>NC_000004.12:187709259-188012290 GCF_000001405.40 Homo sapiens
AACACACCAAGTAGCCATGGCAATACTGAGCAAAGGAACAAAACTGGAGGCATCACATTCCCTGACTCCAAAATATACTACAATGCTATAGTAACCAAATCAACATGGTACTGGCATAAAAACTCATGCATGCACTGATGGAACAGAATAGAGAACCCAGATATCAACCCACACATTTACAACCAACTCATTTTTTACAAAGTCACCAAAAATATACAATGGGTAAAACAGAGTCTTTTCAAAAATGATGGTAGGAAAACTGGATAACCATGTACAGAATCATGAAACTAGACCCCTGTCTCTCACTATATACAAAAACCAAATCAAAATGGATTAAATACTTAAATCTAAGACTTGAAACTATAAAACTACCGGAAGAAAACAATGGAGAAATGCTCCAGGACATTGGTCAGGGCAAATATTTTTTGTGTAAGATCTCAAAAGCACAGGCAACCCAAGCACAGTTAGAGATACAGAATTACATCAAACTAAAAAGCTTCTGCACAGCAAAGGAAACAATCAACAAAGTGAAGAGACAATCTAAAAAATAATTAAAAAAAAAAAATTTGAGGCCAGGCACGGTGGCTCACGCCTATAATCCCAGCACTTTGGGAGGCCGCGGCGGGCGGATCAAGAGGTCAGGAGATCGAGACCATCCTGGCTAACATGGTGAAACCCTGTCTTTACTAAAAATACAAAAAAAAAATTAGCCAGGTGTGGTGATGGGCACCTGTAGTCCCAGCTACTCAGGAGGCTGAGGCAGGAGAATGGTGTGAACCTGGGAGGCAGAGCTTGCAGTGAGCTGAGATAATGCCACTGCATTCCAGCCTGGGCGACAGAGAGAGACTCTGTCTAAAAAACTAAAAAAAAAAAAAATTTGCAAACTACCCATGTGACAATATTAATAACTAGAATATATAAGTAACTCAAACAACTCAACAGCAAAAAAAAAAAAACCACAATAATCCAGTTTAAAAATGGGCAAAACATCTTATCAGTTAGTTCTTAAGAGAAAACAGATAAATGGCCAACAGGTATATGAAAAAAATGTTCAGCATCACTAATCATCAGAGAAATGTGATCTAAAACTGAGACATACTCTCATCCCAGTTAAAATGGCTTTTATCAAAAAGACAGGCAATAATGCATAGTGGTAACGATTTAGAGAAAAGGGAAACCTTCGTACATTGTTGGTGGGAATATCAACTAGTACCGCCACTACAGACAACAGTATGGAGGTTCCTCATTAAAAACCTAAAAACTGAGCTACCATATGATCCAGCTCCATTGTACTGCTGGGTATTTATCCAAAAGAAAGGAAATTAGTATATTGATGACATCTGCATGCCCATCTTGATTACAACACTATTCACAAAGCCAATCAACCTATGTGTCTATCAATAGATGAATGGATAACAAAAATGTAGTACATATACATAATTAAATACCATTCAGTCATAAAAAAGAATTCTGTCATTTGCAGCAACATGGATGAAACTGGAGGTCATTATATCAAATGAAATAAGCCAGGCATAGAAAGACAAATATCTCATGTTCTCATGCATCTGTGGGGGTTCAAAAGGTAAATCTCATGAAGACAAAGAGTGTATTGGTGGTTACCAGGGCCCAGGAAAGGTAGTGGGGAGGGAAGTATGAAGAGAGGTTGATAAATGGGTACAAATATACATTCTGACAGAAGAAGTAAGACCCAGTATTTGACAGAGCAGTAGGGTGACTATAGTTTACAATAATCTAATGTATACTTCAAAATAGAAGAAAATAATTTGAATATTTCTAAAATAAAGACAAATATTTAAGGTGATGGATAGTTCAATTATATTGAGTTGATCTTTACAAATTTTATCAATGTATTAAATTATCACGTGTCCTGAAAATATGTACATCTATTATGTATCAATACAAAAATTTTTAAAAAACTATTCTGTACAGGACAATGGTCTAAACACTTGGAATACAGGATTGACAAAGCCTTCTGAAATTTACTTCAGAGGAGGAAATATATAGTAAACAAATAAACAGCAAAATGAAAACCTAGAGACCATGTGATAAACAGTATGAGGAAAATAAAACTGAGTCTTATGATAGCTTCTAATGGAGCGTCATTGAGTGGGGTGTTATTTTAGGTTGAGTGATGAGCAAAGGCCCTCAAAAGATCACATTGAACTGAAACAATATTGTCCTAAAAAAGAGTAAGCCATGGCAAATTCTAGAGAAAAAGATTTCCAAGCAGAGAAAATAGCTAGTGCAATGGTCTGGAGGAAGCAAGAAGCTCAGTATATTTGAGAAAAGGGGAGGCCAACTGAGCTCTGGCACAGAGAATGGAGGAGGGTGATAGGAGATGAATTTAGGGAGGCAAGAAAGCACCCAACTCTGCAGTGGCCTGTGGGCTGTACAAGCATTTTAGATGCCAGTCCTTGGAGGAGTTTCCAGGCTGTGATAAGACCTTATTTGTGTTTTTGACAGAATTGGACAGAAGTCACATCAGGGAGACCAGAGACTAGAGTATTGCATCATAGAGGAAAGACACTGATGACAAGACCTCAGGGGAGCAGTGGAACTGGAGGCCTGGGAGCTTGGGACGTGTTCTCCGGGTGAAGTTGGCTGGCCAGCTGATGACCTACACCAGTGCCATTCACTCCTCATGTGTCCCCCGGGAATTCATAGTGTGTGTCATCAGGTAAAAGCAACACTACTTTCAGATGTTTTCTGATCTCTTTGAGATCTGGACAACACTACTGTGTACATATGGCCAGCAACAAATTACACTCAATGAATATTTTAGAGAGCAGCAAAGTAATCAATTAAAATGTGGGTAAACAAAAATCACTGTGATCACAGCTCTGTCTACATGGTTCTTTGGTAAAAAATTAGAATCCTGGGGATTAGTCTGAGGATAAATATTATTTAAAAAGCATTTTGGTTAAATAGTAATTAGTAAATTTTGCTCTGCCGAAAAATCATATATATTGACAATAAATTTTGTCAAATTTATTAATAACCAGTCTGAAACTCTATAAAGATGAATCCTCAAAATATGGATATAAAAGAAGGGTTTAGTTTTGTTTTATTTTCAGACAGCTATTTTTAAAAAAATAGTAAAAATGTCAAAACAATCTGGTTTTATTTTATTATAAATTACAAAGAAAAAAATACTTCCCTTTTTGTTGTTGAGCTTATCTATTCACAAACACAGAAAGTAGCAAAAGAGGTTTTTGATAGCACGCCATCCCCCATTTAAAATACATTTAAAGACATCCAATAATCATCATCATTTAGAAGGAATCCATCAAAACGTTTCCTATTAATACTCATTTTATTAGTTCAGCTGAATGGAAACAGTAGCATGCTTACATTTAAGAAAGTTCATTATGGGTTCGTTTTCTTTTTAACAAGAAAGGGGAAACAAAATAATGCCCAAACACACAGTGTTGCTGGAGTCAAAACAAAGAAAATTCATCAAAGCATCTATGAGAGCTATCCTGGGATAATCTATTCTAGAGAAGACAATACAAATTGGCTGCAATTGACAGGTCGTAAGTTCCTGGGGGAAAGTCATTATAAGCACATCATAGCACATTTGGCCGATTGCTCAGTGTTCCACACACTGACATCAAGAACACATTTCCAATCCATATTCTGATTGGTTAAATGTGGTTTAGGCAGCCTTTCAGCTTTCAGAGAAATGGTCAAATTCTTTCTTTTCAAAATTCCCAGGCCAAGTCATAATAATGTACTGATCTCATGGAAGTATTCCTGCAGTAATCACTTCGAGTTCCTTCGTTGTGCCTCCACTGCTCTTTCATTCAGCAATTGCCGTTTTGTGTGTTATCATAGAAGAATAACAAAGAATTAGACTCATGACTCTGAACAGAGGCTTGCTTTTTACATGAGTATTATTATTTCATCCTTGGAAATCCTGGAAAACTTCTTACTATTTTGGATACTAGGTCCAGAGTCTGTTTGTTTACAGCATGGATGCTGACTGGTTGCAGTCAGAGGGTGATATGCCAGTGCGTGAAGGAAATAGGGCAAAATGTAAACATTGTACGTTTAGTAGTGCTCTTTCTGCAGGCAAGGAGAGATTGATTGATTTCTCAAGTGCAACTTGTCTGGGGGAACATGGGATTTTATTCTATTTTATTTCATTTCATTTCATTTCATTTATGTTTGAGACAGACTCTTGCTGTGTTCCCCAGGCTGGAGTACAATGGCGTGATGTCGGCCCACTGCAACCTCCGCCTCCTGGGTTCAAGCAATTCTCCTGCCTCAGCCTCCTGGGTAGCTGGGATTATAGGCGCACACCATCATGCCTAGCTAATTTTTGTATTTTCGTAGAGACGAGGTTTCTCCATGTTGGTCAGGCTGGTCTTGAACTCCTGACCTCAGGTGATCTGCCCGCCTCGGCCTCCCAAAGTGCTGGGATTACAGATATAAGCCTCTGTGCCCGGCCAAGCATGGGATTTTACAATAGCATCGTAAGAAATTCTATCTTTTTCCCTGAGTATTCAATTTACACCCATGTTTCGAATGAGCAGTGAGCACCAGCACGGAGATCGGAGCCCCGTGTTACTTGTACGTGAAGGTGTCAGTGCCTGAGTGTGCTAGTGCTGCTGATACTCACACCAAATAGCAAACAAGAGCCGGCAATCTAACCTGTTAAAAATAATAGGCAAATGGGAAGAGAGGACTGAGGAATCTCCTTGAAGTTTCCCTTCACTGATGGGTGCTAAAGATGTATGCCTTGGGGTTTTTTAGATGACATCGATGTAATCCCCTTCAAAAATAGTGACGGAAGAACAGACTTCTTCACCTTATTAATTTCCTGCGGCATCAAAGTCCCTTTGAGAGTCTTTCTGTTCCAATTTTTCCTCAAGTTCACAAAATGTTGGCTGTCAGCGTTATTGTGGGTTAAGACAGAAGGTCCTCCTTTCCTGACCCCAGAGATCCCAGATCATCCCAGTGTTTGTTTATTTTCTAAAATGTCCATTTTGCTTAGAAATAAACACAAATTGGTGACATTTATTCCTTGCACTATCTTCTAACAATTTATTCTAGGTTTACTAATTCTCATGATGTTCTGCTAGAGAAATATGAAGAGGCAATTTACTTGTGTAGAAATGTGAGTCAAATCAAGTGAATATTATCATTGTCAGATTCAGCATTTATCAGTCTTCCCTCACAAGATTCAGAGAGTTCTTTTTCTGTTCAGTTTGGTAATAAGAGAAGTTATAATCAATTTGGTCATAAAAATTGTGCAAAATTAGATTTTTTTATTCCACTTTCTGCTATGAAATATTCTTTTGTTTGTTAGTTTGCTTGAGACCGTGTCTAATTCTGTCACCCAGGCTGGAGTGCAGTAATGTGTTCTCAGCTCACTGCAACCTCCGCCTCCCGGGCTCAAGTGATTCTCCCACCTTGGCCTCCCGAGTAGCTGGGGCTACAGGTGTGCACCATACGCCTGGCTAATTTTTGTATTTTTTTTTTTTTAGAGACAGACTTTAACCATGTTGCAGAGGCTGGTCTCAATTTCCTGGGCTCAAGTGATCCTCCTGCCTTGGCCTCCCAAAGTGCTGGGATTATAGGCGTGAGCCACCACGCCTGGCCTAAATATTCTTTAAATATGTGTGACTTTGGAGGAAAGGGAATCGGATGGGTTAAAATATGTGAAGTTCATTGTCAACTGTTATCCTTGAGAAATATTTAAGCTTCCCTTAATGTTGTGTCTTAAATGACACATAATAATCCAGGAAGGGATTTTTATGACCATAATGGGTTTTTAGCTTAATTTTAGGTAGCAAAGAGAAACATCTGCTATGGAAAAAGCTTAATTGATTTTTATCTGATGTCACGAAGCTGCTACGAGGCACCATCACCAGCAGGTGGGTGCTGATTACGCCCTGTGCCGAGGACTCCGTTTTATGAAAAACATCAATCCTGCCATCTAAGAGGAGAAGACATGCTCAATAAGTTTATCTCTGCCTCCCTACCCATGTTCAACAAGGTATCCCAGAAGAACTTAAAAGCTATTTACTCTGGATTATAATAGATCCTCTTGACATTCTGTAACTGGTGAAGCCATGGGAGAGTCCTGGCTTAATTATAAACAACCACAAAGTTATCATCAGTGCTACCTGGCTACAAATTGTTTCTTGCAGAGAAAATTTTTAGCTATTTAAGTCCCACGAAAGTAAATTTGGGGGCTGAAAATTTTTAATAAGTATTTAAACAGCAGACCTTCAATTTCTCTAGACCCAGTGAAAACAGAAAACAGGATGGAGTATTTGCTTGCCATGAACCTTTCCTCCCACAACAACTGTGCATTTTAGGAAGTCAGTAGTAACTAGCTTATAAAATACAGAGCTCTGGAAATCATATGCCTCATCAGACTGTAGCTAATGGGGAAGACACACTACTTCCTGTATTTCAAACAATAAAAACCATGATGTAATAAAGAGCAAGTTTATCCTGAGGATAGAAAGTAGCCCTTACATAAATGAGTAAATCAGTAAAATAAAACAAAAAGTACCCCTCAACAAATAAAATACTTTTCTTTAAACTTATAATTTGGGAAATTATCTTAATGTTAATCACTGCTTAATAATTTTTAATTAGCATCTGCAAAAATGTAATTTAATTTTAAGTTAGAGATTTCTTGGTACTTTAAAACTAATTAAATATTTAATTATGTTGTTTGATACCCACATATTACATAAGAAATGTCAGTTTATTTGTTAAATGTCTCACACTGAAAATCTCGGTTAGCACATTCTTTTGAGTTTTATGTTTTTAAAGCAATATTTGCAAAAGAATTTCTCAAAAGAAGTCAGTACTGTTTCTGGACAGTTCATGAATCATCTAATGGAAGATCTTAGAGCTGATATTTGTACCAGAAAAGATGTTACACCTAAAGGTGCTCATTACTTTATTCAATGGACAAGAGAAATAAATATTATCTTACAGGTATTATAGAAATCTTTATCTATTTCACTTTCTCTCCCTGTCCTAGATAAACCCACACACACACACACTAGCAATGTAAAATCCAAATATATTTTTATTCAAACACGTTAAATCAAGCAACAGAATTCTAGTACAGTTTTGCTGTATTGGTCATGTCTGGCATACAAAAAATGTTTAAGTCTTCAAAATTATTCTGGTATCATATCTGTGATCCCAATACTCAACTGGGTTTCTATAAATATACCAGTAAATATTCGTTGGCTACTAACTAGGTGTCTTTTTTTGTGCTAAGATTTGTGAAGGATGAGAAAGTATTCTGGAGAGGCATACTAAACATTATAAACACTTCCTGATAATAATTTCTAAAGCACGATCAGAGCTGTCCGTCATCATATAAAGATGGTTAAAAAAAAAAATCCGCCAGGCACGGTGGCTTACTCCTGTAATCCCAGCACTTTGGGAGGCCGAGGCGGGTGGATCACGAGGTCAGAAGATCAAGACCATCCTGGCTAACATGGTGAAACCCCGTCTCTACTAAAATATAAAAAATTAGCCGGGCGTGGTGGCGGGCGCCTTTAGTCCCAGCTACTCGGGAGGCTGAGGCGGGAGAATGGTGGGAACCCGGGAGGCGGAGCTTGCAGTGAGCCGAGATCGCGCCACTGCACTCCAGCCTGGGCGACAGAGCGAGACTCCGTCTTGGAAAAAAAAAAACAAAAACAAACAACAGCAACAACAACAACAACAAAAATCACCCCATAACAATATGCTACACCATATCCAGGTGAGAAAAATCAACAATGAAACTGATTTTGCAAAATTCCACTGTGCCTTCTATAGTCATCTTCAAGGTCTGGGGTTATTGACATGCTGGGAGAATGAACCTGATATTCTGTTTAATGACTCAGATATTGTAGACATATTTCAGACACAGAAAAACTACTATACCAATACATTTAAAAAAAAATAAACTGTATTCAGGATTTGTGATTTTTTTAGGCCCATCAAGAGCAAATTATAAATTTATTTCAATAAGGATTGCATGAACTTTGTGGTTTTAAAATTAAGCTTTTATAGACCTGCTTATTAAGATAAGCATATTCATCCAAGATTAAACATAATATTTCCAGTAGAATCTTTGCTCCATCTGAATAATGAGTTAAACTCAGAATTATAGCAACTTTCTGTAGCATTTCTGATCTTAACGCATGCAAGTAGATATCTCTAAAATATATTTGAAATGGGTTAGGGACCTTTCATTATGGAATGGCTAGGCAGAAAAGGACTATTTTTGTTACATACCATTTCCTCCCTAACATAATGGTGAAATACAAACTTTACCAGGTCGATTTTTGTTATGCGGGAAACCAGTGTTTCTGCAAGATAAAAATGAGGAACTAATTGTTTATATTAGAGCCTTAAGACTGATGCTATTTTATATGCAAATTTACTAGAGCAATTTGTTTTACATGTGTATTACGTCAAATGAATCAAATTGTCTGAATGGGTGAAACTACGAATATAGACCATTTCATTCTATTTGAAAATAATTTGCAATTCCGCATTTTATACAAATCTAATTGAAATATAATCATGCCTCCGTAAAACAGTGATAAACTTAATATATGAGAACAGTTGTTATGTGCCAATAAAATATCAAAACCAAGCAAATTATAGAATAGTTATCAGGATGACTGTAAAATAACATAACTAGCTCTAAAGCTGAGTCAAAAATAATTATTTCCGCTGTAAGAAGGGCCATCTAGTAGAACAAACTACATTTTCTGACTGCAGATTGTTTCTTTATAAAATGACAATAGCAGATTGTATCGAGTTGGACCGTGCATTTAGAGTTCAGAAGGCTCATGATTACCTGAGCCAGTGCCAGCCTCAATTCTCAGGCCCACGTGCAGGACTAAATGGTTTATGGCCTGCAACAAAAAGGCCTATGGCCATTTAGGAAGTGAGGTGTTCGGTTATCGTTGCAGTAAAAGAGGTAAAATAATCTTTTTTGAATGATAAAGTCACAAGTCATTGAAAACTGTGTGCCTAGTTATTATCAGCTGTTTTTCTTTCCTCCTTTGACTCTTTGTGGTCAGTGCTAATGTAAGTCTTTGCTTGAACAAGCCTGCAGTGCAAAAATGGTTTCCAGCAGTGACTGGCAGAACCAGGACCCTAGACAGTTGCATTGCAGGAGGAATGAGAAGGCATCACAAAATAGAAAGTTCTAACACCCTAGATGGCATTTTGTGTCATCGTTTTCTGTAAGTGCCTCTTAATACTCTTGGTTTTGTTTTGTGTTTTTTTTTTTTTTCACTATAATCTGTTCTTTTTCCTTTTTTTTTCAATTGAATCTAACCTAAATATCTCTATGAGAAACTTTTGACTCATTAACAAGATAATTAAATGATGGAGCAGAGTGAATACTTTTCACTGGGTGTCCTATAGTTTGTAAATGCTTGCCCTTTCAGTGAGCTTTGAAATATTTTTAAGTGTAACAGTCCTTGGTAATAGCTTTACAATGGGGTGCAAATACAGAAGTCAGTTTACAAGAAATTTCTGTTCTCTTTATATTCACGCATCTGAGTCCAGAATTCTAAAAGACTGCTCATCATCCTACCTATAATACAAACAAGGTGCCCTCCATGTTAACTGCAGAATCCTGCAGTTACAGTCTAGACACACGAACCTTGCAGAAGGGTGCATCGGTTACTTTACATACTTTGCATAAACGAGGTACTAAAATCCTCATAATTATCCACCTTTCAGAACATGTCCGACTCAAAATATTGGAAGAACATTTGAGAAGAATCTACAGGCTAGAATCTTTTTGAATCTTTTCTTTTGCTTGTTTGTTGTTTGTTTGTTTGTTTGTTTTCAGTTATTTGGGACTTTAATGTTCCTGAGACAAGAAAAGGAAACATGGAAGCACGCACACTTAGAAATGAGTCTCAGAAACGGAAAATCCAACCAGCTAAATCATCACAGCACTCCTGGCAAAATTCTCTAATGATAAAAGTTGTTTGTTTTGTTTTGTTTTTCTGATTTTTCTTTTCAGACACATTAATAATCTCTTGACTAGGAAAGGGGAACCCACAAAATAAGTCCTTCTTCATTCTTGTGTGCAGTTAATTTTGTTTCTACATGTGTCTGCAAAAGGCAAAGATGACCTCCAAAGCAGATTCTAGCTCTATTTGGATGAGTCTGTGAGTTTTGGTCAATGAAAATGGGCAGAAATCCTGTCACAGGAGAGAGCTAAGTAGACAACCTCATTGGAAGTTAAAAATGTATATTGTCATGTCAACGCAAGGAAGCAATTATAGGCCTCATGCCAACTGCACATCGTCTGTGTGAGTCCACGTCTCCAGGATTCCGAGTCTGTGTGAGTAAGTGCTGTTCCCACTTCAGGAGGAGCAGTGGAGACAATTAGTAGGAATGAAGTCTCCTTGGTGTCAGTAATATGAAAAAATATACCATGATCAAATAAGCATGTAGGAAAACACCTACATTTTCAAATTCAAAAACTATTGGAAAACATTAAACTGAGCTTTATGTCTTTACAATTTCTTTTCATAGCAATGCCCAGTTAATGCGCCATTCCACACTTTCTGATTTATCTTCAGATAAATGAGCTTCTTCAGCCGTTTGCCTCATGTGTCCTCCTTGCCCTTAGTAGAGAGCAGCACATAGGATGTTTTGATAGACTTTGTTTGTGGACAAATACAAGCAAAGCAGCAAGCTGAGGAAAGCCATCATTGCTTTTAATATTTTGTAAACAATAGGACTTGCTTTTATAGTCATATTAATAAAAGCAAACTATTCTTACAGTTCAGTTAGGCTAGGATTAGACCAAAACACCAAACAAAACAGCTGACCTTGCAATGAAAATGTAGGCGAAAATCACGAATTTGAGAAGAGATGTTTAAGAAATATTTTTAAAATAAAATTGAAAAAATGGAAGAGTAACTTGTAGCAAGTGCTCTAGTAAAAACTTCCTCTGTATACACGTTTGAAGTATACAGATGAACCCAGTAGAAAGAGAGCTTGGAGGTGACGGGAGAAACCTGATTATTACGATAATAATAAGGTCCTAATGAGACAGGAAGGGAAAGATCGAGGGGCTGATTGAGCAGGCTGTTGGTTTAATTCTTGCTTCTGCAGCCATTCCCATCTTCTGGAAGGAGGCAAAGAGGTTGGTTGTACATATTACAGTCCATAAACCAGAATCTATCTGAGAGCTGTCAGCCAATAGCCCATTGGAACCCTAAAGACCCCTAAGTCCTAGAGCTAGATATAAATCCTTTAGAACTATATCAGAAAAAAAAAACTTTCTTATACATTTTCTCCATGTGAGAAAAACATTATTATGTTTGTGTTTTAGCATTGGTTTCACATCTCAAAACTTTTTGCTAACATATGGAGTTTGCTTTAGTTAATAAAATTAAGTGTTTTTTTTACATTACCAGATGATATAAAATTCAGCAAATACTTTTTTATATAGAAATGGAAATTATGCTGTGTTACTATGTGAAATATTAACTGCTCCTTTAGCTATTCATCTACTGGCTCGGGATGACTCTTATTTTAAATGCTAATTTTTCAGAATCTTTTTGAAGGGTGTTATATATGTTATTTTATCACATGGTCCTGTGAGATTTGTATAGTGTCCATAAAATTGTGAAGTGGGCATAGGTTTTTTTAAGTATGACATATAATTAGGATTAAATATTCACATGATTATAGGGCTATTCTTGCAGATATAAAGCCAGGCAAATTCCCAATGGATAATACTTCAAGAAATATTTGCATCCTTAACATTAAATCTGTCTTACTAAGTTAACTTTAAAATTGCTCTCATGACCAATTTTGCATCCTAAAGGTAAATAAATAAATAAATCAAAACATGACCTAAAACATAACTAATTGAACAAGAGAAAAAAGTGTAGAACACAAATTATTGATTTCATTTTCATATTTTAACTAGTTGTTCTTTCATTAATAAGTATAATGTATATACAATTTTCCCACTGTTTAATTATTCAAAGATTTTAAAACTGAATTGAATACTTCATGAACTAAAAATTATAAAATCTTTATTCCTGAATAGCTGGAAAACAAAACAAGGAACTTTGTCTTTTTTAATGGCATAGTTCTGTATTACCTTGGTGACTCTAAACTCTATGCTTTATTCAATTTTTTTAATTGTTGGAGACAAGGAGAATCATAATCTCAACCTGCATTTACATAGTGCTGGAAGAAAAGACCGACCGGGAATGTGTGATCTGTCACTTGGCTTTGGAAACACTTGAAGAAGTTGCACTAATGTAAAAAAGAAACAGAAAGATTTAAATCTATAGAATATACTCATTGCATAAAGATGAATTCAGCAAATATATTGTTGTGAGCATCTTCTATGGTGCAGCGCCAGGTCCTTTATTTATTTATTTATTTTATTTATTTATTTTTTTGAGATGGAGTCTCACTCTGTCGCCCAGGCTGGAGTGCAGTGGCGTGATCTCGGCTCACTGCAAGCTCCACCTCCCGGGTTCATGCCATTCTCCTGCCTCAGCCTCCCGAGTAGCTGGGACTACAGGTGCCCACCACCATGCCCAGCTAATTTTTTTGTATTTTTAGTAAAGACAGGGATTCACCGGGATTCACCGTGTTAGCCAGGATGGTCTCGATCTCCTGACCTCATGATCCGCCCTCCTCGGCTTCCCAAAGTGCTGGGATTACAGGCGTGAGCCACTGCGCCCGGCCTATTTATTTATTTTCAAGACAAAGTCTCCCTTTGTTGCCCAGGCCGGAGTGCAGTGGCTCGATCTTGGCTCACTGCAACCTTTGCCTCCTGGGTTCCAAGAATTCTTGCGCCTCAGCCTCTCGAGTAGCTGGGATTACAAGTGTGCACCACCATGTCTGGCTAATTTTTTGTATTTTTAGTGGAGACAGCATTTCGCCATGTTGGTCAGGCTGGTCTCAAACTCCTGGCCTCAAGTGACCCACCTGCCTCAGCCTCCCAAAGTGCTGGGATTACAGGCGTGAGCCACCATCCCAGGCCTAGCACCATCTCCTTCGGAAGATGGAACTCCAGTGGAGCTCTTACTAGCCAGGAGCTTAGAGCATGCATGCACTTTAGAAAGGAGGTGTCTATGTTTCTTTCAAAATTGTTTTCCCTCAGACAATTTTATATCAGAGTGCTTAAGATTTTATGTAAACTCCATGAGTGTAATGTCTTTTCTTTTTAAGAATAGTAGGAATAACAAAGATATAGAATCAACCCAAATGCCCATCAATGATAGACTGGATAAAGAAAATATGCTACATA
Source organism: Homo sapiens (assembly GCF_000001405.40). NCBI lineage: Eukaryota > Metazoa > Chordata > Mammalia > Primates > Hominidae > Homo > Homo sapiens. The sequence goes on from NC_000004.12 coordinate 187,722,563, forward strand.
TACACCATGGTATATATACACCATGGAATACTACGCAGGGACATGGATGAAGCTGGAAGCCATCATCCTCAGCAAACTAACATACGAACAGAAAAACAAGCATCACATGTTCTCGCTTATAAATGAGAGCTGAACAATGAAAACACACGGACACAGGGAAGGGAATGACACACACTTGGGGCTGTTCCTCATCTAGCACATCCAGTACAAAGTATGGAACACATTTTCAATATACGTTTTTTGGTTTTTTGGTTTTATTTTTATTTTTCTGAGATGGAGTCTTGCTCTGTAGCCCAGGCTGGAGTGCAGTGGTGTGATCTCAGCTCACTGCAACCTCCGCCTCCTGGATTCCAGTACAAAGTACGTAACACATTTTCAATACATGTTTTTTGGTTTTTTGTTTTCATTTTTATTTTTCTGAGATGGAGTCTTGCTCTGTCGCCCACGCTGGAGTGCAGTGGTGTGATCTCAGCTCACCGCAACCTCCGCCTCCTGGATTCCAGTACAAAGTATGTAACACATTTTCAATACATGTTTTTTGGTTTTTTGGTTTTATTTTTATTTTTCTGAGATGGAGTCTTGCTCTGTCGCCCAGGCTGGAGTGCAGTGGTGTGATCTCAGCTCACTGCAACCTCCGCCTCCTGGATTCCAGTACAAAGTATGGAACACATTTTCAATATATGCTTTTTGGTTTTTTGTTTTTATTTTTATTTTTCTGAGATGGAGTCTTGCTCTGTCGCCCAGGCTGGAGTACAGTGGCATGATCTCAGCTCACTGCAACCTCCACCTCCTGGATTCAAGCAATTCTCCTGCCTCAGCCTCCCGAGTAGCTGGGATTACAGGTGCACACCACCACACCTGGCTAATTTTTTGTATTTTTAGTAGAGACGAGGTTTCACCGTGTTACCCAGGATGGTCTCGATCTCCTGACCTCATGATCCACCTACCTCAGCCTCCCAAAGTGCCAGGATTACAGGTGTGAGCCACCACACCCAGCCTAATAAATATTTTTTGTAATGAAAACATAGATAAGTAAATGAGAAGTGAGATAAAAATAAAATGAAATGAGGCATAAATGCGTATGGAGTGGAGAGGGAAAAAGGTCAGGTAGCAGAGGGCCAGAGATGAGAGGCTTAGGAACACCAGAATTGTATATGGATACAACTGGGGTTCAGCCAGCTCCTGGGTCAGGTGACTGTGCAGGGAGCTGCTTATAAAAGAGGAGGCAATAGTTCTGTTGCTTTTCTTCATCTCAGAAGAACAGTCTTGATACTTAGGTATGTTTTTGGTAGAATTGTTGTGTTAATAACTCTTCTTTAAGGGAAAAGTATCTTTAAATTATTGCCACATTGCCACGTGATTGTGATTAGGAGTTTTAGCAATTTCCTAAAAAGGTCTACTTTCAAATGAAACATTTGGAGAAGTTTTTGTTTTCTTTTGTTTCTATTGAAGGAAATAAAGCGTTGACTAGTTATTTTCAAGTTTGGGGAACCATAAGTGCATATATTTCCTAAATGACATAAGAGCTCATTTACTGAAAGAATTAACCAAATAAAATTAATAATCCAAAGAATTGTCACTTAATATCTATAATATCCTGATACAACTACATTGCAAAATTCAAAGGCTATTTTTTACAACTACTTTAGTGAGATTCTACTTTCTGAATAAGTTAAATTAATGAATATAATCTTATAATTTAGAAAACAAAACAAAAATGTTCTCTTTTCCCAAGAAATATACCTGATTTAATATTTTGCCTCTATTGTACAAAAAGTACAAGTGTACTTTTGTACCATCTTTACTCTTAAGGGATATCTGGAAAAATATTTTAACAATCCCAAGAGAAGGCTGATTGCAAAAACAGAACTTATTTCTGCAAATTCTAAGGTCCTCTCTGTTTGAATTAGAAGTCCTGCAGCCAGCCAAAGCAATTCCTTATAGTCTACATTTTCTGTTCACAGATTTCATTTCCCACGTTTCCTGTCTTCAAATGAAGCAATATAGAACGGGGTAATTGAACAGGCTTTAGGATCTTCCAGTTTGAGTTCAGACCCTGTCTCATTGCTTACCGGGATATGGGAACTTGGCACCTCACTGGACTTCAGGAAGCCTCAGCTTTCCTATCTGGTGTGTGGCAAATGTCCAACCACGAAGGCAGCACTTCACTCAGCATCCAGTACAGAGGAAGGATGTCAGCAGTGCTGTAGATTGTCATTACATGTTTGCTCAACCAAGAATGTTTCCACTGAGTGAGGCTGATTGGGAAAAAATATTATAGGGCGGTTCACTCAACATAACTTCTCAAATCTTTCTGCTTATTGAATTATATTAAAAATTCATTTTCACTAGTAATTTGAGTCTCAAAATCTGAAGGGCTGGGTGCAGTGGCTCATGCCTGTAATCCCAGCACTTTGGGAAGCTGAGGCGGGCAGATCATGGGGTCAGGAGTTTGAGAACAGCCTGGCCAATATGATAAAACCCCGTCTCTACTAAAAATACAAAAACTAGCCAGGCGTGGTGACGTGCACCTGTAGTCCCAGCTACTCGGGAGGCTGAGGCAGAAGAATCGCTTGAACCCAGGAGGCGGAGGTTGCAGTGAGCTGAGATCACGCCACTGCACTCCAGCCTGGGCGACAGAGCGATATTCCATCAAACAAAACAAAACAAAACAAAACAAAATCTGAGTCTTCTATGCCTCTCAAAGAAATAGCATTCAAGCTTAACATAGAAAACAAACTCATTGAGGGTGCATAAGCAGACCTGTATACTCAGGTCTGAAAAAGTCATCTTTCTCTTAAGATGCTTGCACTTTCTTGCCTGATTTAAGTTATGTTGAATAATCTCAAATAATATAAGAAAAATAACTATTTAAAAAGTAGAGTTATGAGCAGCGGGGTACAGGAGCAGGAATCGGCTTGGTGCTTAAAGAAATATATAATCTAATTCCTTAACTCCTGTAAAATAAAACCAAAATGTAGGTACTAAGTTCAGTTATATTTCGGAGGCTAACATTAGCCTAACGTACTGTGCTGTAAGACCTGGTTCCTACCACCACAGAACAACGTGCAGTTAGAATCCAGCCTCGTTTTCCCTCTCTCTCTGCCCCATGAGCTCCACCTGACTTTTTGAAAGGCCCCCTCCCTTTGAGCAGAACTTGGTTCCTCATTCAATCCAATTCCCATTTCTTTATCCTTCCTCCTGAGCTCCGTTTTCGAAATCCGTTTTTCCACCCTCCCTTGTAGGTCTAATGCCTGTTCCTGTCTCTCTACACTGCTTCCATTATGGTAACCTGCACAGTCTTAACTTGAATTTCTTTCAGAAATATAATAATTCTGCCACCGCATCACTTCTGTTTGTTTGCCCTAATCAAGGTTAGGCATTTGGGGACACCTAGATTCAAGGGATGCTGGGAAATACGCATAACTGAAAGACGCCCAGCACCGTCTTGAGAGGATTTGTTCTTAAAGGAAAAGGCACACATGTAACCTGTTAGATAAAGAGCTGCCTCCAACAAAGCAGGGAAGAAGAGAAGACACCGTGAGGCCATCTTGCTGTGGCCTAGGATCGGGGTCCCCAGGCTGGGTGTGAGTCTTCCAGGCCTGAGGACTCACCTTGGTTCTCAGGGCCAGCCTCTGCGGAGGCACAAGTCCTGATAGATCTCCTTTTGCTTCTGGCACGGATTTCTCTGCAGGCCCCTTGCCTGCGTCCCTGGTCCCTCCTTTCCAGTCTCCTTCCTTGCTCCCTCCCATCCTATGGGAAGTCGGTATCTTAGCAGATGCCACATACTTGCCTCCTAACACATCTGTGATACCAAATGCCAACTTTCTGGAGCGCCTATCTTAAAAAAAAAATTTCAATTTTTATTAATTTGTAGGTTTTTTTCATACAGTAAAGTTAACTTCTCTTCTGTGTGCAGTTCTATGAGCTACAGAACAGCTCCTGGGCAATCCCTCATACTGTCCCTCATGCTCTCCCTGACATCACCTCCTGGTGACATTGATGTTCTCCACCCCTATCGGTTTGCCTTTTCTAGAATCTCATATGAATGGGATCGTCCAGCGTGTACCTTTCTCTGTGCATCAATACAGCAGGAGTTGGCTCCTCTCCCTGAGTGCACGTCAGTTTCACTTCTGCTGTTGCACCTGTCAATTGTTCGTCCTACTCATGCCACTGCGGGGCTCCACCATGGCTTATTTATTCATTCACCAGCTAAAGGGCATTTGGGTTTCCAGTGTTTGGTAATTACAAATAAAGCTATTACAAACATTCATGGATAGTTTTTTGTGGGAATGTAGGTTATTTCACTGGGGTCAATGCCTAGGAGTAGGACTTCTAGGTTTTTTGGTACATACGTATTTAACTTTGCAGTAAACTGCCAAGTTGTTTTTCAAAGTAACTGTACCATTTTGCATGTCCACCATTAGTGTATGACATGCAAAATGCTGTGGCTGGAGAACCTTTGCATCTACATTTTCTCCTCTCTCAATGGTCCATCTTGCCCTATCAGCCTGTCTGTTAACACTACACTCACATCTCTGGTTTGAAACTTCATATCTATTATTTAAGTTAGCAAACATTATTCAGGACCAGCTATGTGTTAGGTTACTCTTCCTGGTGTTATAATTCAGTGATGAATTTGAGATTTAAATTCCATAAACTTTATAGATTGACATTCTGGTAACACATGCATGCATAATTAAATGGATAGACAGATCTATAAATTTAAAAATAAATTTATTTTAGAATCTGCAGCATCCAACATAGTAGCCCTCAGCCACATGTGGCCATTGCTCCGTGAACTGTGGCCAATATGGACGCAATGAGCTGTAAGTGTAAAATGCTCACGAACTGCTGAAGACTTAATATAAAATGACTTATGATTTTTACATTGATTACATGTTGAAATGACAATAGTTTAGGCATACAGAGTTAAATAACAGTAAAATTAATTTTACTGTTTCTTTTTTAAAAATATAACTATGAAAACATTTAAAATAACATATATGGTTTGTATTTTATCCATATTTCTATCGCTATGCACCATTTTTCATAGTGAGGTGTAATACCAAAAACTCAAAAAAGCATGCTATTACAGAGCGGCTGATGTTACAGCCAGATAATACTTTTAATACAAGAGTCAGGAAAAGTTTTCCGAGACCCTGGCATGTGCAGTCCAATCTGGATGATGGGAAAGAGGCAGGCATGTGACGGTCCGAGGGAAATGTGTCCAGCTGAAGAAACAGGACAAGCTTGGTCCTGAAAGAGCAATGAACTCTGGGTGTTTGAAGAGTCAAAGAAGCCAGTGGGGTTGAAGTGGAGTGGTGAAGAGAAGACCGGTGGGAGGGAGCGCAGAGTGGTCTGCAGAATTCAGAGCCTCAGAAAACGTGGTAGGAAACATGGATTGGTACCGAGCCACCACTCTTCCCAGGGAACTCTTGCAATGTCTCCTAATCCAACAACACTCCCTTTATTCATTGCCGCCCTCAAATATGAAGCATGACTACCATTTACTAAGCTCCTACTAAGTGCCAGGTGCTGACCACACTCGGCACTCTGTGGCTTGCTCCAGTTGGAATTCAGGCTTCCTTTGCCATTGGCAGAGGTTCTCTCCTGTTAGCATCGTTTCTTCACTTGCCCTCTGGGATCTGCATTCTCCTGGCCCTGTGTCATCCATTATCTCCCTGTCTAGCAAGTTAGGGCCAGGTCAAGAAAACCTGTATCTCTCACCTTCATAGATTTTTGCCTTCACCTTTACCCTGGTTGATATACGAGATGGATGCACTTTAGATTTTTAATCTAATCTATTGATGTTGGAGCTGTCAAAAGACCCAAGTTTCATGTTTTTAGATACACATATTTTTCCCAGTAGAACCTCTTTGTAATCAAGATGCTTCTTAAAATCAGCAGCTGTCAAGAGAGAGTTGTGAAACTGTTGCCTTTGTCAGCACTTGAGCAAGTGTGATCACAGGTTCATTTTCTCAGTACGTGAGCAAGTGTGATCCCAGGGGTTCATTTCTCAGCACGTGAGCAAGTGTGATCACAGGTTCATTTCTCAGCATGTGAGCAAGTGTGATCACGGGTTCATTTCTCAGCACGTGAGCAAGTGTGATCCCAGGGGTTCATTTGTCATGACTTCAAGTGAGTTGTGCATGTTGCGTGTTGTGATCCATATGTGGAGTTTTGATACTTAACATATCTGCAAATAGATTGCACTATAATTTGTCTTTGAAATAAGTTATTGTGTTTACAGAAAGACAGGGACATAAAACTATAATCCATAAAGCACACAGCAATTTTATATTATATAAAATATAACAGTTGATATTAGTAAAAAAGACACTAGCCATTAGAGAAATAACCATAATTTGATATTTTCTTATAAATCATCAACAGAGAGTTTTATATAAGACATCTACAAGTAAATGAAGATATGCTGCATTTGACTACTGCTATGCAGGTAAAACTACTACCTATAGTGTGCCAAAAAAAATAGAACTGGAGGCAGGGAATATTGCTCAGTCCCAAGAGAGCACCCTCTTGATGGCATATACTAAGCAAAAGACACAGCCACCAAGTCACAATGTTTTCTTATAAAATTCACAATCAATATGAAGATTTAGGCATACATTTCCAGTGTTTTTGGCTTATAGCATTGTTTATATTCCACAAAAATACCATATGATTTTAAAAATCCTTATCTAAGTTTAGAGGAGCTCTTTCATAAGTATAAAATTTTAAAACTGGAAGTGATTAAAAAAAGCATGTATAAATGAATTAGCAGCATTATCTCTGCTAGTAGTACAGAAATAAGGGTGTACCTTTCACTATACAGTTGATCCTTGAACAACACAGGTTTCAACTGCATGGTTCCACTTATAGGCAGATTTTTAAAAATAAATGTATTGGAAATATCTTTAGATATTTGTGACAATTTTCAAAAAACTTGAAGATGAGCTATGTATCTTAGAATTATCAAAAAATGTAAGAAATGATATGTCATGAATGCCTAAAATATATGTAGATACTAGTCTATTTTATAATTTGCCACCATAAAATATATATGAATCTATTATTAAAAAGTTAACACTTAGAGACCATACACGAAGCCATTCACATTTGAGAGAAATGTAAACAAATAGGAAGATGCAGCATTAGATTATAACTTACTATATTCGTTACTGAATTCGTCTGTTTTCATTGCTATAAGGAAGTACCTGAGATTGGGTAATTAACTAAAAGAGGTTTATTTTGGCTCACAAGCGTCAGCATCTGCTCCTGATGAGGCCCCAGGAAGCTTCCAATCATGGTGGAAGGTGCAGGGGCAGCAGGCGTGTCACACAGCGAGAGAGGGAGCAAGAGAGAGAGTGGGGAGGTGCCAGGCTCCCTTCAAAATAACCAGAGCTCACATGAACTCACAGAGTGAGAGAATAACTCATCAACATGAGGGCAGCACCAAGCCATTCACGAGATCATCCCCACCACCTCCCACTGAGGGCTCACCTCCAGTATTTGGGCATCCGGAACCTCTGGTGAGGCCCGCAGGAAGTTTCCAATCATGGTGGAAGGTGAAGGGGGAGCAGGCATGTCACATGCAGAAAGAGGGAGCAAGAGAGAGAAGGAGAGGTGATACAGGTTGCATGTTTGTTCTCTCCAAATCTCATGGTGACATGTGATTCTCAGTATAGAAGGTGAGGCCTGGAGGGTGGAGACTAGATCACGAGAGAAGATGCCTCATAAACAGTTTAGTTCCATCCCCTCGGTGGTAAGAGAGTTCTCGCTCAGTTAATTCATGTGATATTTGGCTGTTTAAAAGGGTCTGGGGCCTCCCCCTTCTCCGTGTCACTCGTTCTCTTGCCATACCTCATGCCTGCCCCTGCTTCACCTTCTGCCATGATTGGAAGCCTCCTGAGGCCTCACCAGAAGCCAAGCAGAAGCCAGCATCATGCTTCCTGTACAGCCTGCAGAACCATGAGCCAATTCAACCTCTTTTCTTTATAAATTACCCAGCCTCAGGTATTTCTTTATAGCAACACAAGAACAGCCTAACACAGGAGGCGCTAGGCTCCTTTTTAAAACAACCAGATTACACATGAACTCAGAGAGAGAGAAATTCCCTATTTACGGTGAGGACAGCACCAAGCCAGGCATGAGGGATCTGTCCCCGTCACCCAAACACCTCCCACGAGGCCCGCCTCCAACATCGGAGGTCACATTTCAACATGAGATTTGGAAGGGGCAAGCCATTCAAACCATATCAGATACCTACTGTACTGCTGCAATAATATTATTGTCGTCTCCCATTGCTACTATAATGAGCTCAAATATCCACCTACAACACTGCGTGATGCTAATCATCTCTGCTTGAGGAATTTGTCTTTCCAGTAAATTCTGTGGTGTAGTGAAAAGTGATTTCTCAAGGTTCTTGTGTATTTTTCATCATGTTTAGTGCAATATCATAAACCTTGAATAACACCATGTGGCCCTTATGAAGTGCCACTTGTAACGCTGGAAGTGGTCCCAAGAAGCAGAGAAAACTCATGACATTACAATAAAAAGTTGAATTGCTTGATATGCACCATCAATTGCGCTCTGCAGCTGCGGCGACACCATTTTAAGATGAATGAATCTGGTGTTAGGGCTCCTGTAAATAAAGAAAAGGAAATTTGTGAAGCTGTCACTGCAGCTAACCAGGAGGTGTGAAAATCTTGCACAAAAGGTATTTTGTAAAATACCTTTTTAATCTCACTTTGAAATATAGCATTTATGAGGGTGCAGAATGGCTATACAAAAGGCATGTCTATAGATTCTAATATGATTTGAGAAAAAGCAAAGTCATTGTGTGACAACTTAAAGCAAAAAGAAGGTGAAGGATCTAAAACTGGAGATTTTAACGCTAGCAAAGGATGGTTTGATAATTCTAGAAAAAAAGGTTGGCTTTCAAAAATGTCCAGATAACAAGAGAAGCAGTTTCTGCCAACCAAGAGCCAGCAGATAAGTTCCCAGATGCCATTAAGAAAATCATTGAGGAGAAAGGACATCTGCCTGAACAGGCTTTTAATGCAGACGAAAGTGCCCTATTCTGGGAGAGAATGCCGCAAAGGAAATTTATTAGTAAGGACGAGATGAGTGCTGCTGAGCCAGTGCCAGACGATGAGGAAGGAGATGTAGGAAAAGCAGTCCTGGAAAACAAATTGGCATCAGACAGTCTGGCAGAGGGTTCTGATGATTCGAAAGAGCTTTTGTCTTCTTTCACTCTATGGGCACTCCTATGGGCTCTGAAACTACAAAAATCAGTGGAAGAAGGATTGATACAATAAAGACACTTTTTTAGAGAAATGAAGAAGAAAAGAGTCAGGCAGAAATTACAACATAGCTCCATAAAGTTACATGGAGTGTGCCTGCCTCTCCTGTCTCCCCTCCCACCTCCTCCACTTCTTCCACCTCTGCCACCCCGAGACAGAAAGACCAGCCCCTCCCCGTCCTCCTCCTCCCCCTCAGCCTACTCAATGTGAAGGTGAGGATGAAGGTGATTATGATGATCCACTTCCACTTAATAAATATTAAATGTATTTTCTCTTCCTTATGATTAATAATATTTTCTTTCTCTAGCTTACTTCATTGTAAGAATACAGTATAACATACATAAAACATAAAAAATACGGTTAATCGACTGTTCATGTTATTGGTAAGGCTTCCTAGCAACAGCAGGCTAACAGTAGTTAAGTTTTGGGGAGTCAAAAGTTATACATGGATTTTTGACTACATGGGCGTTGGCACCCTTCACCCTCACGTTGTTCAAGTATTAGACTCCTTGATGCCAAGATGTCAAATGAGTCTAGAGCCATATGGAAATTTTCTATGATCAAGAGTGAACACTTGTGTCTCTCACCTTAAACATTCTCTGGCCAGCAGGCCAGTAAGGCAGTGGAAAGATCAAAAGGAGGATTTCCCATTGGCACCCGCTCACCTTACGCTCTCATCCTAAGGTCAAAAATCATCCAGTGATTTTCAACAGCAGTAATCATGCCCTCATGCCCAGGAGCCACGGAAACAGGGGAAGGAAGGAAGTTGGGGTCACAAGGACTTGGGCAGCAGAAGATATTTGTTGATAAAGCTGATAAATGTTTTGAAATCCCAAGGACAGTTCTGCATAATGAAGAATTGTCCCAGCCAAAATGTGAGTAATGTCCTGTTGAGAAACCTGGATATTATGTGTGGCTTGAGCTTACTTTATAGATGCAGTCCTCTTACTTATCAGGAAATGCTCAAGATGCCTGTGCTAGGCCTGACCTAGCTGAGCTGTTGACTTGAATGTGCAGAAGGAAGTCCTAATGGTACATGAGCACCTCTCACACCATTCAGAGATTTCCTCAGATTGGATCACTCTGTCTAGTTTCTGTCATTTCTAAATACTTCAAAAAGTTACAAGTACCAAAGGCAGGGGAGCATCGGCAGAGATGGGGTCACAGTGGGTATTCTTTATAAAAATTTTGTCTAATCTGTACCACAGACTTGGAAGAAAGGCTTTGTTGGACATTAAGGTGAGCAGGGCTCATGCCCATACAGGTGGCTAGCTAAGGAAAACGATGCTTCACAGTGTCCTGCCTGTGAGTCAGCAGGGCTGGACTCTACACAGCAATGTACACTCGGATCCCTGACTTTGTTAGCACATTGAAAATAATTTAGTCTCTCAGGAGTGGATCACACAAATCATGATCACTGACACTCATTGCACTTCACTTTCAGATTGTCCTTGCCAACAGAGAACTGCATTCCCTTCATGGAGGCAACCTAAGTGTAAAGTCACCTTATTAGAATTAACTTGACATCCTTCACCCCACTTTGAACATTCAAAGATCAATATAATTTCGTAGGATAATCCCACTCCTAGGAATGCATTTCTCTTTATTTTGCCTCATGAAAATCCCATGCAATACTTCCTTCAAAGCAAAATGCAAAGGCTATTCTTTTGAAGCTCATTTTATTACTTGATTTGCTTCACCCTGAACACCTAATGCTCGTCAATAGTTCCATTCCTGTGTCACTTAGCATGGACTATATTCCATTCTAGTCATTTAAGAATATCTCATTTTCTCTACTCAATTGTAATCTTTTTGAAGGCAACAGCCATAATCATAAATTAATTTTTACAAAGAACCTAGGGTAGCAGGTATCAAAAAATGGCTATCAAATTATGAGAATCTTTGCCTTAGAAGATGAAAAATACTTGGGAGATGAAATAATAAGTTTGAGTCAAATTAGGTGGACTATTAAATGGTAACATTAAAAGTGAAGTCTGACTTGGACTCTCAGTCTTAACTCTAGATTAGTGGTTCTCCACCAGGGCTGTTTTGCTTCTCAGGGGACATTTGGTAATGTCTGGAGATATTTTCGTTTGTGGTAGAGAGATCAAGAGTACTTCTAAATAGCTTATAATGCAGAGGACAGCCCATTACACACACACACACACACACACACACACACACACACACACACACATACACACACTTCTGACCCAAAATGTTAATAGCATCAAGATGGAAAATATCTGTTCTAGATCTACCAAATTAATTTCTTTTTTCTTGTTTTCATGGGCTAGCTAAGTTTAAGGACCTATGGAGTCCACTGAGGATATTCTTTTTAGGTAATCTCAATGTTGCAGAAAGCGTCATTATTATCTTTACCATCATTATCATCATAACCATCGTCAGCTTCAACAGCAGCAACACTTCATCAAAATTAAATATTGTGATAGTTTGAGAAATTTTAGGGAAACTAGAGCATAATCTTCACAATTCTGAAACTCAGGGATGAAAACTGTGTGTGCAGTAATCTTAGAACTATTGAATACTAGATTAGGGGGAAACTGAGAGGGCAGCTGTCATTATTTCTGTCATTTCAAACATTGGCATCACTAGTACATCTAGCACCTTCCATTCAAAGATGAGATTAGAGGAAAAACTATTTTAGAGTCAAAGATTTTTCCTTGTAGGTACATATTTTGTAGAGAACAAAGTTCTCTATCTTTCCTGTATCATGATCTATGCATCTTAAAAAGTGTCAAGAAATTTCTTTCTATTTAATTCAGTTTTTTTCTGGTTGGATCCCAAAGCATTTTTTTTTTGGTTTGCTCCTCTATGAAGCTTTTCTCTGCCTATTCTGTATAACAACTGTTTACAGGTTTAGAAATGCATGAGCAAATGTTTTTGCAACCTTCTCTTCCTGAGGAAAAATAATCAAGTGACCTTATCACAGCCTCCTGGTATCCATCCTTATTTTGTCCCTGTCAGTTTATTCATCTGTCCCCTCTCTTAATTTCTTGGTTCCTTTAACCTATGTATCTGTAGTCTGCAACACACACAGATACACACACACACACACACACACACACACACACATCCCTCTACAGGACAGTTATACAAAAATGCAAAATGAAAGAAGTGGAGAATAGAGTATTTACGCAATGAAAAAAAGCTGAATCCTAGAATAATGAATAAAGAGAATTGTGGGTTCAGATTTTCAAAGTATACTTAGCTTAGTGACAGTGAATGGAAACAACTGCTATGTTGAATGACAGAATGATTCAATGAACTTGAGTTCTTTCACTCTGGGCCGCCTCAATTTCTGCCTCTGTTTCTGTCTCTTGAGCAAGAATGGTGTAGGTTTCATAATAAGCATGGATTACTGAATAGATGTCAGGAAGAGAATATTTGTCCTCTAAATCAAGTATTCAATTGACTTTCTATAGATCTGGCATGAACTATGATGTAGTCCAAGAATTAAAAACTTTTAAAGTAGTTGTAGAAAATGGTTTCTCAGTCGTCCAGTTTTTCAGGTTTGCCAGTCCCAAGTGTATTAGCAAAATTCTGTAAATGCGAATTATAGAGTTAAAAACACTAGAAGAGGAGGAAAAAATAGGTAGTGGTGGATGAAAATTTTGTGCAATTGATAAGAAAAATTTTTATCTAGGCTCTCCAGGAACCAGCTAACTGACTTGGGCTGCTCACTAGCCCTGTCTGGGTCTTAATGTCTTTGTCCTTAAAAGGGAATATATGGTGTTCATCTGCTGCCAGTAGTATCATATGTCATTAATCTTTTGGGTTCCCATATGGCTCTAGATATGATGCATTTTGATGTCCTATAAAATGGGACATGTTAAAAGTTATATATGAAAGCACAAATTACTAACATCAACAACGAAAGAGGGACCATTACTACAAACCCCATGGACACTAAAAGGATAGTAAAGGGATATTGTAAAAAATTCTATGCCCACAAATTTGATAACTTAGATGAAATGGACCAATTCTTTGAAAAATACAATCTACCAAAACTCACACAAGAAGAAATAAACAAGCTGAATAAGTTCAGAAATTGAATTAAATTACAAAAGAAATTGAATCAATAATTAATCATCTAAAACAGAAAACACCAGGTCCAGATGGATTTACTGGACAATTCTGCTAAACATTTAAGAAATAAATTTTACCAATTCTCTACAATCTCTTCTAGATGCCAAAAGCAGATGGAATACTTTCTCGCTTACTCTATAAAGGCAGCATTACTCTAATACCATACCAGACAGACCTTTGGAAATGTAAGAAAAGAAAATGTAAGAAAGTGCCAATATCTGTCATGAGCACAGCTGCTAAGGTCCTCAGTAAAATACTAGAAAATTTCATCCAGCAATGTATAAAAAGAATCATACACCACAGAAAATGGATTTATCCCAGGTACTCAAGGCTTGCTTAACATTTGCAAACCAATCAGTGTATTCCATCACAATCAACAGGCCAAAGAAATAAAAATCACATGAACATATCAATAGATACAGAAAACACATTTGACAAGGTCCAACACAAATTTATAATGAAAATCTCTCAGTAAACTAGAATAGATAAAGAATTTCTTCAACTTTATAAAGAATATCTACAAAAAAAAACTACAGCTAACAACACTTAATGGTGAGAAACCCAAAGCTTTTCCGAAAATATTGAAAATAAGGAAACAAGGCAAGGATGTATGCTCTTACTACTGCTTTTCAATATTTTACTAGAAGTCTTTGCTCATGTAATAAGGCAAAAAAAAAGAAAAAAAGAAAAAAAGAAAATGTGTACAGATTGGGAAAGAAGAAATAAAACTGCCTTTGCAGATAATATGATTGTCTATGTAGAAAATCCAAAAAAAATGGACAAAAAAAATTCCTGGAACTAATAAGCAATTACAACAATATTGCAGAATACATGGTTAATATGCAAAAGTCAATGAACAAGTGGAATATAAACTTTAAAACAATAACATTTACATTAGCATCCTCAAGAAAGAAATACTTAGGCGTAAGTCTAACAATTTATATACAAGATCAATATGAGGAAAACTACAAAACTTTGATAAATGAAGTTAAAGAATAAATAAATACATACATCAATAAATAATTAGGGAAATATTCCATTTTCATAAATAGCCCCAATATTGTCAAGATGCCAGCTTATCTCAACTTGACCTATAGATTTAATATAATCCCAATCTAAATCCCAAGTAGTTTGGATATATCTATAAACTGATTCTAAAGGTTATATGGAGAGAGAAAAGAGCCAGAATAGTTAACAGATTATTGAAGGAGAAGAACAAGGTTGGACAGGCACTAGTCGACTACAACCTACTATAAATCTGCAGTAATCAATACAGTGTGATATTGGTGAAGGAGTAGTCAACTAGATCAGTGGAACAGAACAGAGAGACCAGAAATAGGTTCACATAAATATAGTCAAGTAATCTTTGACAAAGGAAACAGGCAATACGATGAAGAAAATATAGTCTTTTCAATAAATGGTGCTGGAACAACTGATCATCCATGTGCAAACAAATAAATAAATAAATCATGACACAGGCCATACACACTTCACAAAAATTAACTCAGTGTGGATTATAGACATGAATGTAAACTGCAAAATTATAAAACTCCTACATATAACATAGAAAACAATCTAGATGATCCTGGGTTTGGTAATGACTTTTTAGGTGTAACACTAAGGGTGCAATACATGAAAAAAAGAATTGATGAAGTGTCCCTTTGAGAAAGATGTTGTTTTTTAGTGTGCTTCAGCCATTTGAAAATAGCAAGATAGTGCATACAGATCAACTCTGTGAGCTTTAGTTAAAGAAGAAAAATGAGAATCCACTGGAATAATGAAAGACACTTCAGATCCCAGGGAGAAGAACGTTGGCAAACAGCCCCCTTGATGTTGTCCAGCTGATAAAAATGAGTGAAACCCCAGTATATGAGAGAGGTAGAGAGCCTCCCCCTGGCTCACCTTTCCACTGGGGAGCTGAGCAACCCAGGCCAAGGGAGGCCACATTATTTCTCTGAAGCCCTGGAGCTAACTTGAGGAGAGGCTTAGAGATGCTGTGAGGGAAAGACACTGAGGAAAGCTTCAGACATTTTCCCAAACCCAGGACTGAGAACAAGATACCATTTTTAATCCAGGAGCATACATGGTCAGCTATTCTTAGGTGATCTGGCAGCATGGTCATGCAGGCATTTAAGTTTCCGGCCAGATACTGGAACATTTGCTCTGGAGTAGGGTAGGGACTTCCACAACCAGAACTGTGGAAAGTTTGTCAGCAGTAGGCACTGGAATTATGCTTTCTCTCGTCTCAACCTTGGGGTAGGAAAAGAGCTGCCACAGCTGCAATATCTCTTGGGCAGCAAGACTTACAGCCAGGGCCAGCTTGGTGACCAGAAACTGGTCTCTGTGTGTGTCATTTCTGGATGCCCCAGACTGCTCTCCTGAGATCATGGTGTAGTGAAGCCCTCACTGCTCCATGCCCAGGCAGATTGCCAGGCATTCGGAGCACCCACTCACCTGGTTCAGCAACCTGAGCCCCCCACCCATAGTGTGCACCTTTCCTCTGCTACATGCCCAAACACATCTCCAGGTATCTGGAGCATCCACTTTTCTGGATTAGGAGTTTAAGCTGACTCTCACCCCTGTGCAGAGAACTTGAGGCCAAGGAGTTTTATCAGCTCCACACCTAGGCACACCTCTGGGTACTTGGTGGCCGCCCACTGGATTCTCCCTCAGTGTTGGTGCTTTTGTGTGCCGTTTGGGAATGTGCAGGTAGGGCCTGCCTGGTCTGGCACCACCCATCTGGCCACTAGCCCCCAGGGATGAGCAGGGAGCTCAAACCACTGTGCATTCCATGAATCAGTTCATTGTCTGAGGTGCCAGAGAGCTTCTGCAAGTAAAAAAGGATCAAGTATATGCCCAGCCTCATTGGCCACAGCCTGCTCTTACCTACGAGTACCATCTACTGGCTTGTAGGTTGAGCTACACGGTGCAACATAAAACCTAATTAAAGAACTGCACGGGGCTAGAGAAGCAAAAGCCAAAAGCATTCTTTAGCATCATACCTCTAGGAAGGCTGGGAAAAAGAAAGAGAATAAAATAATAAATTATTGTTATATAGAAAAAAATAAAAAGTAAAAATTCTACCCACACAAAAATAATTACAAAAAATTGTAAGTGCCGGTGTCTTCAAATAAGAAGAAGGAGAACAAAAATTGTGACGCCATAAAAAATCTGAATGTAGTGATACCACCAAAGGATTGCATTAGCTCTTCAGCAATGCTCCCTAACTAAAATAGAAACTCAGAAATGACAGAAAAAGAATTCAAAGCATGGATTGCAAAGGATCTCAACAAGATCCAAGACAAGGTTGAAAATTAACACAAAGAAACTTCTTAAACAATCCAGGAAATAAAAAAGATAAATATCTTTAAAAAAAAAACAGAGCTGCTGGAATTGAAAAAAAAATCACTTAAATTTCAAAATATAATTGAAAGCTTTATCAATAAGTTGGACCAAGCAGCAGAAAAAAGTTCAGAGCTTAAGACCAGTCTTTCTAACTAACCCAGTCAGACAAAAATAAAGAAAAAGTAATTTTTAATAAAGTCTTTGAGAAATATGGGATTATGTAATGCAACAAAACCTATGAATTATTGGCATGTCTGAGAGGGAAGGAGAAAAAGCAAATAACCTGGAAAACATATTTGAGGGAATAATCCAAGAAAATACCTCTAATCTTGCTAGAGAGGTCGATATCCTGATATGAGAAATCCAAGGAACACCTGCAAGATACTACATGAAACAAACATCACCAAGGCATATAGTCACCAGACTATCCAAAGTCAATGCAAAAGAAAAAATCTTAAAGACAGTTACAGAAAAAACTCTGATCACATACAAAGACAATGTCTTAAGGCTAAGAGGGGACTTCTTAGCGGAAACCTTACAAGTCAGGAGAGATTACAGGCCTATTTTCAGCATCCTTGAAGAAAATAAATTCCAACCAAGAATTTCATATGCTGCCAAACCAAGCTTTACAAGCAAAGGAAGAATAAAATACTTTCCAGACAAGCAAGCACTAAGGGAATTTGTTACCACTGGACCAGCCTTACAAGAGATTCTTAAGGGAGTTCTAAACATGGGAACAAAATAATAATACTTGCTACCACAAAACACACAGCACATAGCTCACAGACCCTATAAGTCAACCACACAATATAAACTACAAAGCAACCAATTAACAACTTCACAATAAAATCAAAACTTCACATATCACTCTTAACCTCAAATATGGATGGCCTAAATGCCCTACCTAAAAAGCACAGAGCAGCAAGTTGGATTTTAAATAAGACCCATAAGCCTTCTGTTTTCAACAGACCCACATCACATGTAATGACACCAATAGTTTCAAAGTAAAGGGCTGAAGAAAGACCAAATAAGCAAATGGAAAACAAACAAACAAAAAAGATCAGGGAGCGCTATTCTTATATCAGATAAAACAGACTTTAAACCAACAACAGTAAAATAGGGAAAACAAGGGCATTACATCATGATAAAGGATTCAATTCAACAAGAGGAGTTTAACAATCCTGCCCCCAGTATTGCAGCACCCAGAATTATGAAACAGGTACTTCTAGACACATAAAAGGACTTAGAAAGCCACACAATTGTAGTAGGGGACCTCAACACCCCACTGTCAGCATTAGACATATCATCAAGGCAGAAAACTAACAAAGAAATTCTGAACTTAAACTAAACACTTGATCAATTGGACCTAATAAACATCTACAGAAGATTCTACTCACCAATCACAGAATATATGATACATTCTTTTCACTTGCACATGAAACATACCCTTTTTTCACCACTGAGTATGATGTTAGCTATTGGCTTGTCATATAAGGCCTTTATTATGTTGAGATACATTCCATCTATACTTAATTTGTTAAGAGTTTTTATTATAAAAGGATGTTGAGTTTTGTCAAATGTCTTGTCTGCATCCATTGAGATAATCATATGATTTTTATCCTCCATCTGTTTATATGTTGTATCTACCTTTTTGATTTGCATATTTTGAATCATACTTGCATCCCAGGGAAAAATTACACTTGATCATGGTGTATGATCCTTTTAACACACTATTAAATTTGTTTTGCTAGTATTTTGTTAAGGATTTTTCACCCACATTTATCAGAGATATTGGCTTGTAATTTTTTTTTCTTGTAGTATCCTCTTCTGGCTTTGGTGTCAGACCAATGCTCATTGTAAAATGGGTTTGAAATTATTTTTTACTCTTCAATTTTTTAAAAAGAGTTTGAGAAGAATTGTTATTAATTTTACTTAAGTGTTTGATAGAGTTACCAGCAAAGCCATTGGATCCTGAGATTTTTGTGTCATTTTGGGGAGTTTTTCTATTACTGATTCAATCTCCTTACCTGTTATTGGGCTATTTAGGTTTTCTATTTCTATGTGTTTATCCTTTTCTTTACAGTCATCAATTTTTTGGTGTATAAATGCTCATAGAGGCCAGTTTTGATTCTTTGTATTTATCTGGAATCAATCGTAAAGTCTCCTCTTTCATTTTGAATCAAAATTCACAAATATGTAAAAATTAAACAATAAACTTTGGAACAACCACTAGGTCAAAGAAGAAGTAAAAGAAAATTAGGAAATATATTAAGACAAACCAAAATAAAAACCGCATACCCCAAACTTATGGGATGTGGCAAAAGGCATACAAAGCAGGGCATTCATAGCATTAAACATCTACATTAAAAAAAAAAAAAGATCCCCAAAAAACTCTAAATTTCCACCTTAAGGAACTAGAAAGACAAGAATAATTTAATCCGAAATTTAGCCAAAGGAAGGAAATAACAAAGGCTAGATGAGCCAAATATATAGAAAAATTTTTTAAATAGAAAAAAAGTAATAAAATGAAGCATTGTTTTTGAAAAGATAAAGAATATTTAAAAACTCTTAGTTAAACTAAGAAAAAAGTGAGAGAGATCTAAAATAAATAAAGCCAGAAATAGAGAAGAAGGCAATATATCAGCTGTTGATGATAAAAAAATTATAAGGGACTATTATGAATAATTGTACACAAATAAATTAGATATCAGAATAAATGGATAACTTGAAAGACACAACGTGCTAAGACTGAATCACGAAAAATTGGAAACTCTGAATATATCAATAACAAATAAGGAGACTTAATGAATAATAAAAAATCTTACATCAAAGAAAGGCCTAGGACCAATTAGCTTCACTGGTGAATTCTACCAAACACTTAATAATGAACACCTGTACTTCTCAAATGAAATACTTCCAAACTGACTTTATGAGGCCAGCATCACCCCAATACCAAAGCTACACAAAGCTACCACAAGGAAAGAGAACTATAGGCCAATATCTTTGATGAACTTAGGTGCCAAATCCTCAATAAAATACTAGCAATTTGAATTCATCAGTATATTAAAAGGATCATACACCCTGACAAAGTGTGAATTCTCCCTGAGATTCAGGGATGGTTCAACAGATGCAAATCAATCAACATTTACACCACATTAACAGAATAAAAGATAAAATTTGCATGATCATCTTCAAAGATACAGAAAATGACATCTGACAAAATTCAAGAGTATTTCCTGATAAAAAGTCTCAACATAATAAAAGTCATGTATGATAAGCTCACAGTTAACATTCTTGGTGATAGCAAATTGAAACTTTTTTCTCTAAGATCAGGAACAAGGCAAGGAGGTCCACCGTCATCACTACTATTCAACATAGTACTGGAAGTCCTAGCCAGAGCAATAAGATAAAAAGAAATGAAGGCCATTCAAACTGGAAAGCAAAAAGTCAAATTAACGCTTTTTCTTCAGAAGACATAACTATATGATCTACAGATATATGTGAAAAATCCTAACAATCCCACGAAAGTGTTAAAACTAAGAAGTGAATTTCTCACCGACTCAAGGGGACTAAGCACAATTTCTGAACAAATATAAGTTATTTAAAAGCAACGCTGAATATGTAGAAAGAGATGGAAATTATATCAAACAACCAAATGGAAATTTCTGAAGTGAAAAGTATAATTATCAAAATGAAACATTTCACAGAGAGGATAATAAAAAGATTTGAACTGGCAGAAGAAAGAATAAGCAAATTTAAGGCAGATTATTAAGAAAGATAGAATCTGAAGAAGAGAAAGAAAGAAAAGAAAAATTAAAGGTGCCTCTGGGAAATACGTGACCCACTCTGAACCAGTTGTTAAATCTTTCCTTCCTTTTAAAGCAATTGACAACAAACAGCTCGGACTATTCCTGCTATTCAAGTGTCATTTATTTTCTCCAGGACTCCCATATTAGGGATGTTAGACTTCTTATACTGTTCAGACACCTCATCCCTAAGTTTTAAGTTTGTCTTCTGTGTGCTTCAGTGTAGGAATCTTGCCCTTGACCTATTTTCCAGTTAAGCAATTCTGTAATCTGAACTGTCCAATCTACTGTTAAATGCATCTACTGAATTCTTAAATCATATTTAGTTCTGAAATATCCGTTTGAAAATTTCCAGCTTACGCAGGATATTTTACATTGTTTGATATACTGTGTGCATTTTTCCTTCTAATTTAAAGCATGGTAATTATAGTCATTTTAAAAATATTCTCCCCTATGTATGTGCTCCCCTGTCTGGATCATCTTGACACTACTTAGAGTGTCTCCTTCTGCTTCTTTCTTTTCCTTTTTTCATTCTCTGATAAGAGGTCATACTTGTTTTACTCATAACCTACATAGAAATGAGTTACTTTGTCAGGTAACTGATTACAAAGCAAGCACAGATGCTCCGGGTACCTCCATTGAAGATGTTCCCCTCTTTTTTCTGTTAGACTGGGGAGCCAATTAATTCCCTGAGTCAGTCATGAATTGAGCTAGGTCTGAAGTAAGTGAGTTTTCCATGTATCTTGGACTAATTCTCTCTCTCTCATGTTGCTGAGGTCTGGGCCTGCTAGACTTTCACTTGGGTATCTGTGTGGCTCTATTTCCTCAGCTCTGAAACAATATAAGGATTCATCTCTATTACACAAAGGTTCACAGCCCAGCTCTCCAGTCTCTTGCTACAAGCAAGCCCCAAATTAGGTAAGTGTCTTAACAGACAGACAATCCCTGTTTAACTATGCTTCGTGTCCAAAATATCACATCAGTTTAGGAAACTGTATCCTTTGATAACATTGAGGCTAGCTTATCAACATCCCACAAAGCCTTAACATTCATCATATGTGACCTGGGGAGAAATGATTCAGAATTGAAGGCTCCAGAACATCTGATCTGTGAATCTAGTCCTGAGTAGCAATGAAGAGGGTTGGTGGTTTCCCTTTCTCTCAGCACACGGTCTCTAACTAGGTCAAACGTAATCCTCAATTCACATCCAGCATCTGTAAGTGCTCCCAAAAAAATGAATGACTGCAATATTCAACTCATTTCAGAACTGTTTTCCATGCCTAAAGTTTTAGTTCATTAAGTACTTCTTGCTTGCACAACTTCTGATGCCCTTAAAATATGGTTTTTGGCCGGGCGCGGTGGCTCACGCCTGTAATCCCAGCACGTTGGGAGGCCGAGGCCGGCGGATCACGAGGTCAGGAGATCGAGACCATCCCGGCTAAAACGGTGAAACCCCATCTCTACTAAAAATACAAAAAATTAGCCGGGCGTGGTGGCGGGCGCCTGTAGTCCCAGCTACTCGGGAGGCTGAGGCAGGAGAATGGCGTGAACCCGGGAGGCGGAGCTTGCCGTGAGCCGAGATCGCGCCCCTGCAGTCCAGCCTGGGCGACAGAGCGAGACTCCGTCTCAAGAAAAAAAAAAAAAAATATGGTTTTTGAAGTTTAATTGGGATTTCTGGTGTTTTCCCAGAGAAAACATGGCTTTCTAAGACTTATTCTATCCTACATAGAATTCGTTCTTCTTTATCCTATTTTATTACCAAAATTACAGAGGGGTTGATTGGCAAGTGCTATTCTCTTTATCAGATTTTGAAAACAGTGTTTCTAAGTTTCAGTCTTTTCCCCAAGATGGGAAAAGGCAATGAGGAGAAAATTCCAACGCTTCCGATGTCTGCTTCCTTCCCGTGTTTTCCACCGTAGCAAGGTAAGGACTGCGTCACTTAGACTTCAATCACAAAATGAGAAACCACACCCTGGGCTAACCATGAGTCACTAACAGGAAGATGTAGCGATCACTACTAGGACTGGAGATCAAAGGGAAAGGAGTGGGGTTAATGGAACCCGCAAGCTTGGAATAGATCCCCTGGTTCCAGGACTTCAACCTCTTAGGAGAGGGTAGAGCCAACCTACCGCTGAAACCTCTGGAATTCGTAGAGGATCCAAAGACCCTCTGAGGCGACTAAGACCTCTGAAGGTAAGATGGATGTTTGATGGCTGTGCTGGTATCCCTGGGGCTGACAATGCTATTGGACCTGGGAGTTATGGAATATATGTAGGCAAAACGTGCAGGCACAAAGCTACTGCTGCTGCCAAGGCGGAAGCTGTGTGTTACTCAGGTAACATTGACATAAACAGCTATCAGACACTTCTGTCAGGTTTCCGGTCTCTCTAGTTCCCCCAACGGCAAATACTAACAGAGAGGATGGGCAAAGAGGAAATGGAGTGTGTAGGTTCCCGTTCTCCCTGTGACAAAGCGCAAGGATAAAGAGTAAAAAGGGGAAGGAGGCTTGGAATTGAAAGACAGCGAATTAAAACACACAGAACCCATTCGTGAGCTGTGTCTTTGCTCAAGAAACCCAAGTCTAATTTTATAACAAATAAAACACTAAAATTGCTTTAAAATAATGAAAAAGCAGGAATAAGCTGGCATTACCTTATTCAATAGCCAACATTTATGATTCTAAACTATAAAAGACCTTGGGGATTTCTGTCAGTGGTCTCAGGCATATGCAATAAAATTTCTCCTGACAGCACACACAAAATTAATACGTGAGAAATTTCATGAATGATTAAGCTTCTTTTCTGAAGTTTTAATTTGTTTTCAAGTTTTTTGTAGGTGAAGTTTGAACATTTTGCTTTTCTTTCTTAGGTGACATTTGAACATGTTGCTTTACTTTTTCAGGTAAAGTTTGAGCATTTGGCTCTTCTTTGTTTTTCTGTGCGTGATCAACAACAACATAAACAGAAAGCAAAGCAAAAGCAAAAAGGGAATCCATAAATATGGTGTTACACCCCTTGCTTGCACACCTCATTTTCTCCCTTTTTCCTGGGGGTGGTGGTGCCACTATCAACACTACCCTCAGTGCCTTCTCTCAGGCAGTCAGGAGGCTTCCACTCTCGGCAGCAATGGCAGTGATGTTTATTGTTGCAGACAGGTCTCATATTACAGGTCACGGGCAAACAGGTACTGTTCAAAAGTGACATAGTGACACATTTCCTGTGCATACAGACGTGTTCTGAACCACACTCGGTAGCATCTTTCACGTCACCAATATCAGGAGTGCTTATCCCCATTCGATAGCCGGTATCCCAGCAGGTGACACCAATGAAGTGAGTCCGGTGCAGAGTAGAATGATCTCTCAAAAGGGGGATTTCTTGCATGTTCTCACACTCAACTCTCCCACACAAGATATCTGTGACCTCACATCTTACCTATTTGGTGCCATTGAAACCACAGTGACCAAAATGATCACCTCGGATGTTCATATTACTGCAGCAACTCTGATTTGCACTGTTGGCTACCTGGCCAAAAATTTGTCTACACTGTTCATCACAGTTATTACATCTCTTTTCGTAGCAGTGGCCACTGCCCTTGCAGGGGATCCCGTCCTGCAAACACACATCTTCTGCACACTCATGCGAAGTCCCGTTGAACCACTCTGGAAGATCCCATTCGCTGGACTCTTGTCTGCACACTTCGACCGATGGCATGATCTGGCAGTTTTTGCAGCAAAGCCCCAAAACACAAGCAGCCCCAGGTTTGAAAGTGCAATTTGCAAAGCAACATGGCTCTTTTCACACGATGGTAAGTTTCCGCGGTCATACTCTTCTTCTACCGCACCATTCCCACAGCACCTCTGTGTCATGATTCTATCTCGATTTGGTGAAGCATGCATGCAGATCGTTGTTACAGTGGTTTGAAAAAATCTAGCATTAACTACAGTTGCTGAATCTTTTTGTGGAAGTTGCCGTTGGAAACATTATACACTT
Organism: Homo sapiens; assembly: GCF_000001405.40. Taxonomy (NCBI): domain Eukaryota; kingdom Metazoa; phylum Chordata; class Mammalia; order Primates; family Hominidae; genus Homo; species Homo sapiens. Next base: position 187,747,118 of record NC_000004.12, read on the forward strand.
TTTTGCCCACAGGAACATGTTTTTGTATCATGAGTCATACCCAAATTATGACCAAGCTCAGGTGCTGCTACGAGTGCAAAAGATCCCACTCTGTTATGTCCAAAACTGTTAATTGCATAATTACTTTCTCTATAACATACTGTTCCAACATTGGCTAAGCCAAGAGTAATACCATAGGAGCGTTTTACAATAAGATGTGCAACATCATGAGGAATGCAAGAATTAAAGCTAGTTTGTTTCCATTTGCAAATTTCTTTCAGGCCAACACCTGCAGTGTCCATTGTAATGAAGTTTTCTTGAGTCCAGATCTCAAGTCCCACTACAGTGACAATTGGCACCCAGTGGAATATAAAATGCATCAGCTTTTTGATACAGCATGAGTACTTCCTCCTGCACATTTGAGGTATGACTTTCCAGATAAAGGAATCATTCATCATCTACCACTACTGCCAGTTCAACAAACAATTTATGGGTCCACCAGCCCTCAAAGCCACTTTGCATTAGAGTAGAAGGATCTTGAAACTTCAATTGTCTTGCTATTTCTTCCTCTATCAACCCACATCTCATGGGTGGGAATTGTGTCTCCTCATTGTCCATCTTATATATCAGATGTTCAAATGTGGCTGAAACCCTTTTGGGCTTGATTTCCTAAGCAGTGTCATTTATCTGTGGTATTCCTTGAAAGCCCCCCAAACAGCTGCTAAGAGCAACCAGGGATTCTGGGTCCCCTTCCACATAACTGTGATAGTAGCAGTCATCCTGGACAAAAGTTGGTCCTCAAAAATAGCACCCTGGTCTGAGTAGGTGAACACAGAGAAGGATTTGGATATCAAAAATATCAAAAGCTTATTGACCTTCATGTGGACAATGTACCTTTGGCTGCCAACTTGCAGGCCATAGGACAGCCAGCCTTGAGTGTCCGTGCCTCTGTCAGCACCAGTTATCCTCAGGGGTATCACCACTTCTGGGAGGCTTTGGTGTTGACAGAGCCCAATCTGGAGCCATCCAGAAAAGAACAGAAACACTCCCAGCCAGAGCAGCAGATGGATGAACCTCACATGGACCAGGGCCTCGCTCACTGCCCTCATGGAGCCACTGTGATGGAGCTATGGGTGAGAGCAAAGGAGGGGAGGCAGGAGGCACAGCTGGTCTGTCTCCTCCTCTGAGTTGCTTTTGTTTGATGTTGAGCTTAATGGTCTTTCTGCTGGCAGAGTCAGTCTATCAGAGCAGCACAGCTAAAAGATAAAGTGAAAAGAATGGCAGAGATGGGGTGGTGTGAGCAGAACAGAGTGGAAAAGAGAGAGCTGGGTGTGGGTAAAATGGAGTCATATTTGGCTCAGGACGTAACTCATTATACTGCATTGGATTTGCTTCTGCATATTGGCAAGGCAGAGTGAGACTGTGGGTGTAAAAAAGAATGACAGTTGGCTGCAGGTTGATAATTACTGAACCTAGATGAAGGACACATGGGTTCATTACACTGTTGTCTAAATACACGTATGTGTGTGAACATTTCTGCAACAAATACCTAAAACAGAAGAGTCTTAATGGAAAGGGGAACGTATATCTCATTTTGATGAGAGAACCTTGATTTATGCATATAGACTTGGAATAAGTGTAGATATTTCTTATCAATTTCAAATGATAAATTATTCAGTCACCTTACTCAGAAGAGAGACATAAAAATATTCACACATCTTACTTTCTTATCATGGTCCTCAATATATACTTCTCTGCAAAATATTACTTGTCCTATCTTCATCTAATACTGTCAAACTGCGTAGTGTCAAAATATCAATTATCCTTCAAAAACGTTAGCGTCTATTTTAATGGATCCCAAATTCAATATAATAATAAACCATTGTGGAATTAAAAGAGGATATACCTTGGGTTGACAGACGTTCCCGAAAGATGATCATATTTGCTTATACTCTTATGAAAAGTAACATTTGTCAAAGCCTCTAACAAAATAAAATGGAAAGGAAATCAAACTAGCTGGAAAAGCAACAGTTGGAAGTGGGAAGACATGGAAGGGAAAGCAAAGTACCTTCAGAAATAAATAGAAAATCAATGAGCTCCAAAACCAGGAAGGAAAGCTTTGGAGGAAGGTAGGATTTTTGTCCTTGAGCAAAGATATCAAAATCCATGGCATTTTTAGGGTTATAAGGTGACCACTCCTGAGATCCACCCTTGAAGGTATTTATGGGATAAATAAAAATACCTATTCCATCAAAAAAATAAAATACAAAAAAGGTCTCAATAATACAAATGTATCATCAGATATTTATGAAAATGAGAGATCTGGTACTAGCACGGTGCCTGGCTGCCAATACTGATTTATTGCTGTTCTTGAATAAAATATTAATAAAACCACCTGATATACAGACATTATGCTGCAAATTTTAGAATATAAATGAATGATACTGGCCTAAATAATTTAGTAGTCTGGAGCAAACATTTAGGGAGAATGTTTGGGGCAAAAACACACTTTAGGAATCTGCATAATTACATTCAATATTTTACATGTAAAATGCCTAATGTTGTTTAGCTAGTGAGAGTAACCACAGTCTTTATCAGACAAGTAAAGTAATGAGATTAAGAATTATTAGTCAAGTTGAGAAAAAAAAAGACCTGAGGAAATTGAAATCTGCTTTGAGTGACCTAAAACAGAGTGATCAAATTCCACTTTTCATAGTAGGTATTATAAAAACAAAAGACGCCAGATTCAGCACCTAACATCTCTTGGACTTGGACCCATTTTTCTTTAAAATTTCCTTAATTTTTCTTTTATCTTGATTCTAAGTGTTTGATCTCTCTGCAATCATTTTCTTGTCACTCATGGAATCTTCCTTTCATGAAAAGCAACAAGAATCTTTTCTCTATTCACAAGGTTTTATGGTGAGCTTCTTATTCATACTAGGTTTTACAAAAATGTATATCTCAACAATGTGAATCCCAGCAGAAAGGAGGCTTTGTCATATGCCCTGCAGAACATATGTAGAGATATGGTTTTGCCATGTTGGCCAGGCTGGTCTCAAACTCCTGAGCTGAAGTGTTCTGCCCACCCCAGCCTCCCAGAGTACTGGGATTACAGGAATGAGCCACTGAGCCTGGCCCAATAATAGTTTTGAGTAAAAATATTGCATTAATGTTTAAGCTATAGTTATCTAGAAAATATTAAGTTTTATATTGCTTATAATTAGTAAGTTTCCCATTAATCCTTTTGCTTCTTACTTTACCATCTAGAAACCAAGGCTACTAATACTATGAGGAACTTGTTGGGAATTGGAGAAAAGGTGACTTTCATTATGCTTTAGCAAAGAGACTGGCAGCATTTTGCCTTTTCTCTTCAGATCTATGGAACATTGAACTTGAGAGAAATGATTTAGAGTATCTGGTGGAAGAAATTTCTAAGCAGCAAAGCATTCAAGATATGATGTGGGTGCTGTTAAAGACATTCGGTTTTATGTATTCACAAAGATATGGTTTGGAATTGGAACTTATGTTTAAAAGAGAAGCAGAGCATGAAAGTTTGAAAAATTTGCAGTCTGACAATGCAATAGAAAAGAAAAACTCATTTTCTGAGGAGAAATTCAAGCTGGCTGTAGAAATTTGCATAAGTAATGAGGACCCAAATGTTAATTGCCAAGACAATGGGGAAAATGTCTCCAGGACATGTCAGAGGTCTTCATGGCAGCCCCTCCCATCACAGGCCTAGAGGCCTAGGAGGGAAAAATGGTTTCATGGGCCAAGCCCAGGGCCTTGCTGCTTTGTGCAGTCTCGGGACATGGCACCCTGTATCCCAGCCATGGCTAAAAGGGCCCAATGTACAGCTCAAGCCATTGCTTCAGAGGGTTCAAGCTCCAAGCCTTGGCAGCTTATATGTGTGTTGGGCATGCAGGTGTACAGAAGTCAAGAATTAAGATTTGGAAACCTCTGCCTAGATTTCAGAGGATGCATGGAAATGCCTGGATGTCCAAGCAGAGTTGTGCTTCAGGGGAGGAGCCCTCATGAAGAACCTCTGATAGGGAAATGCAGAAGGGAAATGTGGGGTCAGAGCCCCCACACAGAGTCCCCAGGAGGGCACTGCCTAGTAGAGCTGTGAAAAGAGGGCCACCATCCTCCAGACCACAGAATGATAGATCCACTGACAGCTTGCACCATGTGCCTGGAAAAGCTGCAGACACTCAATACCAGCCTGTGAAAGCAGCTGGGTGGGGGTGGGGATGGGGGTGCTGTACCCTACAAACCCACAGGGGCAGAGCTGCCCAAGACCATAGGAACTGACCTCTAGCATCAATGTGACCTGGATGTGAGACATAAAGTAAAAGGAGATCATTTTATGTCTTGACTGTCCTGACAGATTTCGGACTTGCATGGGGCCTACAGCCCCCTTCATTTTGGCCAGTTTCTCCCATTTGGAATGAGTGTATTTACCCTGTGCCTGTACCCCCATTGTATCTAGGAAGTAACTAGCTCTTTCTTACTAGACATAAAATTAACTGAGACAGTTTTAATTTCATTTTGATTTTTTTCTTTAGCAAAGGGAAGGTTCAAGGCCCCCCCAAATCAGTATCAAGCAGAAGCATTTTTTCAACAAAACGCTTTTCATAATCAGATACAATCCACATTGATTCCCTCAGAGATATACTACAGAGGTTCTCTTTCTTGAAATGTTTATATGTTAAAGTAGAACTGGAGACTCCCTTGTCTCTGGATGGGTAAACAAAAAGAAGATGACCACGGGCAAAGTTACTGAGCACAGGTTACTTACTGTTATGTAACAAATTAATCTAGTGGCTTAAAAATTCATTTTATAATTTATTATTATTTATTATATTATTTATGTGTAGGGCAGGAATTCAGGCAGGGTATGGCTGGACAATTTTCGCTCCACGTGATGTCAATCAGTGTTCATCTGGTGGCAGACAGCTGGTGGTTTGACTGGTCTTGAGGGTCTGAGGTACATTTACTCATTGTCTATTCCTTGACAGAGATGGCCCAGAAGGCTGAGCTTGGTACAGTCTGTTCCTTAGAGAGCCTACATAATACCTCTGCTGCATGAATTTCTTCTTACACTACAGTGCTCCAAGAACAATCATTCCAGGAGGTACAGGCAGAAACTAACAAGGCTTCTTAGGATTTAGCTTCAGAAGTCTCAGTACATAACTTGCCACATTACATTAGTCAAGCAAAAAGTAAGGCTAGGTGAGATTCAAGTGAATTTGGAAGGTTTTAAAAGGAGGAAGAGATTCCATTTCACATTTAAAAAAATGGCATGTGTCTTCAGCAAAGGAATATATAGCTGAAACACATCACAGGCACAAGGTACTTCAGTTTATACTCTAGCTCCACAATTTAATTTGGGTGATTATTTTTAATAGACTATTTTTTAGAGCAATTTTAGGTTCCAAGCAAAACTGAGTGGAAGGTACAGAGATATCTCAAATGGCTCCTACCCCTATGTAAGCATGGCTTCCCTCATTATTATCAACCCTCTCCAAAGTGGTACATTTGTTACAACTGATGAACTTATATTGACACATCATTGTCACCTGAAATCCATAGTTAACATTAGGTTTTACTTTTAGTGTTATACTCTCTATGGGTTTGACAAATGGATAATGACATGTATTCCACATAGTATCATACAGAGCACTTTCACTGCCCTCATAATCTTGGCACTTAGACTTTTCATCCCTCCTTTCCCCTAAGCCCTAAGAAAAACCATATCTTTTAACACTCTTCATAGTTTTGCCATTTTCAGATGTCATATTGTTGCAATAACATGGTATGTAGTCTTTTCAAATTGGGTTTCTTCACTTAGCAATAGGCGTTTAAGTTTCCTCCATGTCTTTTCATGGCTCGCTAGTGCATTTCTTTAAGTGCTGAATAATATTTTATTGCCTGGCTATATCCCAACTTATTTATCCATTCATGTACTTAAGGGCATTTTGGTTGCTTCCAAGTTTTGACAATTATGAAGAAAATGATATAAACATCCACATGCAGGTTTTGTTTGAACATAAGTTTTAAATTCTTTTGTGTAAATTCCTAAGGACTGCAATTGTTGACCATATGGAGGGGTGTGTTTATTTTATTTATTTATTTATTTATTTGAGATGGCGTCTTGCTGTCACCCAGACTGGAGTGCAGTGGTGCGATCTCAGCTCACTGCAAGCTCTGCCTCCCGGGTTCACGCCATTTTCCTGCCTCAGCCTCCTCAGTAGCTGGGACCACAGGCACCTGCCACCACTCGCGGCTAATTTTTTTGTTTTTAGTAGAGACGGGGTTTCAGTGTGTTAGCCAGGATGGTCTCAATCTCCTGACCTCATGATCCACCCGCCTCGTCCTCCCAAAGTGCTGGGATTACAGGCGTGAGCCACTGCGCCTGGCCGGGGTGTGTTTATTTTTAAGAATACAAGGTATATTACAAAGTAGCTGAACTATTATGAATTCCCACAAGCAATGAATGAGAGTTCTTGTGGCTCATCATCCTCGCCAGCATTTGATGTCATTAGTATTTTGGATTTTGGCTCTTCCAATGTGTGTATAGTGGTATTTTGTTGTTTTAATTTGTACGGTCCTGATGATGGATTATGTGGAGCATCTTTTCATATGCTTATTTGCCATCTGCATAACTTCTTCAGATGTCTGTTAGTCTTTGATCCAATTTTTTAAATCAGTTGTTTCCTTACTGCTCATTTTTAAGAGCTCTTTCTCTATTTTGAATAATTATTTATCAGAAAAGTATTTTAAAAATGTTTTTCTCCCAGTCTGTATCTTTACTTTTCATTCCCTTGACAGTGTCTTTTTTCTTTCTTTCTTTCTTTTATTTTTCAACTTTTATTTTAGATTCAGGGGATACATGTGTAGGTTTGTTATATGGGTATATTGCATGATGCTGAGGTTTGGAGTATAAATGATCCCATCACCCAGGTAGTGAGCACAGTACCAAATAGATTTTTAACCCATGCCCTTTTCTCCCTTCCCTCTCCAATAGTCCTCAGTTTCTGCTGTTGCCATCTTTATGTCCATGAGTACCTAATGTTTAGCTCTCACTTATGAGTATGAACATATGGTATTGGTGTTCTGTTTCTGTGCTAATTCACTTAGGGTAATGGCCTACAGCTGCATCCATGTTGCTGCACGTAGACATGTTTCTATTCTTTCTTATGGCTGTGTAGTATTCCATGGTGTATATGTACCACATTTGCTTTATCCCATCTGTCACCGATGGGCTCCTAGGTTGATTCCATGTCTTTGCTATTGTGAATCGTGCTGTGATGAACAGGCAAGTGCATGTGTCTTTTTGGTGAAATGATTTGTTTTCTTTTGGATGTATATCTAGTAATGGGACTACTGAGTCAAATGGTAGTTCTGTTTTAAGTTCTTTGAAAAATCTTCAAACTGCTTTCCACAGTGGCTGAACTCATTTGCATTCCCACCAACAGCGTATAAGTGTTCCCTTTTCTCTGCAGCCTCACCAGCATCTGTTGTTTTCTTTGACTTTTTAATAATAGCCATTCTGACTGGTGTGAAATGGTATCTCATTGTGGTTTGGATTTGCATATTTCTGACAATTAGTAATGTTCAGCATTTTTTCATATGTTTGTTGCCTTACCGTGTGTCTTTAGAAGTGTCTGTTTATGTCCTTTGCCCACTTTTTAATGGGGTTGTTTTTTGCTTGTTGATGTAAGTTTCCTATAGATTCTGGATATTAGACCTTTGTTGGATACATAGTTTGTGAACATTTTCTCCCATTTTGTAGGGTGTCTGTTTACTCTGATGATTTATTTTGCTGCACAGAAGCTCTTTAGTTTAATTAGGTCCCACCTGTCAATTTTTGTTTTTATTGTGATTGCTTTTGGAGTCTTAGCCATAAATTATTTGCCAAGGCCGGTGTCTAGAGTGGTAATTCCTAGGTTTCCTTCTAGGATTCTTATAGTTTTGAGTTTTGCATTTAAATCTTTAATTCATCTTGGGTTAATTTTTCTATATGGTAAAATGGAGTGATCCAGTTTTAATCTTCTGCATATGGCTAGTCACCTATCTCAGTGTTATTTATTGAATAGGGAGTCCTTTCCCCATTGCTTATTTTTGTTGACTTTTGTTGAAGACCAGATGGCTGTAGGTGTGCAGCTTTATTTCTGAGTTCTCTATTCTGGTCCATTGGTCTATGCATCTATTTATGTACCAGTACCATGCTGTTTTGGCTACTACAGCCTTATAGTACAGTTTGAGGTCAGTTAATGTGATGCTTCTGGCTTTGTTCTTTTTGCTTAGGATTGCAGTGTCTATTCAGGCTGCTGCTTTTTTGGTTATACATAAATTTTAGAATGGTTTTTCCTACTTCTGTGAAAAATGGCATTGGTGATTTTATAGGAATAGTGTTGAATCTGTAGATTGCTTTGGGCAGTATGGCCATTTTAACAATGTTGATTCTTCCTATATATGAGCATGGAAAGTTTTTTTATTTGTTTGTGTCATCTATGATATTTTTCAACAATGTTTGGTAGTTCTCCTTATAGAGATCTTTCACCTTCTTGGTTTGGTGTGTTCTTAGGTATTTTATTTTTGTGTGGCTATTGTAAATGGGATTGTTTTCTTGTATTGTAAATGGAAATGTTATTGGTTTATAGAAATGCTACTGATTTTTGTACATTAATTTGTATCCTAAAACTTTACTGAAGTCATTTATCAGTTCCAGGAGCCTTTTGGCAGAGTCTAGGATTTTCTAGATATAGAAGTATATAATCAGCAAAGAGAGATCATTTGACTCTTTTTTCTATTTGGATTCCTTTTATTTATTTTTCTTTTATAATTGCTCTGGCTAGCACTTCCAATACTATGTTGAGTAGGAGTGGTTAGCATGAGCATCCTTGTCTTGTTACAGCTCTCAAAGGTGGGGATGGTTCCAGTTTTGTCCATTCAGTATAATGTGGGCTGTGGTTTTGCCATTGATGGTTCTTATTATTTTGAGATATGTTTCTTCACTGCCTAGTTTCTTGAGCATTTTTTTATAAAGGGATGTTGGATTTTATGGAAAGATTTTTCTGCATCTATTGAAATATCATATGGTTTTTGTTTTTAATTTTGCTTATGTGGTGAATCACATTTATTCATTTATGTATGTTGAACCAACCTTGCATTTCAGGAATGAAACTATCTGTATTGCAGTGAATTAACTTTTTGGTGTGCTATTGGATTTAGTTTGCAAGTATTTTGTTGAGGATTTTTGCATATCTATGTTCATCAGGAATTTTGGCCTGTAGTTTTCTTTTTTCATTGTATCTTTGCCAGGAATTTGTATCAGGGTGATGCTGGCTTTGTAAAATGAATCAGGGAGGAGTCTCTTCTCAATTTATTTGAATAGTTTCAAATAAATAGCTTTTTTTTTTTTGTATATCTGGTAGACTTCAAATGTTAATCCTTCTAGTCCATGGATTTTTTTTTTTGGTTGGTAGGTTTTTTATTATTGGTTCAATATTATAACTCAATATTGGTCTGTTCAGTGTTCAATTTCTTCCTGATTCAATCTTGGGAAATTGAGTATTTCTAGGAATTTAACAATTTTGTCTAGATTGTCTAGTTTATGTGCATAGAGCTGTTCACAATACTGCCTGAGTATCTTTTGTATTTCTGTGAAAACGGTGGGAAAGTCATCTTTGTTGTTTCTGCTTCTGCTTATGTGAATCTTCCTTTCTTTCATTCTTTCTTTCTTTCTTTCTTTCTTTGTTAATCTAGCTAGTAGTCTATTGATCTTGTTTATCCTTTCAAATAACCAACTTTTGGTTTTGTTGATACTTTGTATGGGTTTTTTGTACCTCAATTTTGTTCAGTTCTGCTCTGATTTACTTCTTTTCTTCTGCTAGCTTTGAGGTTAGTTTGTTTTTGTTTTTCTAGTTCCTCTAAGTGTTATGTTCGATCATGAATTTTAGACCTTTCTGTGTTTTTGAGGTAGGTGAGTAGTGCTATAAATTTTCCTCCTAACACTGCTTTTGCTGCATCCCAGATATTTTAGCACAGTGTGTCTCTATTTTCATTTATTTCAAATAATATTTTTAATTTCTGCTTTAATTTTGTTGTTTCCCCAAAAGTCATTCTGAAGCAAATTGTTTAATTTCCGTGTAATTGTGTGGTTTTGAGAGATCTTGCTCATATTGATTTCTTTTTTTATTCCACTGCAGTCTGTGAGTATGGTTGGTATAATTTTAACATCCTTGAATCCATTGAGACTTGCTTTAGGGTTGAGCATCTGTTCAATCTTGGAGTATGTTCCCAAGATGAATTATTCGTAGAGCTATAATATATAGCATAGGTAATATCGTTAATAATAATGTATTGCATACTAGGAATTTGCTATGGGAATAGAAGTTATGTTCTCACTACATCAGAAAAAGGAGTATGTCAGGTGATGAATATATTAATTTGCTTAATTGTAAGAATCATTACATAAAGTATATTTATATCAAAATACCATGTTATACTTCTTAAATATATACAATTTCTACATGTCAATTATATCTCAATAAGACTGGGAAAATAAAAGTAAAAGTATAATATTCTAAATGTAGCCATAAATCTCTCAATTACCAAAAATGAACTTGAAAGCTCTATCTACCTCAATAGGCGGAGAGTTTCTGCTTTAAGACTCATTTTTCAAAATCTTGTGCTAAAAGAGGCCATTTATTTACTCCTGTACATTTTCCATAGTCTTCTATTCTTCCCCATTTTCTTCTTTCTTGAGTGTATAATGTACTTCCGACTACTGGGAAAACTGTCTCAAATACTACTGATTGAACTATAATTGGCTTTTTAAAAGCCACATGGAGAAAAAACTACTAAGATAGTCATCAATTTTGCAGAAAATACAACCACCTCTTATTTTCCAAGCTGTGTCTACACATTGGCAGAGACAGGCTACGAGAACTTTTTCTTCAAATTTGCATTGTGGGTTCATCATTACTGGCAAAAATAATTTTTCACAGATTCTTTATAAGTTAAACATAAGCTTAAATAATGCTCTTCAAACCTTGGCCCTAATGCACATCCTTTTATTTTATAAAATATAACTAGCCCCATTTAGAGTTAGAAGGAAAAAGGCAGAGCAGTAATTGAGATTATTTCAATTTGCTATAATAAGTTGAGATTATTTGTAATAATTGAGATTATTTCAATTTGCTATATATCTTCCAAGTCTTCAGGTTCCAAAACTGTATTGCTACAGAAGCATCAGAAAACTCTCAGCTTTAACTCAACTCCCATTTAACTTATAAAACATATCTGAAAAAGTAATTCTTTTTCCATTTGATGCATGTCTTTTATGATTTTTTTGGTTAGAAACATAAAATTTAGAAACTCATTTTTGCTTCAAGGCAAAAGTATATGCCCACTGAAAACATCCTAGGAACAAGTTGTTTTTCACTGAAGCCACTCGAATGAAAACATCACAAACCAAAATGTTTGTCAGGGATCCATTGAGTGTTAGAAACAGTAGAGAAGAGACATACCAAACCTGGGAGCAGGTTCCTGGAAGCTTATCATGTAGTTAAGATGAGAAGTTATGTAACAATAACAACAAAACAACTTTTATATAATATCACGCTTCAATATAATATAACATAATATAGTATATAAATGAATTATATGATGACAACCATGTGTCAGGCACCTGCCTAAGCACTTTACCTATATTAACTCATTTAATACTTACAGTGGCCTTACAGGATGCTTATAATTACTATGATTATTCACATTTTACAGATAAGAAAAAAGACAAAGAGCAAAGCAATTTTAGAGTTAGATCATTAACCCAGCCCATGTATCTCCCATGTCCGTTTTCTTATTTGCTAGATGCTGCTGCTTCTCTTATTATATCATGTCTTACAAGGGCAGAGGCACCAAATGGGTGCAACAGAACTGCAGAGAATGGAAGGAAGTCATTGTGGCTTGAAGAATTTGAAGAATAAAAGAGGCATGGGGCTAGGTCTTATGTGAACAGGAAAAAGCTACTTTAAGCTCATAAGTGCAGGCAAAAAACCTAGAGATCATCTTTGTCCTTCCCTTTCATTACCACTTCCCACACATTCCATCACACAATTATCTCCTTCTTTCTTCTAACTGGCTTTCTCATTATTCTACTTCTCTTCATTGCTACTGTCATTATAGCTTTCTGTCATGGATTTTGCTTGAACTAATGCTATAGTCTCCTGACTCACCCCCCTGCCCTTGATATTTTTTCAATTCATTCTCCACATTGTAGTTAGAGTAATGTTTCTACAAAACAAATCTGATTGTATTATTCTCTTGCTCAAAATTATTCATTAGCTCCCAATTTTCCTTAGGAAAAAATATGAGTTCCTTAGCATGGCTTAGAATGCCCTTCATGGACTAACCATTGCATAATTCTGTAATCTCAGCCTCAGAGCAAACCCTCTCACCATCACCACTACCACCACCACAGCTCGTGGCAGCATACCTTTTTCCACTAATGAATTTCTTTGAATTCGTCAAATATCTTTCTTGTTTCCTTGAGTTTTTCAAATAATATCTTTCCTGAGTATCTCCTTCTTCCCTATTACATATTATTTACCATTCAAGTCCTGGCATCAACATTTCTTCATTTGGAAAGTCATCCATAACCCCCAAAATGATGCTAATTGTTTGAATGTGATCCCTATTCTTATATTCTTATTTTTATGGGCAGTCCTCAGCATACTTTAAGATAATTACCGGTTATTTGTTCAGTTATCTCTAAGACTAGAAGTCTGCGAGGTTAGAGACCCCTCTTTTATTATTCATGATTTTATCTCCGGTACTCAGGGTACCAAATCCCTGTCTCCTAAGCATGCATACAAAGAGATGCCATGCACTTCAAAAGTAAACACGGCAGGGTGTGGTGGCTCATGCCTATAATCCCAGAACCTTGAGAGGCCAAGGCAGGTGGATTGCTTGAGCTCAGGAGTTTGAGACCAGCCTGAGCAACATGGTAAAACCCCGTCTCTACCAAAAATACAAAAAAACTAGCCAGACATGGTGGTGTGTGCCTGTAGTCCCAGCTACTGAGGAGGCTGATGTGGGAGGATCACTAGAGCCCAGGAGGTGGAGGATGCAGTGAGCCAAGACTGGGTGACACCCAGCCTAGGCGACAGGGTGAGACCCCATCTCAAAAAAGAAAAAAAAAAGGTAAAGATAGGGAAACTTGAAATTATTGCAGTGTAAATTACCCAAGCTAAAGCACAGAGGAAGAAAAGACTAAATAAATACATCCATAACAGAGCCTTGGGCAGTGAGTACAACATCTAGTGGATTAACATATCTAAAACTAGAATAATTGAAGACAGACGGCTTAAAATAATGGCTTAAAATGTTTACATTTGGTGAAAATTATAAATCCACTATTTCAGGAAATTTAACAACTCCCTGGTGAGTTTTATTTTGCTTTAACCAAATAAAAACCACAGCAAGGCATATCATAATATAAATCATTGGTAAAAATTTGTATTCGCTGGATCTTTATAAACATCCAGAGAATAATAAGTACATTTATATTTCAGGGAACAACAATAGCAATCATCTCCGACTTCACATCAAAAGTAATGAGACAAAAGACAATGGAAAGATAGCTTAGAAGTCTTGACAGAAAGAAATACTGTGAAGCTAGAATTATATAACTAGACAGTTTTTAAGAAATGAATTCAAATAAAATATCTTCCAGGCAAACAAAAGCAGAGAGAATTTATTGTCAGCAAATATGCACTATGAGAAATGTTAAAGAAAATTCTTCAGAGGGAAGGGAAATAATGTCAGATGAAACTTATATCTGTAAAATGAAGGATTTCAGAAATAGAGAATGTGTAGGTAAATACCAAGTGTATATTTCGATTAATTTTGTTACAAGATAAATGGTCGCTTAAAGCAAAAATAATAATGAACTGAGGGATTAGTAACATATATGAAAGTAAAATAGTTGTATTAGGGTCCTCCAGAGAAACAGAACTAATAGAGAAAGAAACATAGAAAGAGAGAGAGAAAGACTGACTGTAAGAAGGCTGGGCGTGGTGGCTCATGCTTGTAATCCCAGCACTTTGGGAGGCTGAGGTGGGTGGATCACGAGGTCAGGAGTTCGAGACCAGCCTGACCAACAGGTGAAAACTACCAAAATTAGCTGGGTGTGGTGGTGCGTGCCTGTAATCCCAGCTACTCAGGAGGCTGAGGCAGGAGAATCGCTTGAACCTGGGAGGCGGAGATTGCAGTGAGCCGAGATTGCACTGCTGCACTCCAGTCTGAGCGACAGAGGGAGACTCTGTCTCAAAAAAAAAATAATAAAAAAAAATAATAAATTGATTGTAAGAAATTGGCTTATGCAATTGCTAGCAGTCTTCATAACCAGGAAGAGCAGATGTTCCCGTTCAAAGGCAGTCAGGCAGAAGAATTTTTTTTTCATCTGGGGAGAGGTCAGCCTTTCGTTCTAGTCACACCTTCAACTGATTGGATGAGGCTCACCCAGTATTGGTAAGGGCAGTGTGCTTTACCTAGTCTACCAATGTAAATGTTAATCTCATCCAGAAACACCCTTGCAGATACACCCAAAAGAATGTTTGACAAAATATCTGGGCACCACCTGCCCTAGTCAAGTTGACACATAAAACTAGACATCACAAGTTTACCCCTTGTCAACTTGGCATCTATAACATCTCCTTAAATTGTACTTAAACTCCAAGTAAAGACAATAACAAGGCCATAATTTCACCTAGTCTGATATAACTACCCTGTGTGAAACCAAAAATGCACTAATTCCTTCCCCAGAAAAGGAGGTAAAGTCCTTGCATGATATTTACTTTTCTTTTTGAACTCCCATAGCTTAATTACTATAATGTAAAGTTAACAATACTTAAGTACTACGATATAAAGTCAACATATCTTATGTTACACAATAAGGATATAATAGAGGAAAAATAAGATATTATTATATGCACATAAACAAATATATTGATTAAAAATAAAGGGGAAATACTCAGATAATTACAGTTCTCATTTCTGTAATGGGTCGCATGGTCATAGCTGGTATTTATAACTAAGTTCTTGCACTTTGCCTTTAGCAGGTACCTCAGCTCTGGTTGTGATTCTTTATTAACAGGTATGGGAGCAAGCATATGACAGGTTAATATCTGCATCCTATGTACCAGGGGATATATTAACTTTCTCAAGCAATGAAGCCACATCTGGTACAAAAGCTGCAGTTGGATTCATCATCTGGATAAACATAGGATAATCCACTTTAATTCTCCAAGATCCATCAGTCTTCTGCACAGGCCACATAAACTCATTGAATGGGGATGTGTTGGGAATCACCACCTCTGCATCTTTCACGTCCTTGATAGTGCCCCTAATTCTCTGCAGTCCCTCCGGGAATGTGGTATTGCTTTTGATTTACTAGGTAGAGGCAATTCGAGTGGCTTTCACTTGGCCATTCTCACTATAACATCCCTCACTTCACAGGTCAGGGAACCAATATGAGGATTCTCCTAGATGCTGAATATGTTTATTCTAATGATGCACTCTAGAACTGGGGAAATATCCAAGTTCATGGACCCAGTGGGCCAACTGTAAAAAAGACCTGAACTAAAACTCCATTGACCACCTGAGCTCGATAAGCCCCTACTCTGACTGGTGGATCACAGTCACTTGGGGTTTCCTGGAATTAGCGTCACTTCAGAGCCATTGTCCAGTAGCCTCCAAAGGTTTGATTACTTCTGTTTCTCTTAGTGTGCAGCTACCCTGGTAACAGCCATAAGTCCTTTGGGGGAAGGTTAGGAGACAGATTAACAGCATAAATGTTGGCAATGTACCAGGGGTCTTCTTTAAGGGGCCAGTCCCTTATTCAAGGGGTTCTGGGTCTATAAGCCAGCTCAAATCTAAGAACTGATTGAGGGGCTGTGACTCTCTGTTTTTATGATTCAAGTTAGACTTTAATTCACTTGACCTAGAAGGTCTCTGCTTATGTAGATCGAGTATGAACTTAGTAGGGCTTCCTATCTATTTCACTCTGGGAACATTATCATCAAATAGCCAATGTCACCAGGCGTGTGTGTCAGACTATTCTGAGTGCTGCTGTGCCTCTGCTGTTTATTATGGTAACCACTCCCACCTCGCTTTGGGCAGGTTAGTGCTGCCACTTGGCCCTGACACCCTGGGATTCAATTACTCCACTGCATTCTGTTATCCAGGTCAGTGACTGCAGTTCCCACCGTAAGGTCTGGCCTACAGAGAAAAGTTATCACAGGCTCTGCAAGGATGCTGGGGCTCTCCTCACAAGTTTATTTCTCAGAGGATTAGTGAAAGGTCTGTCTTCTGAACCCTCTGAGGATAGGTGAGTAGGTTTTAACCAACAAATGGTCTCTAACCTTCCAATCTCCCTAACATTTCAATCTTTCCTTTGAATCCCTTCTCCTACATACAACCAAGACAGGTCCAGAATTTCCAACTTGCTTATTGTGGGCCATCTTTTGGTCCATATTTAAGTCAACAAACTGGTAGAGCCCTTTTTATCTCCCAGAGCTACAGCATTAACTGCAGGATCTCTGCTTAGTCAACCAAGGTCAATGAATTTGACCTGATCCAATTTTATGTTCCTTCTACCATTATTCCACACCCTTAATATCCATTTTCCCACACGTTCCCCAGATTTCTTTCTGTGCAAGTTAAAAAACCTCAAGTAGGTCTTCTGAAGTGTAGTAAACTCTTATAAGTCACACTTTGCACCTCACCTTGAGAAGCCTGCTGGGACCGGAGTGAAGTGGCAGGTCTAGAAGCAAAGAGGGGTGGTAGGGTGGGGTCCTGATAAGAACAGCATTGTGTTGCACGCCTCGGGGGAGGCCATGACAGTTTCCTTGAGCAATACAGGGTTAATCTCCTCAGACACAGGTGAAAAGGCAACTTTCCCTGGCAGTGGGAAGGCTGCTTGCACTGGAGCTAGGCCTCTTCCACTGGCCAAAAAGAGCTACCAGAATTTAGGGGCTCAATAGCTCCAGTTTCATCAGTTTCTCCCACATGTCCCTGTTTCATACTTCAGAATTCTATTTCTTCCCAATCGCTTCCTCACTTTAACAGTAGACGCCCTGCAAGTCTGGCAGTTTACCTCACGTTGTAACTCAGCTGGTCACAGGACAAGATTCAGGCTTGATTTTCAGCAGTCTCAGCCCTGTGGCTAGAGGGATGAGGCCTCCTGAGCTGGTCACAGGACAAGATTCAGGCTTCATTTTCAGCAATCTCAGCCCTGTGGCTAGAGGGATGAGGCCTCCTGAGCTGGTCACAGGACAAGATTCAGGCTTGATTTTCAGCAATCTCAGCCCTGTGGCTAGAGAGATGAGGCAAGATTCAGGCTTGATTTTCAGCAGTCTCAGCCCTGTGGCTAGAGAGATGAGGCCTCCTGAGCTGGTCACAGGACAAGATTCAGGCTTGATTTTCAGCAATCTCAGCCCTGTGGCTAGAGGGATGAGTCCTCCTGAGCTGGTCACAGGACAAGATTCAGGCTTGATTTTCAGCAATCTCAGCCCTGTGGCTAGAGAGATGAGGCAAGATTCAGGCTTGATTTTCAGCAGTCTCAGCCCTGTGGCTAGAGAGATGAGGCCTCCTGAGCTGGTCACAGGACAAGATTCAGGCTTGATTTTCAGCAATCTCAGCCCTATGGCTAGAGATGAGGCCTCCTAGAGGGCACACATTGAAGTTTTCAGGTCATCTATTGAACCCTTGAGCTGGGAGCTTATTTCTTTCTTTTCCCACATTGTCCAGTGACATTAGGAGCAAACAGCCAATATCATTATACTCATTATTTTGACAAAAATATTGAAGAATATTGTATACACACTCACCCTGCTTCTTATAAGCGGTTGATTAGGGGAATCTAATGGTAATATTTTGCAAATTTCTACTGCCAGATCATGCTATGAACTGTCAATGCTCTCCATACTACTGGAAATAGTCATTGGTACCTCTAAATGTAAGTGAGGGGAAAATAGGATCTGGAGGTGAGAGACAGGACTAGCTGGATTTCCTAGGCCAACTAGGAATCCCTAAGCCTAGCTGGGAAGGTGACCACATCCACCTTTAAACACGGGGCTTGCAACTTAGCTCACACCTGACCAATCAGAGAGCTCACTAAAATGCGAATTAGGCAAAAACAGGAGGTAAAGAAATAGCCAATCATCTATTGCCTGAGAGCGCAGCGGGAGGGACAAGGATTGGGATATAAAGCCAGGCATTCGAGCTGGCAACCGCAACCCCCTTTGGGTCCCCTCCCTTTGTATGGGAGCTCTGTTTTCACTCTATTAAATCTTGCAACTGCACTCTCTTCTGGTCCGTGTTTGCTATCGCTCAAGCTGAGCTTTCGCTCGCCATCCACCACTACTGTTAGCTGCCGTCGCAGACCCGCTGCTGACTCCCATCCCTCCGGATCCAGCAGGGAGTCAGCTGTGCTCCTGATCTGGCGAGGCACCCATTGCAGCTCCTGATCAGGGTAAAGGCTTGCCATTGTTCCTGCACGGCTAAGTGCCCGGGTTCGTCCTAATTGAGCTGAACACTAGTCACTAGGTTCCACGGTTCTCTTCCGTGACCCACGGCTTCTAATAGAGCTATAACACTCACTGCATGGCCCAAGATTCCATTCCTTGGAATCCGTGAGGCCAAGAACCCCAGGTCAGAGAACACAAGGCTTGCCACCATCTTGGAAGCGGCCAGTTACCATCTTGGGAGCTTTGTGAGCAAGGACCCCCCACCCGGGTAACTGAGGCAGGGAACATGAGATCGATTCACACTTCAGCTATGAGAGAAAATATCCTCTCCATTTACATAGGGCATATGCTCAGTAAATGACTTTGTAACTTTACTTCATCCTCTACATTTATGTAGAGTGTACACCAAGTAACCAATGGAAATCTCTCAAGGGTATTTAAACTCCCCAACATTCTGTAACAGGGCCCTTGAGCTCCTATGCTCGGGTCCATTCCCACACTGTGGTGTCTACTTTTATTTTCAATAAATCTCTTAATTCCTCCCTCGCTTTGCTTGTGTGTTTTGTCCAGTACTTTGTTCAAGACGCCAAGAACCTGGACACCCTCCGCCAGTAACATAAGCGTATCAGAGAGCAGATTTTAGAAAGCCTGAAATCAACCCAGACAACTCATTCTCAAAATTCTTTCTCCAGGGCAACTTTTGGTATCAAAAGCTATATGAGTTAGGGTTCTCCAGAGAAACAGAATAGATGACAGACAGGGAGATAGATAGATAGATAGATAGATAGATAGATAGATAGATAGATATAGATTACATAGATAGATACAGATTACATAGATAGATACATTGAGCAAGTTCATTGGTGCCATTTTTCAAACATTATGTGTTCACTTCATGTCCGCATGTCAGCATATTTTAGCCATAAATATTTTTAATTAAGGCATATATGTTGTTTTTTAGACATAATGCTTTGCACACTGAATAGATGATAGTATAGTGAAAACATAACTTCCGTATGCACTGGCATCCATGCACACAATACATATGCATATTTCCCAATCTATACATAGATATTAGTGAGCATAATGGAGAAAAGAATCATCAAAGCAAGAATTATTGACTTCAGATGGGATTGTGCTAACTTTCTCTCACTTCTCAAAACCAAGTGAGAATTCTGAGAAATTCAATAAGGGACACCTTGTGGAGCAACAATGATTACCTTTTGTGATGAGATTGTAAAGATAATGACACATGTATAATAGGAAAAAAATAAGCATTGCTTTCTATAATATCTTACTGCTGCCCAAGAGGCCCATTGTTGGATTGGCACCAATGGTAGCTATGGAGAGGCAAATGTAGATGTGGAAACTGGGACAGGGACTAAACTACTCCACATAATAAGGATTAGAGGAATTTGAGGTGTGAAGGGTGAGAATAAAGGGAGGAATGTATGAAGAAGAAGCTAAAAATGATAATTTAAAGCTTTGTAGGGGCAAGAACAGAGTAAAAAACCTATGCTGATGGTTCTGAAGGAAAGAAAATGTAATTTTTACTTCAGCTCTCATAAGTTCATAGTTGTGACAGACTCCTACAACAAAGGACAAGGTAACGAGAAAAACAAGCAAGTTCTTTAACACATGCAGGGCATCACATGGAAGAAAAGTAACTCAAAGCAGTAGTCTAGGAGTCTGGCTTATACAGCATGTCAACAAGGAGCAGTAGGTTTCACAAGTGAAAAGACAAAGAAAAGCAGTTACAGGCTTCCATTGGTGGGAAACGGTAGGAAGGTAAATATATGGAAATACACTAATAAAGTCAAGTCGGCTTGAGATTGCTCTGGGCCATTTCTGGGCTGATAAGAGTTGGAATGGAGAATTTACATACTGTCTTTAGGGGAGAAAAGAAGGAGAGAGTAGGAAAGTGTTTTCTTCTGTAAATCTCTATCCTGCTTTTAGGCAAACAGAGGGAAGGCAGAGACTCCCCTGAATCTTCATTGTCTTCAGCTCAACAATATTTATGTCAAAGAAGCACATTTTGAGATGACACCTTCTGGTTTCCTTCAGTCTCCCCTTTGAAACTTTCCTTTCAGAAAGTTTTACATAGAAGAGCCAAGTTGGTAGCTTTGGAGCAATTTGGCTAGGGGTTGTGAGATAAGGGATTGGCAAAGGCAGAGAAAAACATAGATTGAAACAAACAGAAAAGAACAAATTTGAGTAAGTTATCCCATATCTTATTGAATCAGTCTCTGAGTCCTGGGAATACATATGGTATTTAAACAGGTGTGTTTCATTTCAGGATGTGGCCTTGCACATGTGTTCCCATCAAAGGCCTCCATATGGTGCAGGCAAATATATTTATGAAGAAGCATTTCTATGGAAATAAAAGAAAAACAAAAGATTAATAATTGGAGCCATCTACAAACTACTATCTGAGTCTGGAGGGCAGCCAGCTGAGAAGATTTCTAGATGTTCAACTCAAGCATCTTTTTTTTTTTTTTTTTTTTTTTCCAGACGAAGTCTCACTCTGCTGCCTACACTGGAGTGCCGTGGTGCAATCTCGGCTCACTGCAACCTCCGCCTACTGGGTTCAAGTGATTCTCCTGCCTCAGCCTCCCGAGAAGCTGGGACCACGGGCATCTGCCACCACGCCCAGCTAATTTTTGTATTTTCTGTAGAGACAGAGTTTCGCCGTGTTGGCCAGGCTGGTCTGGAACTCTTGACTTCAGGTGATCCTTCCACCTCAGCCTCCTAAAGTGCTGGGATTACAGGCATGAGCCACCACGCCCGGCCTAGACTCAAGCATCTTTAGTTGAAGCAGGAGCAGGCAGTGGCAAGCTGACAAATATTTCTGGTTTGCCATTTAAATGTCGTAAAGCTTGTCTATAAATAAGCTGTTGTGATTTCTTGGAAGTTTGTATCAAGTTGTCTGGCTTCTGCTTGGAAAAGCACAGTGTTAGTTTTCATAATTTCAAGGCAGAAATAATGGAAGAAAATTTTCAAATACTAGTTTGGAAAGTCACAGCCAGACATTTGAGAAAACTAAAAGAATTCAGAATCCAGTCCAGTTTACAGGTAAATAATAAAATCTCAAAAACAATGAATATGGTTAGAATCTAATTATCAGGTGCATAACAGTTTCCTATTTCTTTTTTATGAAATATAAATTTTTTCTCTGTAGTCCCCCTATTTTTACCAAAGATAATAATGGTAAGTCCAATTTATTTGCAAAGTAAGTTTGGTCCCTCATTAAATTTAGCTTGATCACTTACATAGTACAGCAAGAATGGTGATTGATCATATAGGCTTTTTATAAATTTGCTTTGCTGGATCTTTTTATAAGGAATCTCACATTAGACTTTTGAAAACCTCTTACAACTAGGAAGCTAAGCTAAGGACTCACGATCAAACGTTGCCAGTAATGCCTGTCAATGAGCACGAATACATGTGTTCTGGAGGTTCCTCAAAGTATCATGAGTTTCCTGGGCCCATCATGAACCAACATTGTTTACTCACTGTAAGTACAGAAACGTTGTAAGGAAACCATGTATTCAAGGTACCAGGCCAGTTTTTTCAAGGGGCTTTTATTGGCTCCATAAAATCAGCCTTAATTTCTTAAAACTCTGTGGTCATGTCTGAAAATATGACATTCCTGGCAGCTTTGGTAATGTAATCAGTGTTTCCAATTGTTGCCTGCTGCAAGAAGAATATATTTTTATTAAACTTATACAAATAACTATATTGTCATAGAAGTAAGAATACTTCTAAATAGTTTTCAAATTTTTAGGTAGGGAGAAAAGGTAATTGTTTTAATTCTGCTCACAAAAATATACTTTACCAAATGCCACAAGCTATAGATAGCTTAAGAGAAAAGTTTTCCTTAAGTCTGGAAAATAAAATATAAAATGAATCAGCAATGTTTCAAAGAAAAATCTATTTAAAAATTATAATCCTTCATCAGTTCTGTGTTGTGCAATCAATTCTTTTGCTTGATGTTAACAATTTTATTAACTCACTTTTCCCATTAGTTTTCAAAATTCTTATCCACTCAACGGAGTGTTCTTAAAGTTATCAGAAACTTGCTTTTAACAGTACTTATCAGAATCTTCACAATTTTCTCTGAAAAAGAAGTAATTTTGGACTGTAGCTGATTGGAAAAAAAAATTAGATAAGAATCAAAGCTGTTGGCTGGGTGCGGGGGCTCAGGCCTGTAATCCTAGCACTTTGGGAGGCTGTGGCGGGCGGATTGCCTGAGCTCAGGAGTTTCAGACCAGCTTGGGCAACATGATGAAACCCTGTCTCTACTAAAATACAAAAAAAGCCGGGCACAGTGGCTCACACCTATAATCCCAGCACTTTGGGAGGCCAAGGTGGGCAGATCAAGAGGTCAGCAGATCGAGACCATCCTGGCTAACATCGTGAAACCCTGTCTCTACTAAAAATACAAAAAATTATCTGGGCGGGGTGGCGGGGCCTGTAGTCCCAGCTACTGGGGAGGCTGGGGCGGGAGAATGGGGTGAACCCGGGAGGCGGAGCTTGCAGTGAACCAAGATAGCGCCACTGCACTCCAGCCTGGGCGACAGAGCGAAACTCCGTCTCAAAAAAAAAAAAAAAAAAAAAAAAAAATCAAAGCTGCTATCTATGGATGACAAAGACTTAGAATGACGTCTGAACTCTCATCAGGTTGTTAGCAATCTTGTGAACCCAGAAAATCTGAGACAGGTCTCAGTTAATTTAGAAGGTTTATTTTGCCAAGGTTGATGATGCGTCTGTGACACAGCCTCAGGAAATCCTGACCACATGTGCCCAAGGTGGTCGGGGCACAGCTTGGTTTATACATTTTAGGGAGACACAGCAATCAATATACGGAAGAAGTACATTGGTTCGGAGACACATCAATCAACATATGGACGAAGTACATGGGTTCGGTCTGGAAAGGCGGGACAACTTGAAGCAAAGGCAGGAAGACTCCAAGCAGGGAGGGAGCTTCCCGGTTTCAGGTAGGTGATATACAAATGGTTGCATTCTTTTGAGTTTCTGATTAGGCTTTCCAAAGGAGGAAATCAGCTATGCCACTATCTCAGTGAGCAGAGGGGTGACTTTGAATAGAATGGGAGGCGGGTTTGCCCTAAGCCATTTCCAGCTTGAGTTTTCCTTATTGATTTTGGGGGCCCAAGATACTTTCCTTTCACATTCCCCCTCTTTTCTTTTAAAAAACCTTTTGGAAAAAGCATTTTACAAGAAGATGAATCTCCGGTCTCAGGTTTCATCTGATCTCTCATGACTAGAACGGTTTATTCCTAGATGGGGAGGTCCCAAAAGCTCATTTTTAGCAGGTTGTGAAGTCTCATGTCCTGTGAAGAGAAAATAGTGGGAAGGAAGGGAGAAAAAGCAACAACAAACAAAAGAACAATCCTGGAAAAATCGATATAGGCCACGTTACGCTGAAGTCCATACATTAGTAGGCAGGTGTGAAAGTGGCTTTTGGATGTGAATAAGTTTCTATTATTTTCTTCTGAAATTTAAGTTGTGTGGCTTCAGTTTGGAGGGTTTAAAGAAAGCACAGCTTAGTTTTCAGTGACTCTGAATTAGGAAAAATGAAAAAGAAGACGGAAAAAATTGAAAATGTTATTTTGAATACTTGTAGCCAAGAAAAATTATAATTCAGTCCAAACTGTAGAAAATAATAAAAATTAAAAAAAAAATTAGGCAAGACTAGAATCTAATAATAGATGTACTATAGTTTTGAAACATATTTTTTTCTCTCCAGTTTCCCATTTTTAACTAAAATTATGGTAGGACTGGTTGCCTTTATTATACTTGGCCTAATTATTTGTATATAGTGCAGCAAGAATAATTATTTTTTTACATAGGCCTTTACATTGGCTTTGATGGAACTTTGTTCCATAGGAGGAATCTCAGACAAGACTTTTAAAGCCAAGCCCAGCCATGGATTTGTACCATCAAATACCTATGGGTTGGGTGAATTTCCTCTCCTCTGGAGGTTCCAAGATAAACCTGGGGCTTCTGCACCTGTCAGAAAGTGACATTCTTTACTTCCCACAGATCACAAGCCCTGTACAGAGACTGTGTACACAAAATATGAGGCTAGTTTCCAATGGCTTTATTGGCTTCATAAGTCAAGTTTGATTCCTTAAAGGAAAGCACACCATTCCAGTCAAAGCCATGGTAAAATAACCAGTTTCTTCAATTGTGTCCCACTGCAAATGAAAACAGTTTCTTTTTTTTGACAGAGTCTTGCTCTGTCACCAGGCTGGAGTGCAGTGGCACAATCTCAGCTCACTGCAACCTCTGCCTCCTGGGTTCAAGCAATTCCCCTGCCTCAGCCTCCCAAGTAGCTGGAATTACAGGCACACGCCGCCACACCCAGCTAATTTTTTTGTATTTTAGCAGAGATGGGGTTTCTCCATGTTGGCCAGGAAGGTCTCGATCTCCTGACCTCGTGATCCACCCACTTCGGCCTCCCAAAGTACTGGGATTACAGGCGTGAGCCACTGCGCCTGCCCTGAAAACAGATTCTTATTGCACTTATGCAAATAACTGTATTGCCACACCTTAAGAATACTCACAAAGTTTCCAAATTCTGGAGAAATCACATAAAGAGAAACAAATGTGCTCCAAATTTTGTTCATAGGAGTATACCAAATTGTTAAAAGCTGCCAATAGCTCAAAAGAAAAGTTTTGAGACTCTGAAAATGAAACAAAGGATCAGCAAACATATTAAGCAAAAAGTCAAAAAGATTGGTTTAGTTCATGCAGCGAAATCCTGTTCTGCTTGATACTCTTGAAAATTTTAGCTCTCCATGAGTCCTGAAACTTTTTCCTCTATTCTGATGTCACAATCTCCCAAGTTATCAGAAACCTGCATTTAAGAGCACCTGTTGGAGTTTTATAGCTGATTATAAAAGCACCTTGTAAAGGGGACCAAAACAAGACAACAATTGTCCACAGGTGAAAAAAAGTTTTAAGGCAGTCATAGTCAAAAGACACAATTGACAAGGAAACTTGTTACCTCTGGCACACAATAATTTTTACATAACAATTATGATTATTACTCACAATATACGCTGTTATATCAGAATTACATGAGTTTCCCATAATTTTGGAACACATACCAATAATCAACTTATACAAATACAGCCCAAAGAAAACCAAAAATATTTCATATTTGACAATGCTTTCTATATAATTTTTATACCAAATAAGCCAAATTATGTCATTTTTGGACTTTAGGAAACTAATATCTTAAAGGATTAATTAGGTTAGAAAGAGACATAATTTATAACTTGATTTTGGAAAGTTTGTCAAATATAAAAGGTTTAAAACATTTGATATTACAAAATAAGATTACAGGTCATTGTAAAATCATTTATTTAACCAAAATGATAATTCAAGGATTTCAAAAAAAAGCAAAAACCTTCATTCATTGCAAGAGAAGACTTAATTCTCTAAACAAGAAGCCCTAATAAAGACAGAGTGAAGCCAATTACATTTGTTTTTCAAAATTTTGTAAACAATCTATAAAATTTAATCTTGATTATAAAACTTCCATAAGCCTTTTCTAACCTTTATAACCTTTATTAAGGGGTTGGTTCATGCTTCAAGAAAACCTTGCTAATCTGACACAGGGGTCCATATACTGGTTTTGCATCAGCGTGCCTTTGACATTAATAATTAATTTGTAGAGAAACTGAACTTACTTTATCTTTCAAAATTGACCCTTACAATCTTATGCTCCCACCTCTTTTGCAATTGTCCCTGGGTCTTGAGGAGTTGCATAGCTTTAATTTCTGGCCCTGTGTCTCAGGAATGTAGTTTGTTTTGATTGGCATCCTCTATGGGGCCTGAAGATGAGGCTTTAATTGTTGCCAGTGTTTAAGATTTAACAGGACTTGTTGTCCTTTTTAGACCAAGGAATTAAAGCCCTCTAACTCAATGTTACAAGGACTTTAAAAGCATATACAGGAAGATACGTGGATATAATAACCTCAATTTTTAAAAAAAATTATCTCCATTTTTTTTTCCTAAGCAAACCAAAACTTAATAATAATATGACAGCTTGATTATATAAAAGTTTTTGGGTTTTTTAAATATATAAACCCTCTTATTGTGACTCACACTGACTGCTCATCAGACTTTCTGATTTGTTTTGAATATCCCTTCTTTTTAAACAACCAGTTATTTCATTTTAGAATGAAACTATACAAGATTCTTTCATATATAATATTATTTCTCTTTAAGCTTTTTTTAACCTCAAAAACAATCTCTTTATTTTGATAACTTTCTTTACATCTTTTTTATTTCCTGATTCCTTTTACCTTGTTTTATACATAACCTTTAAATAAGCTTTGAGTTAGACAAAACTTGTTCACCTTTAAAGAAAAAAATAAAAGAGACACACTTGTTTTTTGTTTGTTTAGCAAGAATGTTTTCCTACAATATATATTTATTGGAAAATACCCAAATAATGAAATATCCCTTATTTGGTTTAATGTAACTTTATAATCTAAATTATGGCCAGTTTGTCTACAAGTATTTATCCCATTATATTTACCTAATTATTTTATTTTGTTTACATAGATTCTTTATGAAAATTGTGATAGTCATGATTTAAAGTTATGAAACCACCATTGCAAAATTATAACTGAGACAGTGGAAAAAGATTTAACGTAACTGATTCCATATTGCTCTTAACCTCCAGGCTGTCCTTGTTCATTCCTGGGCTCAGGCTGAACTACCTTTGGGAGGAACTTAGTTTATAGTTTAGCTTTGAAACAAAGATGATAACAGTCGTTTTGCAAAACAAACCTCCTTATTGTCTGTGGACTAAATTGCCTAAAGCCACAGGATTAGAAGTTATGGTAACCTTACTAAATTCAAGATGGAACTATTTTCATTAAAGTCATATTGATGTCTTATTTATTAAAAATTACACAAGCAAAGATCATTCTGTTTTGGACCAGGTTTATAGTTTTGTAACCCCTATGCCAAATTTTTAACACCTTATAGTGTTTGGCAGGGATAAGTATGAAATAGTTTAATAAATGCAAACAAAAATGTATGCTGGCAATTCTTTTTTTTTTTTTTTTTTTTTTGTGACGGAGTCTCACTCCGTGTCCCAGGCTGGAGTGCAGTGGCACGATCTCGGCTCACTACAAGCTCCGCCTTCCAGGTTCACACCATTCTCCTGCCTCAGCCTCCTGAGTAGCTGGGACTACAGGCGCCCGCCACCACGCCTGGCTAATTTTTTTGTACTTTTAGTAGAGATGGGGTTTCACCGTGTTAGCCAGGATGGTGTCGATCTCCTGACCTCGTGATCCACCTGCCTCAGCCTCCCAAAGTGCTGGGCTTACAGGCGTGAGCCACCACGCCTGGTCTATGCTGGCAATTCTTAAGACATTTCTAATATGACTTTACCAAGTTAGCTCATGCTGGTCCCAAGCACCGATAGATTTGTCAAAGGTCAGGGGCATCTCCACTCAGAATCCCCGCAATGGTTACCGAAATGTGAACCCAGAAAATCTGAGACAAGTCTTAGTTAATTTAGAAAGTTTATTTTGCCAGGGTTAAGGATGAGCCTGTGGCACAGCCTCAGGAAGTCCTGACAACATGTGCCCAAGGTGGTGGAGCACAGCTTGGTTTTATACATTTTAGGGAGACGTGAGACATCAAT
Source organism: Homo sapiens (assembly GCF_000001405.40). NCBI lineage: Eukaryota > Metazoa > Chordata > Mammalia > Primates > Hominidae > Homo > Homo sapiens. Next base: position 187,775,324 of record NC_000004.12, read on the forward strand.
CAATATGTGTAAGAAGTACATTGGTTTGGTCTGGAGCAAAGGCAGGAAGACTTAAAGTGAGGAAGGAGCTTCCAGGTCACAGATAGGTGACACACAAATGGTTGCATTCTTTTGAGTTTCTGATTAGCCTTTTCAAAGGCGGCAATCACATATGCATCTATCTCATGAAGCAGAGGGGTAACTTTGAATAGAATGGGAGGTGGGTTTGCCCTAGGCCGTTCCCAGTTTGAGTTTTCCTTAGTGATTTTGGGGGCCCAAGATACTTTCCTTTCACAATTTGCTAAGAGTTTATTATAATAATGATACAATTGACCAAAAAAAGTGGTTATTTCTGTGGCATACAATATTTTAACATAAAAATCGTAATTATGACAGATAACATTTTAATACATACATATTATGTATAAGAAATCTTACAGAATTTTGGAACACATGTTAATATACTCATACAAAGATAACTCAAAACTGTTGAACATTATTTCTTATTTGACAATTCCTCCCATGTAATTTAATATAAAAAATAAGCCTAATAAGTATATCTTTTATATTTCCTTTGGGAAGTTCCAGGGTCCTTTGGGACATCTCAAAGTTACACTAAGGTCAAAAAGACTTAATTTAGAATTTGATCTTTGGGAAATTCATCTTACAGCAAAGGTATAAAACACTTGATTAAAATATAATCACAGGTTACTATGAAATATTAGTCATTTACTTAACTGGAGTGATATTTACAGATTTCAAAAGCAAATAAAAGAATTTATAGACTTGTAGAAAAACCTTAACTCTTTCAATATTCACTTTTCTTAAGTAATCAGAGACCTAATGAAGACAGCATGAAGCATAGGAAATTATCTTGATGAAACACAGAATTTTTCTCTCTTCTTTCTCTCCTCTCACTTTTTTTAGTTTACTTAAAAGAGAAACAAAAATATTTTACTGTCTCTTATCAATTCCACATGAAAATTTTGTTTTTAAAAGGTCATGTTCTACTTTTGCATCAGTGCACTTTTGATATGAAGATTTAATTTTTAGAAAAACTTATAAATATCATCTAAGTTTAGCCAGCTTGATATACACAAAATTTCTTTCACAAGATTTATCTTCAACAAACCTTTCACAACTTTCTAATCCATTCATTTTATCTATATCACTCCTTTTGTTATTCATTCATTCTGCAAAAACATCTAAATAACCTCCAAACTAAGCAAAACTCTCCTTCCTCAATAAAAGCATATCATAATATCTCATGACACTGTAATTTTCTTGTATACTTTGTGTACAGAATTATTTCCTTATCTCTAGTAGTTTAAGTTACATATTAGAATTTTAGGCCTTATAACTTAATTTCCAGTAAAAATCCAGGAAGTAAGATATTTTGAAGTCTTATTTACCAGTATTTTATAAGTACATATTTTATAATTTCTAGAGACATAAGCTTTCTCTTAGAACAATTTTTTCATGTGGAACAGGACATGTTTACTAACATCTCAGATATATTTGTCTTTATGTAAAATTTAAGAAACCAAAAGTAAATAAACTTATGTTCAGCAATTAATGTTTCAGTATTTTATCTTATTTGGAACTGATCTAGATCTTCAATGAGCATCTGTCATTTAACTTAGCAAAACTGTAAGGGTATAGGTAGAGACTTGAGAAACTAAGTAAGCACCTTATAAAATATAGCTTTTTAAGAGTATTTTTATAAACTTTTACCTAACTTACATCTTATTTAATTCATTCTTTTTTAACAATTATGCCTGGAAAATTTATGAGACATTAGACAAAGCTAGTCATCAAAGAAGATAATCTGTTTGATTTAAAAGTCACTTATAGGCCAGGTGCAGTGGCTCATGCCTGTAATCCCAGCACTTTGGGAGGCCAAGGCAGGTGGATCACCTGCGGTTGGGAGTTTGAGACCAGCCTGACCAACATGGAGAAAACCCATCTCTACTAAAATACAAAATTAGCCAGGTGTGGTGGTGCATGCCTGTAATCCCAGCTACTCGAGAGGCTGAGGCAGGAGAATCACTTGAACCTAGGAGGCAGAGGTTGTGGTGAGCCGAGATCATACCATTGCACTCCAGCCTGAGCAACAAGAGCGAAACTCCATCTCAAAAAAAAAAAGGTCACTTATTAGATAAAAGTCTAAAGGTCCTCTAAGTTCTTGTTGTCTTGAAATCACTCTACCTACCACGTTATTAATTTGGAAGCCTATTTTTCCCTGTTTTGGCCAGAAAAAATTTAAAACTTACAGCAAGCTTTTGAAATCAGTAACAGTTCTTTTTTCTTGTGTCTATAGGTCTGTTTAATTGTCTAGTTAGTGTAGGTGAGAAATGGCTTTCAAAGGTTATTTTCAGGGTTGGTGTTTTGTTGTTATTGTTGTTATTTTTCTTATCCATGCACTGCAGACAAAGCATTTTTAATTGTCAGATAAGCATACCTTTTCTTGTTGTTTTCAGTTCAAGATTTTGGCCAAAGCAAAATAGTGGTTTAAAAAGTAGACTTGGTTAATCTGTGTTGCAGCTCTTCACTCTTGTTGTTTGGCAAGTGGGAGGGAGTGTTACAGCTCTTTTATTCCCACCATGGGCAAGCGCCAGGCTCTTGTCCCATGACAAGGAAGAATAAGGCACATGGACACCAGAGAGAGTGAGGCAGAGTCAGATTTACTAAATGATAGAAAAGCACTTAGCAGAGAGAGGACCCGAAAGCCACCCATGAGTCTGAGTTTGGGGGTTTTTATGGACTGCAATGTGAGAGGAGTGTGCTGACTGGTCTGCAAGCTGTCTTGGAGACAGCACCACTCAAAAAGAGGTATGATAGTGTAAACAGCCAATTGAAGGCAGAGGTGAAGGCTTGGCCTGGGACGTTGGCCTGGGACAAATCAGTGGCTGAAGTGATGATTCACTCTATGTAAATGAAGATTCAGCTTGTTGTCAATCACAGAAAGGTAGGCGTATATAAAATAAGTGAAAAGTAAGAGACTAAGGTGCACCAAGGAGAGAGAAATGTGTCCAAAAAGGAAGTGGAATTTGTTCATCTGGGTTCACAGAGTAGGTGTTTCCATTCAAGGATGCTGGCTCCTTCTTATCTGGGGCCTGCAGTTTGATTTTCAGGCTGTTCTTGGTTTGAAGGAGTTTTACCAGGGACCCACCCTAATTGCCTGCCTGACTGGTTTCTTCCTTTCTCCTCTCTCATGAGAGTCATCAACAGATTCAGAATAAAAGTTGTATGTCTACAGTGTATTTATTGCTGATAGATATGTCTGCTTAAATTAAACCAATAGTATTAAACTAGTATTATTTACCAAAGATTTACCCAAGTAACATAAACTTAGAAAGCATTTGGGTTAGTTCCTATATTTTATCATCTTTAAGCATATATTTTATATGAGTACTCATTTATGTCTTTAGCCAATTAAATAGACTATTTTAAGAGATTTTATATCATATAGACATAATGTGCAAGTATACATATACACATGTATAAATATACACAAACATACAGATAGACACAAACAAATATCTTGTAGCTTTTATTTTTAAATTTTAGTTAAGAGACAGGTATAATAGTATAAAACTTACTAGTCTATAAAAGGACAGTTAGATCCATTAGAAAGAACAGAGATGCCTCAAAATATATATTGATAGATTGATAGGCATAGCCTGAATATCAGCTTCCAATTAAACTAACTTTTGACCATAGACCTCTTTATTAAAAATATTCTTTTCAAATATTTTTATTATCAAATTTAGCTGGGGCAAACAGCAAACAATTCTGCTTCCTAGCTTCTCGTTCCCTGAAATTTGCATTTGAAAAGGGATGGTTTCTTGGTAAAACTGATTAGGAAATTTATATCTCAAAGGCTCAGGGAAATACAGTTTTCACCAAGAAGGTATTTTGGGGAGGTATATTTGCCTATTAAAGGTCTAGGATAATTGCTATTCAAAATTCCTTTTTTAAAAAGTGCAAGAGAGCCCTGTTTCCTGATGCTTTTCAGTATCAGATAACATCCTGAGGTGAATAGGTGAGGTTTGGGGTTTTCTTTGAATTGCTTTAAAGCAATTAAATTTTTGTTTTTGTAAAGACTCAATTTGTAAGACAAGAATAGTTACTTTTTTTTTTTTTGAGATAGAGTTTTGCTCTTGTTGCCCAGGCTGGAGTGCAATGGTGCAATCTTGGCTCACTGCAACCTCTGCCTCCTGGGTTCAAGCGATTCTCCTCCTGCCTCAGCCTCCTGAGTAGCTGGGATTATAGCCATGCGCCACCACACTTGGCTAATTTTGTATTTTTACTAGAGACTGGGTTTCTCCATGTTGGTCAGGCTGGTCTTGAACCTACAACCTCAGGTGATCTGCCTGCCTCAGCCTCCCAAAATGCTGGGATTACAGGTGTGAGCCACTGCGCCTGGCCTAAGAATAGGTACTTCTAATTCCCTTAAGAATTGGGTGGCAGCCTGAATGATTTTAAGGGACTGTCCCATCTATCCAACTATATTATCTTTAACTTATTTCTCTCTATCAAGGAGCAGATTTTCAACTAAGATGAAAATCAAAAGATCTTTCTGTTCCAGATATAGACTTAATTACCTTTGAAATGTTTTAATATTTTTTTTTCTGAATATATCGTTCCATTTTAGCTAAGGAGACAAGGCAAAAAAAGCAAACAGAAGTTTCTGTAAGAACGAAGTTTCAAACCAAAGGTATACCTGGAAAATGACTCAAGGCAAAATTAATACTTAAGACAAAACCAATAAGACTTTAAGGCTTTAATTAACATCTCCAAAAAAAGAGCAAAAATATGCATCCCTTTCAAAATACAGACCCTCCCAAAAAACAGCCAAAAGCGAGAAAACCTTTGCCAGCCACAAATAGGGTACAACAAACATTTTCCTCCAGAGACATTCTTAAGTCTCCCAACCTTTTGGCTGGCTGCCTGCAAACAAAGGCCCAATAACCTGTGGGCCTTTGGTGGATGCAAAGTCATAAAGACAATAGTCAGTAAGACAAAGAGAAAGACAAGCTTGCCATTAGGTGTAGGGGGAAGGATCACTAATGTAGGGGCCAAGGGAAGACTTCCCCCACTTATTGTAGGGACAATAAATGATTACCAGAGAGAACAAACGGATCAGGGAGCAGAGATTAACCTGTAAATGATCCTCCTTGGAAACTGAGCCTGAAAGAGGGACATTATCTTGTGAATGGGTCTGGTCAGGTGTGGTTCCATTCTTCAGTCTTCTTTTCTATAATAAATAATAAGATGACATGGAGGGGAAGGAAACACAATTGCTCCCTGTGGTCTTTATGTAGGTGGGGAAGGTCTGCCAGCATCTGTTGATCTGTAAGGGCCCGTAATTCAAAATACTGATTATACCAGGGAGCCATATTTTAGAGTAAAATTCCCTGCACTCCTTTACTAACAATAAGCCTTTATATGACTTAAAACCACAGATGCAAGTATCAGGTTCCAAAGTGGGTGCAAAAGATGCAGCCCCTCAAGATCTAAAGTTTTTACCTAAGATACCCTAGGAAAGCAAAAACTCTCATTATTAACAAGGTAACGAAGGTTGAGGCAATTAAGACAAACTCCTGAGAGCTGGCATGGTGAGACAAATGTTTGGACTTCTAGCTAGCCGGCATAAGTACAACAACTTGTGATCCCCAGGCTGGCCCAAGATACTACAAAGACTAACCTTTGAGACACAGCAGGGACCCCCTATTAGGGCCCTGAGAGCCCCCCAAAAAGCATGGAAATATGGAAAGATCTTGAGTTCCTTCAAAGGAAATTCCAGGCACATAGCTAGCCCTGAGAAGTAAATAAACAACTTATTAAAGGAGATAATAGTAGCCTGAAACGATGGCCAAGGAAGCTGGGGTCAGGAGATGTTTGCTTTCCCTATGGAAACTAAGGATGACATCTTAACATATGTCCCTGAGTTGTCTTTCAGAAACATGGACCCCCACCAGGATCCCCACAGAACAGATTCACTGGCATGTAGACCTCAAATGAGGGAGAACTGAAGGCTGAACTGTGACCACCACTCTTTGTCCCAAATGTCTTCCTGAGAGGCCTGGTGGGAGTCACACCCATGAGCTGGTTAACATTCTTTTCTGCTGATCCCTAATTTTAAAATAAAGCTTCTCTTCCTTAATCAATTGCAAATCAGAAAATCTTTGAATGTGCCCATGACTTGTAAGCCCTTGCTACAGGATTTCCCACCCTTTTAGGCCAGAACCAATGTAACCTCCATGTATTGAATTATGATTTTTCCTGTAGCTTCTACTCCTGCCTTGAAAAATTCTTGCCTGCAAACCATTTGGGAGGCCAGGATTTGAAGATGAGCTGTCTGGTCCTGCTTGTTTGGCACCCTGAAAATAAATGACTTCCTTTCTGCCACTGCAACCTCAGTGTGGATATCTGGTTTTACTGTGTTGGGTGAGTGGACTCCAGTTCTGTAACACCTTGCTGGTTACAAAGCCAAACTCTCAAAACATAAAGAAAAACAAAAGGAAGATATTTTCATAATTTTCCTCCTTAAGACAAACCACACAAAAGACAGAGATAAGGAAAACAAAGACCTCCTGGAAGGCTAAAGATCAATAACTAGGCTGGGCTTGGTGGCTCACGCCTGTAATCCCAGCACTTTGGGAGGCCGAGGCAGGTGGATCATGAGGTCAGGAGATGGAGACCATCCTGGCTAACATGGTGAAACCCCCTCTCTACTAAAAATACAAAAAATTACCCGGGCGTGGTGGTGGGCACCTGTAGTCCCAGCTACTCAGGAGGCTGAGGCAGGAGAATGGCATGAACAAGGAGGCGGAGCTTGCAGTGAGCCAAGATCGCGTCTCTGCACTCCAGCCTGGGCGACAAAGCGAGACTCTGTCTCAACAAAAAAAAAAAAAAAAAGATCAATAACTAACAGGTGCCCAAACCAAATCCACAAGAGTCACCAATTCAAATAATTAATTATTTTTTCAAAATCATTTTTTTCTGTTGCAAATTTGAATTTAAAAAACAAAAAAAATAGGAGTTTTGTTTTTTTTTTCCTTTCTCTCTCAGCGAGGCACTACACATAGAGATACGAGAGAGCTCACTTTGGTAAAAATTCTCTTTTTTCTGCCAGCTTCTGCCACTTCTCCCAGGATCACATCTGCAGCTGTCAGGGCAAGTGGAGTGTGCCAGAATCTCTTGGCTAGATCACCAAAATCAAGCAGAGAAAATAAAAATTTTAACTCAATCCTCCCAAGTTCACAGTTGGAACAGACTCCTGTAACACGAGACTGATTAACAAAAGAAAAATAGGTGACTTATTAACACATGCAGTGCACATCACCTGTGAGAAAAGGAACTCAAAGCAGTGATCTAGGACTTACATAAACAAAGAACAATAAGTTTTATACAAGTGACAAGACAAAGAAAAGCAGCACCAGACTTCCAAACACCAGAAACTGTGGGAAGGTAAATATATGGAAATACACTAACGAAGTAAAAATCTGCTCACAGATTCCTCTGAGCCATTTCTGAGCTGATGAGCGTTGGAGTGGAGAATTTACATCCGTGTTTATGTGAGAAAACAAGGGAAGGATAGGAAAGATGTTTTCTTCTATCAATCTCTGTCCTGCTTTTAGGCAAACAGAGAGGGAAGGCAGAGACTCTTAGTTGAGAATCTAAGTTGTCTTAGAGAATCTTAGTTGTCTTCAGTTCAACAATATTTATGTCAAAGAGGCATACTTTGAGGTGACACATTCTGGTTTCCTTCAGTTCAAAGACCAGATTTTGAAGGAAAGACATGACTGATAAAGATTATTCAGGGATTTGTTCCTCTCTCTTTAGTACAAAATAGCTATAAAATTTATGCTGTTCACAAATGCTGGGGGATTTGAAGAGTTGCTGAATTTTGAGCCAAGGACATGTGTATGTATATAAACAATGACATGTATATATTTTTTCTTTTTATAAACTTGTAAATTTCTTGAAATCCAAAATAAATTCATATAAATTTGTCCTCCAATTGTGACTTCTAAGAAATATTTATTAAATGAAAGACATCCTAACAATGACACTAACTCGTCCTCCAGACATCATTACAGTTGGCTCCTTGTCATCATTTGGCCCCCAGTGCAAATGTTCCTCCTCAGCAGTGCTATAGAAAGCAGCTCCACCTTCCCTAGGCACCCTCTACAGTATCATCTATTCATTATTTAATTGTTTTCACAGTATTAATCAGAACCTGAAATTATCTTATTCAAGTATTTGGTTACTGACATGACCACTCTCCTTCATCCTGGAAGCATTATGATAACTAAGACCTGGTATGTTTTCTTACCATTCTACTCCTAGTCCCTTGAACAGTGCCTGGTATATAATAGGTAAATACTAAATATTTTTCGAATGAAGGAAGGGATAAATAAATGGGTTCAGTAGAATCCATTTCACTCAACGGAATCCAACTGAAAACATACTCTCTAGTCAGCAAGGTTTTTAACATGCAGATTAGAAGCTCTGGGGAGGGGTTGATTGTATCTAGGAGGATGTACTTAAATTTCTTCTTTGGGCATAGGGGCTTCTGGCAAATTTTGTAGCAAATTAGTATTTCTATTGGAATCCTAGTCAGATATTTCTGAGTTTTAGACCTAAGTAGTTTTCACATCAATTATGAAAGATAAAATTATTTCAAAAGATACTTGAATTCAAATCTAGTATATAGAGTGAATGCATTTTAAAAGTTAAAAAAATAAGAAATTAGGTTATATTTGAAAGAATCTCAGCTGAAGATTTTTGTGCTTTTATTACAAAGGAAGAGGTACCACTCTCGCCGGTTTTACATCTTGCATTTTAAAAAGTTAAGTACAGCCAGACACGGTGGCTCACACCTGTAATCCCAGCACTTTGGGAGACCAAGGCGGAAGGATCCTTTGAGCCCAGGAGTTCAAGACCAGGCTGAGCAACATGGTGACAAAATTAAAAAATAAAAATAAATAAAAATGTTAAGTAGTGATACGAGAAAGGAGCAGGAAAGTGCTGGGTTGAGAAAGATGGGGTCCCTGGTGAGAGCTTCACTCTCGAGCCTGTGCCCACGGACCCAAATGAGGACAGGCATTTCTGATTTTGTGTCCAAAAAGTTGCCCTTTGGCCCACGACACCCCCCATCCTGTGCCCATAAAAACCCAGGACCCAACAGGCACATACACAAGTGGCTGGACATTGAGAGGAGCAGAAGAAGACACACTGGCAGACATCAGCAGGCCAGTGATAATGGAACGACACAGATGCTGAGGGGAATTCGGCCAGGTCCAGTCGAAGAAGAGTCCAGTGCTGGGCAGCCCGACTCCAGGGGAAGGCCACCTTTCCACTCCATCCCCTTTCCAGCTCCCCATCCATCTCACTGAGAGCCACCTCCACCACTCAGTAAAACCCAGCACTTGTCCTCCAAGCCCACATATGATCCAATTTTTCTGATACGCTAGAGCAAGAACCCGGGATATAGAAAGCCCTCTGTCCTTGCCATAAGGCAGAGGGTCTAATCGAGCTGATTAATACAAGCTTCTGCAGACAACAAAGCTGAAAGAGTGCACTGTAACACGTGCCCACTGGGGCTTCGGGAGCTGTAAACACTCAACCCTAGACACTGCCATGGGGTCGGAGCCCAGAAATGCTCCCCACAACCTGCCTGCCTGCATGCTCCCCGTAGGGGTTTGGGCAGCAGGGCAAGCCATGCCCCTGTCACATGCCCTGAGAGGGGGGATAAGGGAACTTCTTCTGTTTTAGTAGGAAGTACTCGTCTAGCTTTCCTACCAGTTAAAAATAAAATCAAGGTCTTTTGGCTTGTGTACAAAAAATTCATCAGGATTGTAGTTATTGTAATGCTTATTAATAATCTACAATGGATCTTCAGTTCAACTCAAAGTCATGATGGACACTGTTTGGCCTCCAGCTATGATCTCAGCCTTAGTGTTGAAGAAAGCCCCTGAAATACGGGCAGACAGTGATATTCAGAGCCGCATGTAAAGAGCCTTTCGGAAATCCCCTTTGCTCTGCCCTGTTTCATTCCACATCCGTCTGCACCTTAGCCAGCATTGCATCTATTCTAACTAATTGGTTCTTAAAATGATAAAGCAGAACAACAGATAACAATAAGAAAGTCCTGGACTGTGGGCGCTTCTATTTGTAGAGAATGGAAGACTAACTGAGCCTATCAATATTTTAGTCTCAAGAGCATTACCCCTGGACAGTATAATGCTGCTAACTTGTCTAGAGAAGTATCATTGTACGTGCTAAGTAATAGGAAGAATATGTCTAGCATCAATTATAAGTTGCAATTCACACTGTGCAGGGTGCTCTTCAAAGCCGCAATACCTTCATCCTTACACAACTGTAAATCATGATTTTATTTCAGAATAGGGTCTCTGCTTTTTTACTCACTTTGAAAAGAATCTGACACAGTGTGAAAGTGAACATTTAATAAGTACTTCCTTCTACACCTGCACACAGGGAATGGATGATAAATGCTGTTGTCTGAGTTTATCATGATAAGACGAGGCACAATGGAGAGACAATTAATGAATATCCTTTGATTGATGATAAGACAAGCAGTACAAATATGGATTTTTCTTCTTTTGCAGCTCTTCTCAAATAGCTCTAAACAAAAGCAAAACATGCTCTGGCCACAGAAAAGACTTACGACACAAGATTATTTCTTATTGCCATTAATTTCATCTTAATAGACATTATTAGCTTATTACACAGATTATATTATATTATATTTGCATAAATTTATCACATAGCTTATTATGTGCCACACACCATTTACATGCTATATACATGCAAATGTGTTTAGTCCTCAAATCCACCCTAATAATAATGATGGTGATAATCATAACATACTATTATGATTCCTATTTCTACAGATGAAGAGAATGCACAGAGAGAAAGTATCTTGTCAAAGAGCATGGTGCTAGTAAGTGTCAGAGTCAGGATTTGAACCTAGGTAGCCCAGTACCTGAATGTGTGTACTTACACTATTTATCATTTATTTATATTTATTTATTGTATTTATTTTTATTATTTATTATCATTTATTTATTTTTATTTTTATTTTATTATTTATTTTTATTTTTTATTATTTATCATTCATTTAATATCATTTAGTGTAGGAACACCAAATGATGTAGTGAAGTAATTTTCTTTAACATGCTCAACACATAAAGGACTTCACACTATAATAAACCCAGAGATATTTTAATGAGCTCCATAGGAACATATCTCTAAGTTAGTCATTTAACTTAAAATCCCACTGTACCTAGCTTCCACTATTAGTAAATCAAAGAGTGTTCTATCAAAAAATTCCTTTTCTCCTTACCTCCAACCCTCCTTATTTCATAGACCTTGCCTACCACACTTTCTAAATGGAGATGTAGTCCCAGTTGTATTTCTACTGTTCAGAGAGCGAACAGGCATCCGTCTCCAACTACAAACTATACACTTGTGCTACGTGACTGAGAACAGCATGTGGATGCAAGTTCACCTTGGAATTCCACCACAATGAAGCTGTTTGTGAGCCGCTTTCTGCTTAAAGAACACTTTAAGTTTCCTCAGTAAACATCTTTTCATAATGTGAAGGTAATCTCAAATTTTATTTAATACTAAGTAGGTCATAAAAAGTTAGAGTTTATAAGTTTCATTTGACCATTTCTTGTTGAAAAGATTTTGGAAATGAGGACATAGGTCTTTCTTGAGGCAGAAAGCATTATGGATATAAAGAAAAAGATAAAGAGCATAGGGTCAGAGAGACCTCAGTTTAAATTTTAAACACATCTGAGCCTCAGTTTGCACATCCTTAAAATGGGGTAAATACTACACCTGACACACATAAGGTTTATCTGTAATGTGCAAATTAACAATGTCCTTGCCAACATAATATTTAAAAGTCTGCTTTGTTCCCAACCTTGTTAGAATTTCCATTTGGGTCTTCTGCACATTATTTTTCAATAAAATGCTGATTTTTCAGTCCTTGACCCTCTTCTCTTAACTCTTGGTAGTAAAATAAATCTCTACTCAGACAATTACTAAAGTTCCATCTCCAGCCTGGACCTCTCCCATGAAATGTGACTCATATATTCAACTGTCTGCTTCACTTCTCTTCAGAAATATTATAATATAATAATATTATTATAATGGTGTAATATATAATAAGTATCTCAAATGTAACTTCTTCAATACTACACTTTTGACTTGGACACTCAACCATAGTTCATGCTGCAGTCTTTCTTATCACAATAGATGACATCTCTTGCTTCTTAGTACACAGTCCTAAAGCTCTGGAGTTGTCCTTGAGACATTTTTCTCTGAAACTTATATCTTGACAACAGCAAATTCTATCTATTCTACATGTTTAAAAATATTTGGCTGCTTCAAGGTCAGAAAGATATTCTCCTATTTTTTTCTTATAAAAACATCACTGTTTAATCTTTCATTTTTAGATCTGGAATTATTTTTGTGTGTATTGTGAGGTAGAAGCAAAATACATTTTTTGTATTGATTTCCAACTGACCTACAGCCATTTATTGAAAGGGTCATCCTTTCTCCCACTGCCTTTTTTGTCATAAATCTAGATTCTCTACTCTTTTCCGTTGGCTTTAGCCATTGGCATACATAGTTAAGATTTAATTACTATACCTTTATAATTGGCATTTATATCTAAAAATGTAAATCTTCCAGCTAAATTCTGTTTTCCTTGACTATTCTTGATCATTTGCAATTTCATAGGAATTACAAAATGAGCTTGTTAATTTATGTAAACACACATGCATACACACCCTGCTAAGATATAGGATTGAGATTGTGTGGAATTCCAGATCAGTTTAGAGAGAATTGACAAAAATGGGCACAAGACTGAACCAGCACTTAAGAAGAGTATATCCAAATGACCAATAAATATATCAAAACTTTATTCTTCGTCAGAGAAATTAAAATTAAAATCATATTAAGATTCCACTACATATTTGCCAAATGTCTAGAATGAAAAACACAGGTAATACCAAATGTTGGTAAGAATGTAGAACAACTAGAATTCTCAGGCAAAACTTTGGAAAAGCATTTGGCCGTGTCTACTAGAAATGACCATATGTATCTCCTATTTCTTGGCAATTTCACATCTAAAATATGTGCAACAGAAGTGGATATTTATGTCCACCAAATATGTATGTATGTTTGTGGGTTTGTGTATATACATATATATAGAAAACTGAATGAGAGTCAACAATAGGATGGATAAATACATTGTGCTATAGTCATACAATGAAATCCAATACAGCAATGACAATTAACAAGCTACATCTATACAAAGCAGTGCTGATGAGTCTAAAATCATAGTAGGCAAAATAAGTTAGACCCAAATAATACATTTTGTATTATTTAATTTATATATATTTCAAAAGCAATCAAAACAAATTCATGGTGATAGAAGTCAGCATAGTTGTTCCCCCTGGGGAAAAGTGATTCAAAGAGACACAGGATGAGCCGGGTGCGGTGGCTCATGCCTGTAATCCCAGCACTTTGGGAGGCCAAGGTGGGTGGATCACCTGAGGTTAGGAGTTCGAGACCAGCCTGGCCAACATGGTGAAACCCTGTCTCTACTAAAAATACAAAAAATTAGCCTGGTGACTCATGTCTGTAATCCCAGCTACTAGGGATGCTGAGGCAGGAGAATTGCTTGAACCCAGAAGGTGGAGGTTGCAGTGAGCCAGGATCACACCACTGCACTCCAGCTTGGGGGATGAGTGAAAATCTGACTCAAAAAAACAAAAAAACAAAACGAAACAAAAAAAACAGAGACACAGGATGGCTCTGAGATGCTGGCAATGTTCTGTGTGTTATCTGCATGCTAGTCACAGTGATGGCGGTGGCAGCCCTTCTGGAGCAGCCTCTGCGGGACACCAGCTGCAGTGGGGGAGGTGTGGCCGGGGCTGCGTGCTACACAGAGTCAGCCAGGTTGGGAACAAGTGGGAGCCCCACCCCTTACCAAGTTGGCAGGTTGGGAGCCCAGTGCTCTGGGAACAGCTGCAGCCACCCAGCCACGGCTCTGGACTCGGCATCCCTGCGGTCTCAGTGGCCCAGGAAGCCGCCCCCCTCAACCAACAGACTTGGAATTGCCTCCTCCTGTTCCCTGGTGTTTCCCTGCTCCCATTGCCTCCAATTTTGGAGCAAAGTTGTGGCAGAGCCAAAGTGCTTTGGCAACCTGGCCATGTATGTGTACGCTCAGGGCAGCGCTGACACACCAGCCCCCTGCCACCTCAGCCCCCTCTGGACTTTGGGTGTCAACAAGCATGGGAGGGAGGCTGAGGGGACGCTGAGGGTGGCTCAGCATGGGCCTGCAGGTGCCCCTCAGCAGGAACAGCCTTAGTGCTGTGGATGGCATGTTGATGGTGGCAGGAGGCAGGCTCCTGGGTGGAAAGGCGTGGGTCCCCAGTGAAACCCAACCTTTAAGCCAGGGACAGACTGAAGCCTGGGGACCAAGCTGCCAGCTCCAGGTGGAGTCTATGGCCAGGAGTGAGAACTTATGGTGCTTTTTCTGGGCCGCCCATGGCCATCCATGGACCAATCAGCACGCATTTCCTCCCTTCTGAGCCCATAAAAACCCTGGACTCAGCCAGACTCAAACAGACATTGAGACTACCAGCTGCTTCATAAATTAGTTAATAAAAGCTAGTGAGTTTTGAATGCCACATTAGTAGAATGAACACTTTTTTTTTCTTCAATTATCTTAAGCTCAGGGGTGCATGTGCAGGATATGCAGGTTTGTGACATAGGTAAACGTGCACCATGGTGGTTTGCTGCACAGGTGGTCCCATCACCTAGGTATGATGCCCAGCATTCATTAGCGGTTCTTCCTGATGCTCTTTCTCCCACTCCCAACAGGTCCCAGTGTGTGTTGTGCCCCCACCCTCCATGTTTCCATGTGTTCTCAGCACAGAATGGGCGTTTGAAGGAAGACTTTGAAGAAGAAAATGGGAATGATTTCCAGTAAGTATTTTTTATCAGTCTTTTTATGACTCATACAAATATTTGTGGGCCTAAAGTAAATGTAAACACTAATCTTAAGAAATATTTGTCCTTTTTGAGTTTTAATGTGTCTTTATGTTTGCATTTATCCAATTAATATCAGAACAAAAATATATAATAAGTACTAGAGACAATTTAAAGAAATTAAACTGTTTCCAGAAGGTAGCTAAATAAATCATTACTTGTATTTAGAGGCAGAAAATAGAGAAGTAAAATTTAATGCTAACTTTAGTTGATGTACTGTGTCATATAATATATTGCAATTTTTAGCTAATTTAAATTAAAATAGTTATATCAATGATTTTGAAACCATGAAGCAACAATTATCATAAATGTTGTTTTTTCAAAAATTAGATGGTTCCAGTAGTTTTTGCTACGTGAAATCTCTGACTACTACATCATCTAAGGCACTTTTTACGTTTCGTTTATAAAGCTCATAAAATAACCTAAATGAAAAAGATAAATAGTAAAAAGCCTGAAGAGCTGATGGAGCTATGTTTCTTGATTTATTCATCTCTATTCCATATCTGAAAAAATAATTTATGACAATTTCTTTGTATGGAAGAAAAATTTTATAATGTTTAGATCTATTGGGGGAAGAATGATTTCCTAGGATTTGAAGCTATAAGAATAATGGAAAAAAAGATATATCATTCTTCTATCTTTTATCATGTGTAAAGTCGATTTTTAATATGGCAAGATATTCAATCTAAAGCCATTAAAGATATTTCCAAAACCTTACACCAGCTTCAGATATGTTACCTATTATACAATGACTTTATTTTTAAAAAGTAAGGAAATATTCATCCTTTTACTAGTAGTAGATGATTGGACAGCTGTCTTCATTGGTAATTTAAATGTAATTTTGCCTGAAGTAGATAGAAAAACTAATCACCTCTTGGGGTCTTTTACAGTGATATAATTTTATGCCAACTTTCAACACTAGAAAAGTAAGCATATTCTTTATGAAATAACCAGAATTTATAGCTGAAAGGAATTTTAGAAATCTAGTTCAGGGGTCAGCAAACTACTGCCCATTGCCTGTTTTTGTAAATAAGATTTTATTGTAACAGCCATTCTCATGTTTATTCACTCATTTGTTGAAATGTTGTCTATGGCTGCCTTGGTCCTACGATGGCACTGTGGACCAGTTGCAAATGAGACCATATGGTCTACAAAGTAAAAATATTCCCTAGAACTTGAAGTATAATAAAAAAAAAAATTATCTAGCCCTTTACAGAAAGACCTGTTAATCTCTAATCTAGTTCATCCACCTCTTTTACAGATGAAGAAGTTGAACCCCTGAGGAATAAAGTAACTTGCCCATGGTTACATAGACAGTAAAAGTTAGCCGAAGACACAGGTCTTTTGCTTTCAGATTCAGTAAAGGTCTCATTACATTATCCCACTACTCATAATGTAAAATAATGTGTTTGATATTTTCTAGTATTCATGTTATGATGAAATAATCCCTTGGTAAGTAAAATTTTCCATACAGGCAGTCAGTCTGCCTCTGTTAGCCTTATTCTTTTCCCTTGAAATTCAGAGGAAAATTTTAAAGGTAAGAAACTGAAACACATATTTTGGTCCTTATATTGTCAGTGTTTCTACATAAGGAAAACAATGTGACTAAAACAGATGACATCTATTATTGGATTTCCACTCAATAAAATGTTTATTTTCTCTAATCAACTCCACTTTTTTTTTCTGCCCATTAGTGTTATCCAAGTAATACATCACGTAAGGACACCATTAAGTAGAATGCCTGTCTGTATCTACAGAAAATGAGCAGATGGTTGGTTCCTCAAACATTTAAAATAAAGACAAATGTAGTCTTGGGTTTAGGGGTGAGACAGTGGCAGGCAGGACACTTGGGATGAAATGTATAATGACGTTGTACTCCACACTCCCTGCATGTTTACAATGTACTATAGATGTGAAAGTTAATGCACCATAAAAAATTGTTATAAAATTTTATTTTATTTTAAGAGCATGAGTTGGGTCTGGTCACTTTCTTGATTGTGTTAATGGTTTTATGTGTTTATTCACATGACAAAATTTACCAGATTTTGTACTTTAAATACCTGCAGTTTCTTAGGTGTCAATGACATCTTTAATTGAAAAAAAGGAGTAACAGAAAACAAAAACAATGAGATAAATGTTTTTTTTCTTTTTTAGCAAGAAAAGAAAATATAAGCTAGTCATTTCAGATACATGTATGTATTGACATCAGGTTTGTTTGTGACAAATCTTCACTCTGTGACGAAAAAGTACACATTTTCCTGTTGGACCAAATCTTTGTTTATTCTTGTAGCTTAACTCAACATAAAGAACATGATTTTTATTTCATATTTTTGTGGTGATAAATATTTTCATGCAAATGCTTTATATCAGATGGAAGAACAAATTACTAAAACAAATACAGTTCATATCCAGTATTATGTATTCACCAGAAACTGTTATATTAATGATTCTAGTTTAATGCAGAGAAAATTTCAGTTCTGAAGAGTACTTACGAAGACACATTTTGTGCATTAATGCAAAACTGTAGAAACATGAAAAGTACAGTGCAATAAAGAATAACAAGATAACATGGGTCTAGAGTACATTTTTCCAAGTTTGAAGTTAAATAAAATTATTTCTTTCAAGAACCTAACTTCTACTTTAATTAAGATAGGAAAGAAGTCAGACTTACAATTGTTTGTTTTTGTATTAGCCCAATAAAAATCCTAGAAATGATGTTCTTTATGTTTCTAAAATAAGGAAGAGTATCCTGGGGAAGAAAATAACACTTCTTTAGTTAAGTTGTATGTTGTGTGCCTAGTGAAAATACCCACGCTTTGTTGGTAATATCCCAATTTGCCATCTTCTTTCCATATTTGCTCTCAGGGGATTAGTGTTGACTTCTAAGGAGTTAAAGCTGCTCTTAGAATCATCTTTTCTAACCCACTGTAGCTGTCTGGAAAACAGTAAGATCCCAAGGGATTTTACAAAATGTAATTCTTCAACATGCACAATAAATGAAAAGAATAATTTATATTTCATACAACTCTAATTATCATATGGTAAAAGGAAAAAGAAAGGTCATATCCTTGAAGTTACAAATTATGTATACGACCCATCTGAAGCCATCACTTTCATACAAGGTAGGTTTATGGCTCATTAACTCTGTTCTGTGTAACATGAGTTATATGATCTTACTGTTTATGCATTTTAAACTATGGATATATTGATTATTATATATTTCTAAATAACTAGTGTGTAAAATTATGACAGGAATGATTGGATGTATCTTGGGATAAATATATTAACTAGAATTAGTTTCTTCTCAACTATTGGAAGAACTAAAACAAAATTCTTAAACAGAAGTGATTCAAATGATATTGTTATTCTAAAAATCAAAAAATCTTTTAAATATTCAACAATTACAGCAAGTGGGACACAATATGTGTTCCATTTTTTTCTTGTTTTCTGTTTTAAAATCTGAAATAACATTTTATGTATACCTCCAAGAGCCCAGGCTGCAGTGCAGTGGCAGGATCTTGGCTCACTGCAACCTCCACCGCCTAGGTTCAAGCAATTCTCCTGCCTCAGCCTCACAAATAGCTGGGATTACAGGTGCACGCCACCATGCCCAGCTAATTTTTGCATTTTTAGTAGAAACAGGTTTCACCATGTTGGCCAGGCTGCTCTCAGACTCCTGACCTCAGGTGATTGGCTTGCCTCGACCTCCCAAAGTGCTAGCATTACAGGCGTGAGCCAACACGTCTGGCCCAAGAAGAAATTTTAAAGCCTTCTCATGACAGCTATTCGCCTAGAATTTGACATGATAAAACTTTTTTATTTTAAAAAAGAGAAAATAGAATAATTCTCCACTCTTGACTTGTACATTTGAATCAACATTAAGTTGTCGTGGGATTATCTTTAAACAAAGGTGATGGGTTTTGTCATGGGGCTGAGGAGTTTCATTTGCTTTATTTTATTATAAAATGAATAGTATAATATTCTAAACTCTACAGAAGATTATACAGTGAAAAGTTCAAGTTTCCCTCTGCCCTTCTCTACCCAATCTTTCCCTCCTGAAGTAACCACAGTTAACAACTTTTTGTGTACTGCTTAGGTTATTTTCTTTCTTTCTTTTTTTTTTTTTTTTTTTTGAGGTGGGGAGAGGGACAGGATCTGGCTCTGTCACCCAGGCTGGAGCGCAGTGGCGCATTCACTGCAACCTTCGCCTCCTTGGCTCTAGCGATCCTCTCACCTCAGCCTTCTGAGTATTTGGGACTACAGGTGCGCACCACCACACCTAGCTAATTTTTTTGTATTTTTGGTAGAGATGGGATCTTGCTATGTTGCCTAGCCTGGTCTCAAACTCCTGGGGTCTGGCCATCCACCAGCCTCCACCTCCCAGGCAATCCACTCACCTGAGCCTCCCAAAGTGATGGGATTACAGGTGTGAGCCACTGCACAGAGCAGTGTTCGGGTTATTTTCTATGCGTATACATATAGGTTTTATAGTGCCAAGGCTTGTAGAGAATAGGTGACAGCCAGTGATCAAAGTGGAATATTTTAGAAGAATAGAAAGCAGTATTCAATTCAATAAAACACTTTTATTGGACACCTGCTGTGTGCAAAACCACAATAATAAATTTCACAGAAGGCATAGGAAAGCACTAGGATGAAGAAGTCACCGTAGTTCTGTCTTCAATTGGTATGTGTTTCTGAAATGTGCAAACACCATTACTGCAAAAAAACTCAAGAATGTTACGCAGCATTAAAGACTGTTTGGGAGAAAAAAAACACAGCAGGATTGACTCTACTTTGATGAATTTTTAATCTCATCATATAGTCATGGAAGACTGACACTGAATAGCATATTTGCAGAAGGGAAATATCCTAGCATGGTCCAAGTTTAAACTACATGAGGTTAAGAAAATAGCTGGGTAACATTTTGGATTTTATCCAACAGACAAAGTAGTGACATTAATGGTTATTTTAAAATAGTCTATCAATATCAGATGTATTTTTTTTAATATATATCCAGTTGAAAGGAGAATGGATCAGAGATGGAAAAGAATAAGATGAGCAAAACAGGCACTTAGTGTGATCCTCCAGGCAAGGACCCAACTTAATAGGAGCCATAGTAAGACTGAACTCAGAGACATTTCAGCAAAGGTGGGACTGGCATGGATGTGGGGTATGAACACTTGAATTTGGGGTATAGAACAGACAACTTGGGAAGCTACAGGATTTCTTGTGTGAGTGATTGTGTAGATGTTGAAGTTGTTAGTTAAGAAAGAGAATATAGAAGAAGTAGCTGGTGCAGAGTGGGAAGAATAATAAACTTGGCTTTGCAAACACTACATTTGGATTGTCTATGAGGCCTTTCCATAAATCCTCCCAGAAGCAATGTGTGGGACATTTAAGTTCATTGACTGTGTGGAACTTGGAGCCATACAGTTAAAGATTATTTGCTAGAGTTAGTATCACTCCACAAGATTTTTATTTTTTTATGTCAACCTTTATTTTGGATTCAGGGAGTACATGTGCAGGTTTATGGCATGGGTGTGCCTGGGTGTTCATAGGTGGCAGGCTTGGTGTACAAATGACCCCATCACCCAGGTACTGAGCATAGTACCCAATATGTAGTTCTTCAGGCTTTGTCCCCCTTCCTCCCTCTCCCTTCAAATAGTTCCTAGTGTCTATTGTTGCCATCTCTATATCCTTGAGTACCCAATGTTTAGCTCCCACTTAAAAGCAAGAACATGTGGTATTTGGTTTTCTGTTCCTGCATGAATTCACTTAGGATAATGGCCTCCAGCTGCATCCATGTTGCTGCAAAAGACATGATTGCATTCTTTTCTGTGTCTGCATAGTATTCCATGGTATATGCATACCACATTGTCTTTATCTAGTCCACCACTGATGGGCACGTAGCTTGATTCCATGTCTTTGCTATTGCGAATAGTGCTGTGATGAACATGCAAGGGCATGTGTCTTTTTGGTAGAACAATTTGTTTTCTTTTGGATATATACCCAGTAACGGAGTTGCTGGGTCAGATGGTAGGTCTCTTTTAAATTCTTTGAGAAATCTCCAAACTGGTTTCTAAGAGGTAAACACATCCACCTAGCTGAAAATGCTAAAGTGGGTGGTAAAAAGAGGTGGACACAGAAGGAGAGCACTTCATCATGGAAGAGAAATAGCACCTTGATCTCAAACAGGCACCTCATCCTCCTGCTGGCTCACAGGGCTCAGCACCACTCCCGCTCTGGCATTGGTCCAAAGACTCCTTTCGTTACTGTGCTCCTGGGCTGTAGTGACGGGTCTGTCTGGCCCACTCTTTGTTATCAGCAGCCATTCCTCCACTCACATTCTCATCTTACTAGATTTTAGTTAGTTTCTCTTTCACCCTCTTGTCCCCAAGAGTTAGAATTTATTTTGAGTTTAAAGAGTTTTTACTACTAAATACTTCATGAAAAAGGAAAAGATTTTAAAAAATAGAAACAATAAGAAAGTGATAAGAATTAAATAAACTCTTAAATGTTTTTACCTTAGTATTCATGTTCATCTTTGAAATGTGAGGAAAACACAATGAGTGGTTCTTAGCTATCTTCATTGCCTCAAGTCTTGTATTTTCCTTCTTTGCATCAAAACTTTTAAAACTTTAATGATTTTTTTTATCCCACAGGCTCTTCCCCTGAGTCTTTACCAAATCTTCTAACCATATTCTTTCCCAGCCATTACACTGGGAAGCCCTCAAATCAATCTGAATGTTGAACAGCAACTGCATGCACCTGTAAGACTCATTTATAATTCAGAGATTATCACATGATTATCACATGATCAGTGTTTTTGCTGCTTAATGGAGGAAAATGCTCCGTGTTATTCTTTTTTTTTTTTTTCTGTTGAGACAGAGTCTCGCTCTGTCGCCCAGGCTGGAGTGCAGTGGTGCCATCTCGGCTCACTGCAAGCTCGGCTCCCAGGTTCACATCATTCTCCTGCCTCAACCTCCTGAGTAGCTGGGACTACAGGCGCCGCCACCACGCCTGCTAATTTTTTTTTGTATTTTTTAGTAGAGGCAGGGTTTCAGCAGGGTCTTGATCTCCTGACCTCGTGATCCGCCCGCCTCGGCCTCCCAAAGTGCTGGGATTACAGGCGTGAGCCACCGCGCCCGGCCTGTTCTGTGTTATTCTTAACATAATTAAGGACACAAAGTGGAATATAAGATATTTTTGTCTTCTCCATGTTTTATTTCAGTTTCAACAACAATAAACATTTACTGACTGCTTCCTGGCCAGAACACTGGAAAATAAAAGAAAGTGTTACGTGTGTTTTTGGTTCTCAAAAGGCTTACTAAAGGATAGTTATGTAAACACTGGAAGAGAACAGATAACCTCAGAAGAGAGAATTCCCTACATAACCAGTTAGCATATCCTAAACAAGATATCACACAATTATGCTATTAAAAGGGATATTTTATATACGTACTATATAAAAATATGTTTTATATATTTTTATATATTATATATAATGCATATTTATATAAAATAAACATTATTGAATAATTATTTTTATATTTGGGAGGAAGGTCAATTTAAATCCATACCACATTATAACCCAAAATAATTCTATTTAAAAATATTTTAAAGACTATTTTTCCCCAAATCTCAAAGGTTCTCTTTCTTAGGTTCTCTTTCTTTCTTTCTTTTTTCAAAAAAATTTTAAGGAAAAAGCCATGTACAAGATTTTCTTTCTTAAACTGCTAAAAGCATCAATAGATTTGAGGATAATGGCACACAAGAATGTTATGTTTAAAAATCATCCAAGTTAGAAACATAAACATGCATTAGTTAAATGATAAAAGGATATGAACTTGCAGTTGAAACAAGAGGTAGTGAAGTTTTAACTAAATGTTGGCTTTAAAATGTGGTAAAGGAACCGGTGGAGGGAGATGGCTGAAAAGAAGACCCTACTGACCATCTCCCCAGCAGGAACACCAACCTCAACATCTACACAAGAAAAGCACCTTCATAGAGCTTAAAATCAGGTGAGCACTCACAGTGTCTGGTTTAAACTTCTAATCGCTGAAAGAGGCAGCGAAGCAGGTAGGAAAGGGTCTTGAATCACCGAGGCCACCCTTCCCCCATCCTCCAGCAGCAGCTGCAGGGCATGGAGAATCTACGCACTTGGGGAAAGGAGAGCGCAGTGTCGGTGAGACATCACATGAACTTAGCGCTTCCCTGTCACCGTGGAAAGCAAAACCAGGCTGAACTCAGCTGACACCTACCCACAGAGGGAGCCTTTAGACTAGCCTGAGCCAGAGGGGAGTTGCCTGTCCCAGCAGTCAGAACTTGAGTCTGGCAAGCCTTGCCACCATGGGCTAAAGGGGGAGCTCCAAATAAACTTGAAAGGCAATCTAGGCCGCGAGGCCTGTGATTCCCGGACAGGTCCTTGGACAGGTCCTAGTGCTAAGCTGGGTTCGAAGCCAGTGGACTTAAAAGGCATACAACCTACTAAGACACCAGCCAGGGTGGCTAAGGGAGTGCTTGCGCCATTCCCCCAACCCCAGGCAGCACAGCTTACAGCTCTGAAAGAGATCCTTTCATTCCCCTTGCAGAGAGGAGAGGGTAAAGAGGACTTTGTCTTGCATCTTGGATAACAGCTCGGCCACAGTAAGATGGACAGGTACCCACCAGTCAGGGTTGTGAGGCCTCCTTTCTGGGCCCTAGCTCCTGGACCACATTTCTAGACACACCCTGGGACAGAGGGGACCCCTCTACCTTGTAGGGAAGAACCCCATTGTGGCAGGAACCATTGCCTGATGACTAAAGAGCCCTTAGGCCATGCATAACCAGCAGTGACACCCAGGTATTATTCTGTGGGCCTTGGGTGAGATTCTGAGACTTACTGGCTCCAGATGAGACCCAGCACATTCCCAGCAGGGGTGGCTATGGAGCTATGGCTCCTTCTGCTTGAGAAACCAGAGAGAAAACTAAAGGGGACTATATCTTGCACCTTAGGTACCAGCCTGGCTACAGAGGGGTAGAATACCAAGTGAGCTCTTGAGGTCTTCAATTCCAGAGCTTGGCTCTTGAATGGCATTTCTGGACCTGCCCCGACCCAGAGGGGAGCCCACTGCTCCGAAGAGTGAGTGCCAGGCCTGACAGTGTTCACCGCAAGCTGACTGAAGAGCCGTTTGGCCTTAAGGGAATATCAGTAGTAGCCCAGAGGTACTCCCATGGGCCTGTGGTGGTGGCAGCCACCAGGCGAGTCTCCTCTACCTGTGCTAAGGGGAAGGAAGAGCGAGGAGGGCTACATCTCATGGTTTAAGGGCCAACTCAGCTGAAGTGTAATATAACACTAGGTAGATTTCTAAGGTTTTTGACTCCAGTCCCTGGCTCCTGGAAAGCACCTTTTGACCCTCCTGGGGCCTGGGGGCACTCAGTGTCCTGAAGCCTGGCTGGCTTTGCCATCTGCTTATCACAGAGCTCTAGGGCCTTGAGCAAACCTAGGTGGTAGCCAGATAGTGGTTATAGGAAGCCTTGGGTGATACCCAGCACTGTGCTGGTTTCAGGTCTGACTCAGCAGTCTCAGTGGTGGTGGCCACAGGGGTGCTCGTGTCACTCCACCCCCCGGTCCAGGCAGCTCACTACAGAGAGAGAGAGAGGCTCCATTTGTTTGTGAGAAAGTAAGGAAAGATAGTGAGATTCTCTGCCTGACAATCCACAGAATTCTTCTTGACCTTATCCAAGACCAACAAGTCAGCTCAGTCTTACTGAGCTTGGGTGCCCTCTAATGCAGATACAGCTTAGACCACAACATCCAAGTCTTTTCAAATACCTGAAAAGCGTTTCCAAGAAGGTTGGGTACAAATAAGCCCAGACTGCAAAGACTACAATAAATACCTAACTCTTCAATGCCCAGACACCAACAAACATTCAAAAGCATCAAGATCATCCACAGAAATATGACCTTACCACATTAGCTAAATAAGACACCAGGGACCAATCCTGAAGAAATACAGATATCTGACCTTTCCAAAAGACAATTCAAAATGGCTGTTTTAAAGAAACTCAAAGAAATTCAAGCTAACACAGAGAAGGAATTTAGAATTGTATCAGATAGATTTAACAAAGAGATTGAAATAATTATATAGAATCAAGCAGAAATTCTGGAGCTGAACAGTGCATCTGACATACTGAAGAATGCATAAGAGTGTTTTAATAGCAGAACTGATCAACCTGAAGAAAGAATTAGTGAGCTTGAAGACAGGTTATTTGAAAATACATGGTAAGAGGAGACAAAAGAAAAATGAATAAAAGATAATGAAGCATGCCTATAGGATCTAGAAAATATCCTCAAAAGGGCAAATCTAAGGGTTATTGGCCTTAAGGAGGAGGGAGAGGTAGGGGTAGAAAGTTTATTGAAAGGGATAATAACACAGAACTTCCCAAACCTGGAGAAAGATATTAATATCCAAGTACAAGAAGGTTATAGAAGACAAAGCAGATTTAACCAAAAGAAGACAACCTCAAGGTATTTAATAATCAAACTTTAAAGGTCAAGGATAAAGAAAGGATTTTAAAAGCATCAAGAGAAAAGAAACAAATAATATACAATGGAGTTTCAATAAGTCTGGCAGCAGACTTTTGAATAGAAACTTTACAGGCCAGGAGAGAGTGGCATTACATATTTAAAGTGCTAAAGGAAGAAAACTTTTATCCTAGAATAGTATATCTGGTGAAAATATCCTTCAGACATGAAGGGGAAATAAAGACTTTCCACTCAAACAAAAGCTGAGGGATTTCATCAACACCAGACTTGTCCTACAAGAAATGCTAAAGGAGTACTTCATCAGAAAGAAAAGGAAACTAATGAGCGATAAGAAATCATCTGAAGGTTTAGAACTCACTGGTGGTAGTACACAGAGAAATTGAGAATATTATAACACTGTAACTGTGATGTGTAAATTACTCTTATCCTAAGGAGAAAGACTAAACAATCAACCAATAAAAAATAATAACTATGACAACTTTTCAATATATACTAAACAGTATATACTATACTATACTATACTATACTATAGTATAGTATAGTTTCAATACTATACTAAACAGTATAGTAAGATGTAAAGAGAAACAATAAAAAGTAAAAAGCAAGGGGACAAAGTTAAGGTGTAGAATTTATATTAGTTTTCTCTTTGTTTCTTTATTTATGCAAACAGTGCTAAGCTGTTTTCAGCTTAAAATAATGGGTTATAAGATAGTATCTGCAAGTCTCATGGTAACCGCAAATTGAAAAACATAAAACAAATACACAAAAAATAGAAATCAAGAAATTAAATCATACCGCCAGAGAAAATCACCTTCACTGAAAGGAAGACAGCAAGGAAATAAAAAAGAAAGAAGACCAGAAATAACCAGAAAGCAAATAACAAAATGGCAGGATAAGTCCTTACTTAGGATTAATAACATTGAATGTAAATAGACTAAACTCTCCAATTAAAAGACACAGAGCCTCTGAATGGATGAAAAAGCAAGACTCAACCATCTGTTGCCTACCAAACAACACGCTTAACCTATAAAGACACACATAGATGGCCAGGCATGGTAGCTCATGCCTGTAATCCCAGCACTTTGGGAGGCCGAGGCGGGTGGATCACCTGAGGTCAGGAGTTCGAGACCAGCCTGGCCAACATGGTGAAACCCTGTCTCCACTAAAAATACAAGAAAATTAGCTGGGCGTGGTGGTGGGCACCTATTATCCCAGCTACTTGGGAGGCTGAGGCAAGAGAATCGCTTGAACTGGGAGGTGGAGGTTGCAGTGAGCTGAGATTGCACCACTGCCCTCCAGCCTGGGTGACAAGAGTGACACCCCATCTCAAAAGAAAACCAAAATGCAACAACAATAACAACAACAACCAAAAACACACATAGACTGAAAATAGATGGATAGAAAAAGATATTCCATGTCAATGGAAACCGAAAAAGAGGAGTAGTTATTCTTTTTTTTTTTTTTTTTTTTTTTGAGATGGAGTCTCTCTCTGTCACCCAGGCTGGAGTGCAGTGGTGCGATCTCGGCTCACTGCAAGCTCTGCCTCCTGGGTTCATGCCATTCTCCTACCTCAGCCTCCCAAGTAGCTGGGACTACAGGCGCCCGCCACCACACGTGGCCAATTTTTTGTATTTTTAGTAGAGATGAGGTTTCACCATGTTAGCCAGGATGGTCTCAATCTCCTGACCTTGTGATCCACCCACCTCAGCCTCCCAAAGTGCTGGGATTAAAGGCATGAGCCACCGTGCCCAGCCAAAGAGGAGTAGCTCCTCTTAGACAAAATAGACTTCAAGACAAAACCCGTAAGAACAGACAAAGAAGGTCATTATATAATGATAACAGAGTCTATTCAGCAAGAAGATATAATAATTGTAAATACATATGCATCAAACAGTGGAGCACTCAGTTATATAAAGCAAATATTATTAGAGCTAAAGAGAGAGTCAGACTTCAGCACAGTAATAGCTAGAGCCTTCAACACCCTACTTTCAGCACCGAACAAATCTGCCAGAGAGAAAATCAACAAAGAAACATAGGACGTAATCTGCACTATCAAATAAATGGACCTAGTAGATATTTACAGAACATTTCACCCAATGGCTACAGAATACATATTCTTTTCTTTAGCACATGGATTTTTCTTAAGGATAGACCATATGTTAAGTCACAAAACAAGTCTTAAAATTTTCAGAAACATTGAAATAATATCAAGCATCTTCTCTGACTCCAGTGGAATAAAATTAGAAATTAATAATGAGGGGAATTTTGGAAATTATATAAACACATGGAAATTAAACAATATGCTCCCAAATGACCAGTTGGAAAATGAAGAAATTAAGAAGAAAACTGAAAAATGTCTTGAAACAAGTAATAATGGAAACACAATGTGCCAAACCTATGGAATACAGTGAAAGTGGTACTAAGAGGGAAGTTTATAGCCATAAGTGCCTGCATGAAAAAAGAAGAAAAAGTTCAAATAAACAACCTAATGATGCATCTTAAATAACTGTAAAAACAAGAGAAAGTAATCTGAAAATTAGTAGAATTTAAAAATGAAGATCAGAGCAGAAATAAATGAAGTTGAAATAAAACAATTAAGAAGATCAATAAAATAAAAAGTTGCTTTTTTAAAAAGATAAACAAAATTGGCAAAGCTTTAGCCACACTAAGAAAAAGGAGAAGGCCCAAATAAATAAAATGAGATGAAAAAGGAAACTTTTAACTGATACTGCAGAAATGGAAAGGATCACCAGTGGCTACTATGAGCAACTATATACCAACTAATTGGAAAATCTAAATGAAATTGACAAATTCCTAGACAGATGCAATCTACAAGATTGAATCAGAAAGAAATCTAAAACCTGAACAAAACAATAACAAGTAATAAAATCAAAGTCATAATAGAAAGTCTCCAAGCAAAGAAAAGCCCAGGACCTGATTACCTCACTGCTGAATTCTACCAAACATTTAAGTAACTAATACCAATCTTACTCAAAATATTTTGAAAAATAGAGGAGGAGGGAATACTTCTAAACTCATTCTATGAGGCCAAATTGCCCTGATACTAAAACCAGACAAAGACACCACAAAAAAAGAAAACTATAAACCAATATCACTGATAAATATTGAAGCAAAAATCCTCAGCAAAATACTAGCAAACTGAATTCAACAACACATTAAGAAGATCATTCATCACGACCTAGTGGGATTTATCCCAGGGATGCAAGGGTGGTCCAACATAAGGAAATCAATCAATGTGATACATCATATCAACAGAATGAAGGACAAAAAGCATGGGATCATTTTCATTGATGCTGAAAAAGCATTTGACAAAATTCAACATTCCTTCATGATAAAAATTTCCAGAAAACTGGGTATAGAAGGAGCATACTTCTACATAACAAAAGCCATGTATGACAGACCCACAGCTAGTATTATATTGAATGGGACAAAACTGAAAGCCTTTCCTTTAAGATCTGGAACATGACAGGGATGCCTACTGTTACCACTGTTATTCAACATAGTACTGGAAGCTCTAGCTACATAATCAGACAAGAGAAAAAGGGCATTCAGATTGGAAAGGAAGAAGTCCAATTATCCTTATTTGCAAATGATATGATCTTATATTTGCAGAAAACTAAAGACTCCATTAAAAAACCTATTAGAACTAATAAACAAACTCAGTAAAGTTGCAGGATACACAATCAACATACAAAAGCCAGTAGCACTTTATATAGAAGCAAACAATCTGAAAAAGAAATCAAGAAGGTAATCCCATTTAAAATACCTACAAATAAAATAAAATACTTAGGAATTAATTTAACCAAAGCAGTGAAAGATCTCTACAATGAAAACTATAAAACATTGATGCAAGAAATTAAAGAGAACACACAAGAAATGGAAAGATGTTCCATGTTTATGAATTGGAAAAATCAATACTGTTAAAATGTCCATACTACCCAAAGCAATCTACAGATTTAATGCAATCTCTATCAAAATACCATTGACATTCTTCAGAGAAATGGAAAAAAAAAATCCTAAAATTTATATGGAACAACAAAAGACCCAGAACAGCTAAAGTTATCCTAAGCAAAAAGAACACAACTGGAGAAATCACATTACCTGACTTCAAATTATATTGCAGAGCTATAGTAACCAAAATAGCATGGCACCGGCATAAAAGTCAACATACAAACCGGTGGAACAGAATAGAGAACACAGAAAGAAACCCACATATCTACAGTGAACTCTTTTTTGCCATTTCCCAAGAACATACACTGGGGGAAAGGACAGTGTCTTCAATAAATGGTGCTGGGAAAATTAGACATCCACATACAAAAGAATGAGACTAGAACCCTATCTCTCACCATATACAAACATCAAATCAAAATGGATTAAAAACTTAAATCTAAAACCTCAAACCATAAAACTACTAAGAGAAAACATTGGAGAAACTCTCCAGGACCTTGAACGGGGCAAATATTTCTTCAGTAATATTCCATAAGCACAGGCAACCAAAGCAAAAATGGGCAAATGGGATCACATCAAGTTAAAATGCCTCTGTACAGTAAAGGAAACAATCAATAAAGTGAAGAGACAATCCATAGAATGGAAGAAGGTGTTTGCAAATTACTCATCTGACAAGGGATTAATAGCTAGAATATATAAAAAGCTAAAACAACTCTATAGGAAAACGTCTAACACTCTGATTAAAAATGGGGAAAAGATTTGAATAGACATTTTAAGACATACAAATGGCAAACAGGTATATGGAAAGGTGCTCAACATATTGATCATCAGAGAAATGCAAATCAAAACTACAATGAGATATTATCTAATCTCAGTTAAAATGGCTTTTATCCAAAAGACAGGCAATAACAAATGCTAGTGAGAATGCAGAGAAGAGGGAATCCTCATACACTGTTGGTGGGAATGTAAATTAGTAGAACCACTATGGAAAACAGTTTTGAGGATCATAAAAAAACTAAAAATAGAGCTACCATATGGTCCACCAATTCCACACCTAGGTATATACCCAAAAGAAAGAAAATCAGTATATCAAAGAGATACCTGCACTCCCACATTTATTGCAGCACTGTTCACAATAGCCAAGATTTGGAAGCAACCTAAGTGTCCGTCGATAGATGAGTGGATAAAGAAAATGTGGTACATGTATACAATGGAATACTACTCAGCCGTAAAGAAGAATGAGATCTAGTCATTTGACAACATGAGTGGAAATGGAGGTCATTATGTTAAGTGAAATACCCTAGGCATAGAAAGACAAACATATTCTCACTTATTTGTGGGAGCTAAAAATTAAACGATTAAATTCATGGAGATTGAGAGTAGAAGGATGGTTACAGAGGCTGGGAAGGGTAGTGGGGGCGGTGGGGAGGAAGTGAGGATGGTCAGTGTGTCCAAAGAAGAAGTTAGAAGGATGAATAAGACCTAGTATTTGCTAGCAATATAGGGTGACTATAGTAAAAAATAATTTAATTGTACATTTAAAAATAGTTGAGTATAATTGGATTGTTCCTAACACAAAAGATAAATGCTTCTCGTGATGGATACACCATTTACCCTGCTGTGATTATTACTGATTGCATGGTTGTATCAAAATATCTCATGTAACCCATAAATATATACACTTACTATATAACAACAAAAATTAAAAATAAAAACATTTTTAAAATGTGATACAGTGTGGAAACTAAATAAATATGAAAAATTTTAGATGGTAAAACCGCAGTAAAGTAGGATTGCTTTCACATATTGTTGGTGGCAGCCTAAATTTTTATAACCATTTTAGAAAGCAATTTGGCAATATAAGGTAAAAGTCTCTATATTCTTTAAATCAGTAAATGTAGTGCAGAACAAGCTAAAATATATTCTCAGGAAATAAATTGTAAATTATGATTAACTCAATATAGCATCCATTAAAATTATAATTTTACGATTCTAGAAATAGTGTAAAGTTATAAGTGGAAAATCATGGATATTAAATTACATATACAAGGTCATTGCTACTAGGTAAAATTGGTTTGTTCATTTGAAATATGATATATAAAATGTACAAAAATGTTAGCAGTATTTTGAAAGAGTGATTATACCTGAGTATTTTTGCAATTATTCAAATTTTGTTATTGGTTATATGTGGTTTTTATGATTTTTTTTAAAGAAAAGTGCTCCTGGTTCCAGCTAAATGGACCTGGGGTCATTGGTTTTCTTTCCCCTTTGCCTTTTCACTTGATAACTCTCAGGTTTTCTAACTTGTCTTTTTATTTTCTCCAGGATTAATTTATCTAAAATATGTTGTTACCAAGGACAGTGCATTATTAAGTTATTGCTGCAATAATACTGCTGATCAAATCACTCTGATCTCAGTGGTCGACACTGAAGAACATTAATTTTTGGAGTGGGGGCTCCAAGTTCTGCAGACCAATTAGGGCAACTCTAATTGAGGATGCAGGTTGCCAGGGCTTGACTCTGGGGTCTAGGCTGCAGGGCTGACCCATTCGTCTCATTTGGGGGCTAAAGCTCCATGGAGGTAGCTACTGAGGCATGCTCTTCTCATATACCTTTGCTGAATTTCTATTGGTTGGATGAAGTTATGGGACTAAAGCCAACATCAATGGGAAGGAGAAATATATCTCACCCACTCTGTGATTCCACAAAGTCACATGGCAGAGGGAAGGAGCAAAGAATTAACAATAATACGGTCTACCATAAGTAGGTTAACTGTCATCTGTATATTTCACAATCTCCATCTATAAGTAAAAGATGTTTGGTTATATAATCTCATCAGCGAGTTATTTAACCTAAGCCTCAATTTCCTCCTTAAGTATGGATGATGATAGTATCTGTTTATGGAATGCAATGGGATTAAATTAGATAATGCTTGCAAAACACTCAACATAATGTTCAACATGCTATCTGTTATTAATCTTCAAGTCTCATGCAGCTGTGTGAGACATCTATGATATTTCACGGTCTACAATAAACTCTAGTATAAATAGAGACACAGGGAAAAGACAAGAAAAATCTCTCTCCACTTTACTTCACATTCTCTATGGGGCCTCCAAAGGCTAATGGAGATTCATTTCAGGTCTCTATGTCATCTGGATCACCCCTTGAGGGCTTATGTATAAACACTGAGGCCAGGTCATCCTTGGTTTTCAGGACTCTGCACTATTAGAGATGGTTTTAAGATGACTTGAGTAACAAGTTTGCTCTGTGCAAGAACTGAGAATCTAATTCAAGTTAAGGAAGATTTACAATCTTTACTTAGGTTCCAAGTAAATCTAACTACCTCTAAGAAGTTGCAGTCGCCAAAGGGATTCAGAATAGTCTCTGAGAGTTAAGTACCTCTGGGCCACCCAGATCTCGTGCCCTGGGAAGCAGGATACCCTGGCCCATCAAACTGACAAAGTACTCGGCCATGGGATGGTCACACCTTTGTTATGTTCAGATTTTTTTCTTGTCTATTCACCTTATATTACCTAAAGATAGCATAGTCATCAACATATAAGCCCTATAAAGATTAATATTAGACAAAATTAAAATTATCATTAATGTAAAATTTCTAAAACATTATCAATATATTATTTTAATGCTTGCCCTTCATTTTAGCAGAAGTATTGAGGTAATTTTTCTATTCTGCTTACCTTTTTGTGGAAATGCTGTGAAGATACATTGATAAAAATATTAAGTATTTTATTATGTGATGTCATGTGTTATTTTGCTTTAAGGAGACCAGTCTCAACTTCTGATTTCCCATAAAATTATTATGGGAAATGTATTAGGTAGCACTGCTTCTTATATGTATGGCATTTATTAGAAACTGGTAGCATAAATCTTAAGAATAAGGAAAAAAGAGAGAATTAAAAAGACAGAGAGAAAGAAAGAGAGAGAGGAAAGAAGGAAGGAAAAGAAAAGATGAGGGAAAGGCAGGAAATAACTTGCCAAAAGGAAGCATGTTTGAAACTAATATAGCAAGGACATTAGACTATGCGTTATTTTGAATTTAGTTATCACCTTTTCTAGTTTTCTTTATATTTTTATATGTTCAATATTAAACATCCACCAAATTCCATTTACCTGCATTATCAAAGAATTAAAAAAGCATACTTTATCATGCACCTAGCTCTCCTTTTGTTCAGTTGAAACTCTGGATTAAACTCATTGAAGAGTCTTTGAAAATATGAAATAATCTGTTTATTTATAACCTTTAATTAAGGAAATATCCATTACCATGTTTCCAGTTGACAAGAATAATGTCTTGGTCATTTCGTGATTTATTATTTTTTAAGTACTTTTCAGATAACTTGTTCAGAATAGGGTAGAAAAAGTCATGTATTTGAATCATGTGTCTCACTCTGCGATTCAGGTACAGGCCTAAAACTCCCGGGGCTTTCATCAACATCGCATTTCACAGGATGCCACACTAAGCCACATGCACAGACACGCTCCATTTGCTTCTTCCATTCCAGTGACATGGTGCAGTTCTCCTGCCTTCTGTTAGGCTGGGTTCTCCGTGGAGTGCTGGCCTGAGTGAATACCGGAAAGAAGCTACTCCCTGAAAAACGCCTTTGTCTCCTTCAGGGATTCCTTCTCGTTACTTGGGGTGGCCCCCTTGCATCTTCCCTGGAAAGATCCTGCCGGTCAGGAGCCAGGCCTTGGTCTGTTGCCGACCATTCTCCTTCCCTCTTATCTCAATTCTGATAGGCCTTTTTCTGTTACCCACATCTTTACCTTCTCTCCAGCCTTCAATATTGTATACCTCTCTGAGTTCTCTCCTAGTGTATTAAAAACACTGAGCTTCCCTCACATGCACAAAACAAACAAAAACCCTATTTGCTATCAGGAGCAGCGATTCCTCATTACAAGAAATGTCTGAGTTCCACGAGGCGTGATCTTCTTCTGAATCTTCTGGCCTCGCTCATGCAATCACCTGCCTCCTCTAAAAACCTCCTTGCCTTTAAAACTATGCATCCCCACACAAGTTTCCAAAGAACCTTTCTTAAATTCAAAGTATTTTTCTCCTTGTTTTATAAAACGTCCTCCCAGGTTATGTGACTTTAACATCATTAACTAACTTCCCTGTGCCTTGCTAGGTTTCCTCACATAAAGATAAATAATACCTTCCTCATAAAGTAACAGTGAGGATTAAATAATAATGTGTGAAAGGTGCTCAGTACGACTCCAGATTCTACGGAAAAGATCAAGGAAAGATGGCTATTGTTGGCTTTTATTGTTAATACCTCACAGCCCATAGGCTTCAAAACCAATGCTATCTTATTTGATATTTTAATTATTTGCTGTTTTTGGTTATCTTCTTATTTGATTTTTTAATTATTTGCTGTTTTTGGTCATCTTCTTTGGTCATCTTTGGACTCTCCCAAAGGTGACAGTCCTCCCACGTGCCAGTGCTCAAGTCCTACTCCAAAATAAGTTGGCTTTCTCTGAGGCTTAA
Organism: Homo sapiens; assembly: GCF_000001405.40. NCBI lineage: Eukaryota > Metazoa > Chordata > Mammalia > Primates > Hominidae > Homo > Homo sapiens. The sequence goes on from NC_000004.12 coordinate 187,810,408, forward strand.
CACTTCCCAGTCCAGAGATATAATTCAGCAAACTACTCAAACTTGAAAATAACTTTAAAATCCCACCCTAATTCAAGCTGCCACCATTTCTCATCTGGTGTCCCAAAGCTTCCTGACTCATCTCCACATGTCACGCTGCTGCAGCACATCCAAACCCACTCCTACACACTGTGCTGCTGGAGACCGTCACTGTGCATGGAAAGGTCCAAATCCCAACTCCCTAACTTCACCTTCCTGATTTCACATGTCCTGTCCTCTGCTTACCTCCCCACTGTCCCTTCAGCCACTCTTCCTTTGTCTTTATCTTCTCTTACCTCACAGTTTCTCTCATCTCCTCCCAATTACCTTTTGCCCTTTTTAATCTTCTTTTTTAGGAAAATTCATACAATACAATGTAAACTCTACCAGGATGTTTTTCCTCTCAAACTTCCCTCCTCCCTTCCTGCTTCCTCAGCCTACCTGACCGTAGGTAACATTCAAAGTGCAGCTCAATGGCCAGGCACGGTCGCTCATGCCTGTAATCCCAGCCCTTTGGGAAGCTTAGGCTGGTGGATCACCTGAGGTCAGGAGTTCAAGACCAGCCTGGCCACTATGGAGAAACCCTGTCTCTACTAAAAATACAAAAAAAAAAAAAAAAAGCTGGATATGGTGGTGGATGCACGTAATCTCAGCTACTCAGGAGGCTGAGGCAGGAGAATCGCTTGAACCCAGGAGGTAGAGGTTGCAGTGAGCCAAGATCACGCCATTGCACTCCAGCCTGGGTGACAAGAGTGAGACTCCTTCTCAAAAAAAAAAAAAAAAGGAAAAAGTGCACCTCAAGGATTGCTTCCTTACAAAAGACTTCCCTTAACCCTCCAACTAAATCAGAAGCCTCTGTAACATCCTCTCATCCGTCTAGAGATCATTTCTTTCATGACCCTTCTCCAGACTTTACCTTTTGTTTATTTATTTGTTTGATTCTTGCATATGCTCGCTTGTCCTTGCTAGAACATATATGTTCAGTGAGGGAAGGATCCTTTCTGCCTTGTTTATTGCTGTATCTCAGAATCTAGAAGAATGGGGCATAGAATAGTAAAGTTTCTATTTAAAAAAGAGCAAGAATTGCACGTCCTTTAAAATATTTTCAATAAATATTTTTAAAAAGTCATTTAATGAATTTCATTGAATTGTGTTCATGGGACAATTAAATTGTCTCCCTCACTTGACAGTAATTCCAAAGGCTTATGGAAACCTTCTGCTGGTCGACTGTTGCAGGTGGAGCCTACACAGTGCACGGCGCGACGGTTGGGGCTCCTTTAATATTAGATCAATCAACATGCATCTTTAGGGTGCCCCCACTGTGCCTGCGTGAGAACGTGAAACGTTACTGCTTCCTCAGCCTTCTTTCTTCCACACCTCTGAGTGGCACCCTGAGGAGGAAGTGCTCATGACTTCCGTAGTGAAGGCTGTTCTCTCTGAAGATGTCACTGGGGAAATTTTATCCTTTCTAAATTTAGAAAGTGGGGGAGAGAAATGCAGCTAAATGGTTCAGATTCAGAGGGAGATAGTGAGAACCCTGAAAATGAATCATGGTACTTTTCACACACATAGTGAATCAAAATTTAATGGCAGTGAAAGGCTGTTGATAACATTCCTTTAAAAAATCCACATAACCAAAGACATTTACTTGCAGAAAACTTCCTGGACTTCTAAGTAGAATACTAGGCAGGTCTGTATTTTTAAATTTAGAAACCAGTCACAGATTTTTTTTCTCTAAACTTCATTAAGAGCTGTGCTCTGTATCAGCTGGTAAGCCTCTAATCCTACAAAGGTTGCTTATCAGGTTTGGGGAAAAAATATTTTAAAGGGAATACAATTCTTGCTCTTTCTTAAATAGAAATTTTACTATTCTATATTACATTGTCGTATAACATGTCATTTGGTGCCCCTGGAATCTCCTGTAAAATAGAAGCGTACGCTAGTAAATGTCATGATGAAATGAAACCAGGGATTATGAAAGTTGTGAAGCTTTCATTAAATATAAAATCTTATATTCGGTACCTTAGAATCAGTGACTCTAATACGTTATTTTTAAAATTTATTGTCAATATTAGCCGTGTCCCCAAATTAAGAAACTGCACTGAGCGTTTACGGCATTGACTTAAGAGAAATACAGTCAACGTATTTTAAATATATTACCATCTGTACCCAAATATAAAATGATCTTTAAATGTAAGGTAGTTCCCCATTTTATCACAAACTGTTTTGATCAACTTGAAATAGAAGCCCTTAAATGAAAGTGTCAAATGTCAATTTACAATATTAATCATTTCAGTTACCCAGACATTTAAAATTACATATTCTGGTACAGCACTGTTTAGGGAACTTTCTGTGATGACAGAAATGTTCCACATTTACTCTAATACGGGAGCCACCGGTCACATACGGCTAGTGGGCATGTGTGCCCACTTGAAACACGGCTAGTACAACCGAGGAACTGAATTTGTAAATTAATTTAATCTTAACTAATTTAAGTTTAAATTGGTTGGTGTGGCTAGTGGCTACTGAACCAGATAACACAGCTCTAGAAAACTAAAGATTTTTTTAGAAATGTTGCTATTTTCTACTCTCATTCAAACTCCACACGCTTCATTGACAACACTATTGTCATCATCATAACAATGATGTTAGATATGTTATTTAATTTTTCACAGCACATAATTTTTACTTCTAAGTTGATTGAAAATACAAAAAAAATTAGAAAAATGTTATGTGAAAAGGAATATAGAATAAGAAAAATGTGCCCTGATACTCATGGGGCCAGATTAGCCCTTGTGTAAAAAGAGTTTGAGGAGAGGAGGCACAAATCAAGAGATCCGGGCCCTGTTCTCTTTGAAGAAGATTCTACTTAGATGTTCGGGTTTAGCACTTTGTTCTTCTAAGTTCTCAGAAACCAAAGAATTTGTGTAGAAATGGTAATTTTACCTGATGTATTACCCAAGAGGCCTCTTAAGGACAAGGGTAGCCCTCTTTTATGAAGGCAATTTTTGAGAAAAAAAGCCATTGCTTTATATATGGTACATATGGTAAGTAAGAACAATTGAAGAAGAACTGAACACCACTTATTTAAAAATTGTGTACTTTATTTACAACCACATGAAATATTTTCCAATCACCAAGCCATCTTTAGAAGTTTTCCTTCCTTAATCATCAAAATGTCAGTACAAGAAGTTTGGATTTAGTTGTGAGTGACTGGGTGCTGTAAAGTCCACCAAGTAGTGGCATCATAGAGCACCAGGTGGCTCCCTAAACAGTGAGACCTGGGCACAGGTGTCAATCCCCAGAGATTCTGTCATCTAAGTCATGAGGTCATCTAAGTCATGAGCATCCACATGGAACATACAGCTATGCAGTTACTGGCAAATAAAACAAAATACCGACTGTGTCTCCTACAGTGAGATCAAAGAACCACTCTCCACTTACTCTGCAAACTTGCCTTGGTACCATCTCCTTCCGAGATTCAATAATTGATGTTTAATATGTGCTATTTAGTTCTGCTTTATTATTAAGAATTCCTTGAATGAGATGAATGAAAAGAATATTAATCTACTTCAATCTAGAAAAAAAAATCCTCATATCCATAAAATGAAATTAATGATTTCCAGAAGCAAATAATTTCTGTGATGATGTTCTCAGAAGAATTAAGGTGCTATCTGGTGCCCTGCTTGGATCGTTAGCCTAATGGGACTGATCAATCAGAAGGATAATGGCTAGATGGATATTTTTGTTGTTTTATTTTTAATGAATAAGAGATACTTATATTCATTAAAATTAGAAAAAAGATAATGAATCACCTCAAATTACAGAATTTCCATATTTCCCAAAAAACTGACAGTGTGTCTGCCAATAATAGCCACATACAATATTTATGCAAGCCTGGCTTTCTGTAATGAGAAATTCAACAATTGCCATGGTGATATCTTGGGAGGCAAGGAGGAAATACTGGTGATAACGGGAGTCTTGAGTGGTGATGGCGGGCAGCATCATACCATCCCCCTTGGGCCTGGGATGCTGCCAAGGTCTGCAGCGTGATGTTTGTCCTCCTCCATCGTCATCCAAACAAACAGGAAACTTGCTCTACAGAAAGTAATTCTTGCTGTTTTTCTTTATACATTTCTCAAAATATCTTTTAAATACTTTGTTACAGTAGGTAGTCAGGCCTACATGAGCAGGGCAAGAGAGCCCTTCCATCCCAACAGAAATGTCAGGTTACCATTAGATGATGGTCAGGCAGTTGTTAAACTGTCTCTCTAAAAAAATAATTGGTTACAGCCAGTGCCGTGGAAAGGCAGTCTCCCAGCAGATAGAAACACCTGAAACTGGTGATCAGCTTCCCAGTAAGGTCTCAGGAGTTGCGCAAGTGGGCTCAAGCATGCGCATTAAGAGGCAAAATGGCGGAGTTTAACTGGTAGATGACCTTGCACGGACATTTGACTGGTACGGGAAGAACGCTTCAAATGAGCATACATACAGCTCCGGTAAACACACTGCACGTGTGGCACCTCCAAGAGCGGGCAGGCAACTGCACAGGCAGACAGCCCACCCCAAGGGCAGAATCAGGGAAGAAGAGACGCAGGACCCCGGAAGCATGCCAACGTCACACCGCGCACTTCATCCCTCAAGTCACCCGCGTGGCCCTCTTGCGAGTGAGCTTTGCTTCCTTTCGTTCCTGCTCTGAAGCTTTTTAATGAACTTTCACTCCTGCTCCAAAACTTGCCTCGGTTTCTGTGTCTTACGCGCCTCAGTCGTATTCTTTCTTCTGAGGAGGCTAGGGCTGAGGTTGCCGCAGACCTGCCCCGATTCGCCGCTGCTAAGAATTTCTCAGACTCCAAGTTTCCAGTCTTCCCTGAGCAGCTCTCTGTGACTTTTTTCTTCCTGCGCTGTCTCGCACTTTACACACAGTTTTCTCTGAGGAACCTTCCTCCTACTAAATGTTCTAAGTTAGTTTTCCATGATTTTTTTTCTCCTCCTTCTTCCCTTGACTGTTGGGATACAGAAATATTTCACACAAATGATTTCTAATACGATTGAGTAGGAAGGAAATCAGCTTACTTTAAAAGTCTAGAAGCATTCTTAAGTCTGCTTTTCAATAATCGTCTTTTTTCATATAATACTTTTCTTGCCCTCTTTGGAAACTTTGAGCCTGAATACAAATTAGAACAACACAAAATTCAAGTCCTTATGATGGAATTCAAATTTGTATTTTGGCTCAATTAGCTGCTTTCTAGTACATTTAGGATCATAGCATTTAGCCCACATTTAGTGGCAAAGGTAGTAACATTAACGTTGGGTTAAGTACAAAACATTAACCAAAAAATCTTGTAGAGAATTGAGATGTTATGACTAGAAAGAAATTATGAAGATGTTATTTTCAGGGTATACATGGACTTTAACTGGGCACTGATTTTTATCAAGAAGTATTAGCAATTAAATTAACTGTCTTTCATGTGTTTAAGAAATCAGTCTTCTATCCATATTATATGAGACAAGAACATGACAAAATATTTTAAAAAGCAAAAGAATGATTATAAAAAATAATGCAGAAATAATATTTTTAAAGAAAATATATTTAAAATGCAGTTTTGGGATATTTTACAGCAAGTTACTTCAACCATACCTCTAGTTATACAGAATTTTGTCAAGAAACAAATCATATTTTAACATATCTAGTTTGAAGTTTTCCAAATACAAATAAATAAGGCATCTTAAAAGCATGACAATTTATTCTGTCATTACTTAAAGCTTTTAATTTTGCATACTTAGGGCTAGTAAAGATATAATAAGAAATAGATTGGAAGCAGCTGAACAAACATAGTGTTCATAAATGCATTTGATTTGATATTGACGTCAAGCAGTTCTACCAAAGTGATTTAAGAACTTGAGAGATAAGCTAATACGGTGGTCTAAAGGGAGTCTTATCTTGTTCTGTACATATGAGTTCAGAGCTCTCTATTGAATTCTACTTTTTACCACATCTGATTATTCTTCACGGACCACTGGGAATAGACCAAATTGGGGCCACTGATCCTAATTTAAGTCCTTTCTGACCCCTTTCTGAGTCTTCAATTCTTGCTTGCAAAAGAGAGTATTCAAAATGTCCGTATCAAAATAATATTTAGATAAAAGGTGTGAATAATTCATGATAAAAAATTTGCTTTCTGATTATGTAGGTTATTATATTAACTAAACATGTTTATTTTACCTTTTGATGTGGCTCTGTTCTGTTAGCCCTACCACAAAGATGATATTTGTCACAGTGTAACAGTCTATTATATTACCTCTTACAAAGGCATGATATTCTATTGATGTTTAATAGAATAATTTTTAAAGTACAAATAAATGATTTAATTTATTTAAATAATTTATATTAAATATTAAAATGTATATATATCACAGATATTTTATATGTATATTACCTATATTCAGGCATGCAGTTAGGGAAAGAAACGGAGGGAAATTGTTAGTTAAACATGATCTTAAGAATTTCTTCCATATGTGGAAAAGTCATCAGTTCATCTGGCATATAGCAATATATACATATATATATACATATATATAGAATGCTATGTATACATTTATCCTACATTCATTTAACATCAAAACATAAAAAAGTTATTTCTTTATTCTCTCTAAGCAAAAACCAGTAATAACAGCTCTGTAAATAGACTCTAGACCAACAGATCAAGGGAACAGGTTAAACCCCTTGCTTATTTGTTAGAATTCAAAGAGCCTCACTTTAGCTAATCTGATTGGGCTAATTTGTGTGTAAATACAGATATGGATAGATAGAACTATATATATATATACAAACAATATATATTTTATGTAATATAAAATACATATAATAGATAAATTAGAATCTATTCATTTAACTTACCTGAAACCATATAATCACTCAAATGTGTCTGCATGTCTGTGTGTATCTGTGTATGCATGTGTATGAAATGTAGTTTTTTAACTTGACATATAATAGATGTAAATATTTTCGGGGTACATGCGATAATGTGTTACATTCGTATAATCAAATAAGGATAATTGGAATATCCATCATCTTAAATATTCATCTTTATGTTAGAAACACTAAAGTTATTATCTTCTAGCTGTTTTGAAGTGTACAATAGATTAATGTTAACTATAGCTATCCTACTGATACATCAAATACTAGGTCTTATTTCTTCTGTTATAATGCATATTCGTACCCATTAATCAACCTCTCTTTAGCTCCCCTTTCCCCCAACCCTTGGTAGCCTCTGGTAATCACCAATCTACTTTTTATCTTCATGATATCTTTTTAGCTCCCACATATGAGTGACAGCATTCAATATTTGTCTTGCTGTGCTTGGCTTATTTCACTTAACATAATGGCATCCAGTTCTATTCATGTTACTGCAAATGACAGAACTTCATTCTGTTTTATGGATGAATAATACTCCATTGTGTGTGTGTGTGTGTGTGTGTGTGTGTGTATCACATTTTCTTTATCCATTCATCCAATGATGGACACTTAGGTTGATTCCATATCTTGGCTATTGTGAATAGTGGTGCAGTAAATACAGGAGTGCAGATGTCTCTTCGATATACTAATTTCCTTTCTTTTGAGTATATACCCAGTAGTGGCATTGCTGGATCATATGGTAGTTCTATTTTTAGTTTGTTTAGGAACCTCCATACTGTTCTCCATAGTGGTGTTATTAATTTACATTTCCACGAACAGCATATGGGGGTTCCCCTTTCTCCACATCCTCACCAACATTTATTATTACCTGTCTTTTTGATAAAAGTTATTTTAGCTAGAGTAACTCCTTGTAGTTTTGATTTGCAATTCTCTGACGGTGAGTGATGTTGAGTATTTTTTCATATACCTGTTGATCATTTGCATGTCTTGTTTTAAGAAATGTCTATTCAGATCTTTTGCCCATTTTAAAAATCAGATTATTTATTTTCTTGCTATTGAGTTGTTTGAGCTCCTATATTCTGGTTATTAATTCCTGTCAGATTGATAGTTTGTAAATATTTTCTCCCACTCTGTGGGTTGTCTCTTCGCTTTTTTTATTGTTTCCTTTGCCGTGCAGAAGTTTTTAGCTTAATGTTATCTGATTTGTCTATTTTTGCTTTGGTTGCCTGTGTTTTTTGAAATCTTACACACAAAGTATTTTTCCAGACCTATGTTCTGTAGCATTTCCCCATGTTTTTCTCAGTAGTTATATGGTTTCAGATATTAAATTTAAGTCTTCAATCCATTTTAATTTGATTTTTGCATATGGCAAGGGCTAAGAGTCTAGTTTCGTTCTTCTGCGTATGGATATCCAGTTTTCCCAGGTCCGTTTATTGAAAAGACTCATCTTTCCCCATTGTGTCTTCTTGGCACCATTGTCAAAAATGGGTTGGCTGTAAATATGTGGATTTATATTTGGGTTCTCTATTCTGTTCTGTTGATCTATATGTCTGCTTTTATGCCAGTATTACACTGATTTGGTTACTACAACTTTGTGGTATATTTTGAAGTCAAATTGTGTGATGCCTTCAGTTTCGTTCTTTTGTAGTTCCATATAAATTTTAGGATAGTTTTTTCTAGTTTTTTGAAGAGTGTCATTGGTATTTTCATGGGGGTTCCATTGAATCTACATTTTAGGGTAGTGTTGTCATTTTATCAATACTAATTCTTTCAGTGCAAAAGCATGACATATCCTTTCATTATTTTGTGTCCTCTGCAGTGTCTTTTATCAGCGTTTGATAGTTTTCCTTGTACAGATCTTTCATATCTTTGGTTAAGTTGATTCCTAGGTATTTTATATTCTTCTTAGCTATTGTAAATGGGATTAGTTTCTTGATTTCTTTTCTAGATTGTTTGCTGTTGCCACATCTAAATGCTACTTATTTTGGAATGCTGATTTTTATATCCTGCAACTTGTAATGGAGTTTTGGTGGTTATGACTATGCATGTCTTTGAACTGATTTGGTAGTTGAAAGACATATATTTTTAAAACTTCAAAAATTAGAGAATTGATATGGGTAGATATTTAAACTCTACTTCATTAATTCATCTCATTTTATGAATGTGATAAGATACTAGAAAGCAAGTGGCTTCCAAGGGGCAAAAACTAATAAATTACAGAGACAAGACTTTAGCCTAACTTGTTTAACTTACAATAAAGTGGTACTTCTCTACCTCACTTAGAATAAAGCAGTATTGTATCTCCTCCAAAGTCTGTGGTGAAACTTAATTCTCAGCACAACTGTATCAAAAGGCTGGCCCTTAGGAAATAATCAGACCATGAGGCCTCTGCCCTCATGAAGAAAGGGCTGGAGAGAACTAACTAGCCCTCTTTTGTACTTTTTTGCCTTTCCCTCCCTTCTGGCATGTGAATATACAGTGTTTGCTCCTCTGGAGAATGCAACATATAAGGCGCCATCCTGGGAGCAAAGACAGGGCCCTCACTAGACCCTGAACCTGCCAGCCCCTTGATCTTGGACTTCTCTGTTTTCAGAACTATGAGAAATCAATTTCCATTGTTTATAAATTACTCACTCTGTGGTATTTTTTTATAACAACACAAAAAAACTAAGACAAATTGGTACCACCAGAAATGGGTGTTGCTATAAAAATACCTCAAAATGTGAAAGTGCCTTTGAAACTGAGTAATGGGTAGAGCCTGGAAGAATTTGGAGGTGCATGCTAGAAAAAGATTAGATTGCCATGAACAGTGCATTAAGGGTGATTCTGATGGGAGTTCAGAAGAGAAGAGCTGTAGACAGAGCCTCAATCTTCTTAGATATTACATACATGGTCATGGTGAGAATGCTGGTAGAAATATGGACAGTAAGGCTATTCTTAGTTCTCTTATTTGGAGATGAGGAATGTCTTATGGGAAACTGGAAGAAAAGCATCCTAGTTATAAATGGCAAAGAACATGGCTGAATTGTGTCTGTGTCCTAGTGTTTTATGAAAGGCACAACTTAGAAGTGATAAGCTGGGACATTTCGTGAACGAAATATCTAACAAAGCATTGAGGTTGTCGTATAGCTTCTCTTGACTGCTTATAGTAAAGTGCAAGAAAAGAGAAACCTGAAATATGATCAGAGCTGAAATCTATAATCAAAAGGGAAACAGAACTTAAAGATTTGAAAATTTTGGGCACAGCCAGATGGTAAAAAATAAAAAAGCATGTTTGGGAGAAAACACCAAGGGTGTGGCTAAGGGAGCATTTGGTAAAGAGGTTGGTATGGGTAGAAGAAGGCCAGGCACTATTCATCAGAACAATGAAATAATCACCCCAAAGCATTTCTGAATTCTTTGTGGCTGCCCTACTCATCATAGGCCCAGCATGCCAGGGCCTTGAGGGTTGAACTGTTTCGAAAGAAGGGCCCAGTGTGGCCTTACTGACTGGGATTGCCTCAAGTCTATGTTCCTTGCATTTCAGTGCAGTGCTCCTTGGTCACCCCAGCGTGGCTCAAGTGGGCCCAGGTGTGGCTCAGGCTGTTGCCTCAGAGGGCACAAGCAGTGAATGGTGACATCTCCATGGTGCTAAGTCTACAAGCACACAGATTGCAAGAGCCATGGAGGCATGGATACCTCTACCTAGATTTCAAAGAATGGCTCAGACAGCTGTGGGGCCCAGTGTTTTAAACTTCAAAGGCTACAGTTTAAAACACTACACTCACAGGCAGGCCCACTGCAGACAGCCCCCCATGAGGGCAATGCCCAGCACAGCCATAGAGTCAAGGCCACCATAGAGAGCTCCCATTAGGGCAATGTCTGGTGGAGCTGTGGGGATGGGGTCATCTCCAAGACACCATAACTGTAGAGGCACCAGTAAAGCAACGCCAGCCTGCGAGAGCTGCAGGCACCTGACTCCATCCCCTGAAAGCTGCTGTGTGGGCTACACCAAGCAAATCAGTGGAGGTGGGGTCCCCCAGTGACTTGGAGGTCCAAACTCTGTTCTAATGTGTCCAGCGGGCAGGGCATAGAGTCAAAGATTGAATATTGTTTGACTTGTTGCATTTTGGACTTGCTTAGGATTGTGTTTTGGGAGCATACAACTGTTTAATGTTACAGGCTCACAGTTGAAGAGCAAATTGAGTCTCACCCATATCTGATCTAGTTGAGATTTGAATTTAGACTTTAAGGTTGAATCTGGCATGAGTTAAGACTTTGGGGTTATTGGGATGAAATTCATGTGTTTTTTACATAAGAAGGACACAAATTTGAGGGGAGGGTCAAGAGCAGAATGCAACAGGTTAAATGTTTGTGTCTCCTCTAAAATTCATATCAAAACTTAATCCCCAAAGCAACTATATTAAGAATTAGGTCCTTTAGGAGGTGATTAACCTAAGAGGGCTCCACTCTCATGAATTAGTGACCTCATACAAAAGCTGAAGATAACTAGCTAGGCCTATTTTTGCCTTTTTGCCTTTTGCCTTTTGCCTTGTGAGTACACAGCACTGGAGGTGCCATCCTCGAAACAGAAACCAGGACCAAACCAAACACCAAACCTGCTGGTGCCTTGAACTTGAACTTCCCAGCCTCCAGAACAGTGAGAAATAAATTTCTGTTGCTTAGAAGTTATCCAGTCCAGGTATTTCATTATAGTAGAACAAATGGATTAAGACACACTGTAATGCACTGCTTCATAAATGGCATTATATTATCCTATTAATTTTGTTGTTAATTTTGCTCTTTAAAGAAATGATAAAATTGGGGCCAGGCTCAGTGGCTCACGCCTGTAATCCCAGCACTTTGGAAGGCCAAGGCGGGTGGATCATGAAGTCAGGAGATTGAGACCATCCTAGCTAACACGGTGAAACTCCATCTCTACTAAAAATATAAAAAATTAGCTGGGCGTGGTGGCACACGCTTGTAGTCCCAGCTACTCAGGAAGCTGAGGCAGGAGAATCGCTTGAACCTGGGAGGTGGAGGTTGCAGTGAGCCGAGATCGCACCACTGCACTCCAGCCTCAGCGACAGAGTCTCAAAAAAAAAAAAAAGATAAAATTAGTAGGAAAAATCATTTTAATGAACATGTGATCTTGGAAATTTGCTCTGAAGCCCTCATATGGCAGCAATATTAAAGCAGATTAAATACTAAGATACGTGTGTGCGTCTGAAATTATTTTTACATAAACTGGTTTCTCTAACTTTACTCAAGATTATTTTAACTAATTTTAGGCAGAGTAATACCCTAGTTTGAAAATATTTTTAGGCAAGGAAATTGCAAGCCCCCGTTTGGCAATATGCTCTAACACAGGGCTTCTCAACCCTCACTATCCATGAACCCCCAGCTAAACCACAACATGCATGAGCACACACACACACACACACACACATGCACATACAAGTCCTCCAAATCAACATGAGAAAAGTCTCTCACATAATTCAAGAATGCTGTTTCACCAACTTCAACCCTCAGTCTGACAACAAGATGTAATAGTAAATGTAGTATATCCGTTTGAAGCACTTTATAAACTGAAAGAAACTGGACACAAATAAAATGGTTCAACCATCTCTTCGATAATTTTTATAGCCATGGAAAGACACCTCATAGTCACATAATCTTAAGCGTGTTCATGGAGCAGCGAGTCAAATGACATTATGTGGCAATAAAGAAGACTTCAGCGCGTTTCCTGACTTTACCAGTGAAAACATCTGACCTTGAGGAGGGCACTGAAAATGCCACTGCATCGACATTTTTTTTTTTTTTAGATGGAGTTTTGCTCTTGTTGCGCAGGCTGGAGTGCAATGGCACGATCTAGGCTCGCTGCAACCTCCACCTTCCGGGTTCAAGCAATTCTCCCGCCTCAGCCTCCGAAGTAGCTGGGATTACAGGCATGCGCCACCACACCTGGTTAATTTTTTGTATTTAGTGGAGACAGGGTTTCACCATGTTGGTCAGGCTAGTCTCAATCTCCTGACAGGTAATCCACCCGCCTTGGCCTCCCAAAGTGCTGGGATTACAGGCGTGAGCCACAGCGCCCGGCCGCATCGCATCTATTTTTGTAAAATATGCATAATTCTAGAATATGTTTGTTGTGAGGATTGAAGCTCATAATATGTACCCTTTTAAAACTTTATGTTGAAATGCCTCAAATCAAAATATTATCATATGATGCAGTTTATTCATCCTTATGAGAAGACACCTGATAGGGACTGTCAAGGGTGACTGTATCAAATGTGCAAGAGATTCGGGGCATTTGCTTATTGCAGTGAATTGCACAAAAGAATTATTTGAAATAAATATAACATGCAATGAAGTTGTCAATAAGTAGCATAATTTATACTTGCTAGTTCAATGCTGGACACAGATAAAGTGTTTCAAAATACAAATGCCTCACAGAGAAAAGGGAAGTGAATGAGAAGAAAGGAAATTTATTGAAATGAAAGATAGGAGAAAACAGGAGAAGCACAGAAGTGACAGACAGGAACCTATTGCACATGAGAATGACACTTCACTAGACAGACCCTTTCAGAATTCAATCACAATGCTAAACTTTCCAAAAGTTCACAAAGTAAAACTTTTGAGTACTAGCAGTGACACAGGTCCTGTTGAAATTTTCACAGGAAATAGAGGGAACATAAACTGATTAGTTTTTAATCAAGATAAACACATATGTCCACTCTAACTTAGTAATCGCTTATGTTTAACATGTTAAATACAATGTATTAAACTTATTATATGCTAGGCACTGTTTTAAGTGTTTAATATCTGTGGTCTCATTTATTGCTGCTAACTGCCTAAGAAAATAGGTAATATCCCTACTTTAGCTTTGTGGAAACAGATGTTCAAAGCTATTAGTCTCCCATCATAGCAAGTAGCTGAGCCAAGATGCACACGTGGTCCCTACAGTTTAAAACACTACACTCACTTTTCTCTTCTGTACTATTGAAGTGATGCTGTCATTATTCACTATTCATTTAATGTCTTTTGCACTTGTTTTAAGATCAGTTCAGGAGTATTTCAGTTCAAGTCCCACCATGAAAAGAGAAGCCACACCAGCATTTTAGTAGAGAGAATTGTTTCCAAGGTTATTGTAGACCCGAAAAGGCAAAAAGGGAGACAGAGGATGGTTAGCTTACATCTCCAGGACTGGAACAAAGGAAAAAGAATGGGCTTATCACCACCTACAACCTCAGAAACTAGGCCCAGCAGAGCTGTGACCCAGACACCTGAGAAGTGGGCTTTTCTTTGGAGGAGTCAGGGAGAGACCCCACAGAGCTGGGATTCAGATTTCTGAGGGGCGGTGCTACCTCATTGCTGCTTGTTATCTCCAAGCTGGAGATGATAGGAATGGTTCTGGGAGTGTGGAAGAAAAGGTATGTCAACTACTAAACCGAATGCTGCCGTGGCTGTATTGACTTGAGTGCTTCCCTTCTCTCCGCCTGCTGTCTTCCTGTCTCCCACTAGTGACTTGTAGCTGCAGAAGCAGACGGCAAACAGTCCTACAGTTTCCAACCCAGCACCACTGAGCAGATATATAAAGGTAGATTTGAGCTATGCAAGTCAGTCAGTTCCATTATTTTATAATTAAGCCATACTTTTTGTTTAATTACTATATACTCAATTTATCAGATTTGATTAAATAACCTCTGAGTATTGTCAAAAGATAAATCCACTTCCCAAAGATAAGGATTTGCCACCATGGAGGATATCCCAATTTCAGACTACATCTATTTTCCAGGCAAAGTTTCAAATTATTTTCCTCAGGAGACATCAAAAGATGTCTTCAGAGAAAAGACCTGCTGATACTGGCGTTAGGGGTTACATAAAGAAAAGGGCCAGCTCCTTCCTGAGTTCCCTGGAGTGAGTTCCAGAAAACAACCCAGAGTTTCCAATCAGCGTCTTAGTGTCCAAGGACCAGCCGATAATGTGAGAAAATATCCCATGATGAAAGAGTAAGTCAGTAATAAAGCAAAATGTGGGGACAGAAAGATAATTCAGGAAGTAGAAAACTGAAAAAATGAGTATAAATTATCAGAAAAATAAAAACAAACTATTGATAACAACAGGAATGCCATGAAAAATGAACAATTAGAAAACAGTGACAACTAGAACAATAAAAAAGTCTTTGAAAATTAAAAAAAAAATGATGGTCAAAATAAAACTTCTAATACAAGAGGAAAAGTTTCAGAAATCTATCAAAAAATAACAAGGAAAAATACAAGACATGGAGAATCATTGCAAGAAACTCACTTTCTAGAAAAAATGGCATGAGAGTGGGGAGACAGAAAAAAACGCTGGAGAAAAAGTTATAAAAGCACTAATACAGGAAAATTTCCCCAAACTAAAAGACTTGAGTCCTCAAAATCCTTTTTAATGGCCAGGATGAAAAATGAAAATGTCTTATTTAAGGCATATAAAATTAAAAAGCATCAGCACTAAAGAGAAGCATCTAAAATTTTCCATAAAAACCGTAAATCACATACAAAAGAATGAGAATCTGAATAGTGCTGAAGGATCAACAGAAGCCTTTTTTTTTTTTTTTTTTTTTTTTTTTTTTTTTGCTAAAAGTCAATGGAACAACAAGGCCTGATAAATTTTAAAGAAAAAATAATGTTCAACCTTGAAATTTTGTTAATACTTTATTCTACAGGTGTACTGCTTTTAATACACACTTCCTTTAAAAATTTCCTTGCTACGGCAAGGAAAACAGAAAGTAACTAAGAAAACGGGAGTCAGTTCTAGAATATGGTATATCCAAGTTAGGAAATTAGGAACACAGCCACAGATAACAGCACACAGCTAAAGCCGAGAGCAGCCAGTCCAGATCACAGCAAGTGAAAAGAGACTCCAAAAAGTTTTTTCTAGTTAAGAGAAAGACTCAGTAGAAAAGTAGTTGATATTTAGAATCATAGCCAAGAAGAATTAAGAAGAGTAAGTAAGAAAAGAATTAAGGATGTGAGAATGAATTATACAAGTGAAAGAACAGGTGCATCTCCTTCAAAACAAATATCTACACAGTATAAAAGGAGTAAACATAGCATGCTAGCTGGCCCAGCAGTGAACAATATTTTCATCACGTAGTGGTGTAAATACAGCTTGCTAATCTACATTAAAAATAATATGATTCTATTGTGATAATTCTATTGCAAGAACGAGGGAGGGGCAAATAAGAGAACTAAGTCTATATCCATCATCATAGAAAATCAATATGTAATATTTCAACATGCAAAATCAATAAATAGCAATATAGATTTCATGTTTAGAAATAGGGATAAAACTACAGAAGAAAAAGCTGAAAGAGTGAAGTGTCTGCCTCTGTAGGGTGGTACTACAAGAAAAAAGAACTGCAAGGTGCTATTGTGTACTGTGGTAAGTTTTCAGTATGGGGCTGTTTATTTATATGTTTGATCTAAAAATCGTCCCCCCCCCTCCGTGGCTCTGCCCTGCGTGGGCGGACTGCGAGGACCTGATCTCTGCAAACTACACTTCCCAGGATTCCTTGTGCATTGACTGCTGGCTCGTTTCAGCCAATGAGAGGCACTGGCAGAAAGTCAGTTGTCCTGGTATATGCTGGCATATCTCCGCTTCTCTCTCTTCTGTGGTGCCACCTCTGGCCACTGATATTCTCCTCACAAGGCACAAGGTCCCCCTGCCTAGTGAGGCCTCCAAAGTTCTACTTCAGGCTTGGCGGCTCCAACTCTTAAGCTACTCTCTTTGAACCTCCAACCTAGGGACAAGGGCAACTTCCAGCAGCAAGGAATCTCATCTTCCGCTGGTGGCTCCTTAAGGTCTTATAACACCTTTAAAAATAGCGTCCTAGGCCGGGCACGGTGGCTCATGCCTGTAATCCCAGCACTTTGGGAGGCCGAGGTGGACGGATCACGAGGTCAGGAGTTCGAGACCACCCTGGCCAGGATGGTGAAACCCCATCTCTACTAAAAATACAAAAATTAGCTGGGCGTGGTGGCGGGCACCTATAATCCTAGCTACTTGGGAGGCTGAGGCAAGAGAATCGTTTGAACCCGAGAGGCGGAGCTTGCAGTGAGCCGAGATCCTGCCACTGCACTCCAGCCTGGGCGACAGAGCGAGACTCCGTCTAAAAAAAAAGAAAAAGAAAAAGTGTCCTATATTAAATAAATTCCTCATATTTTATACTAATATTAATTCCAATTCAATACTTTACATCAGCTTTGATTTTTCAAATGGCCCTGAGTGATACAAGTAACTGTGTAGTATTTTAATATACAAGTGTCAGAAAGTATTGACAGAGCCTCTCGACCAAACTTTACTCTCTTCAACGATTTCTCAACTTTTAGACTTTTTTTACTTATCTCTACATTGTCCAAATTTAGCAAGAAGCTTGCTAAGTCAATTTAGTCATTCTCCTTGTCTGCTCACCCTGGATATCTGATCGGGTTCCTCATCCTCCACCATCCTCCAGATGATGTGTGATTGCCCTGGCCTGCCTCCAGCCAGCATCCTGGCAGGTCAGTTTGGCCACAGAATCTCCCTTACTACTAATGTTTCCTCTTAGTAATTTTCCGTCCACCGAGCTCCCTCCCCTGCTCCTTGTTTATAAATTCTCACTTTTTCTTATTTTTTTCAGAACTGAGCCCAATCTCTCTCCCCCACTGCAAGGCGCCATTGCAGTAGTCCTGGATCTATGA
Source organism: Homo sapiens (assembly GCF_000001405.40). Classification (NCBI taxonomy): domain Eukaryota; kingdom Metazoa; phylum Chordata; class Mammalia; order Primates; family Hominidae; genus Homo; species Homo sapiens. The sequence goes on from NC_000004.12 coordinate 187,828,048, forward strand.
CAAAAGTACCCTCTTGAACAAAGTCTCCCTTACTGTTTTTAACAAGTTTCATTAATACTTTTTTCTTAAACAGTATAAGTTTCTAAAAGGTCAAATATATATTTCATAGTGCTTTGTGAATTCTTAAGGAAAAAAATCAGAACAATGGCAGAATCACTTCAAAAGAAAAGGCGTGGTGGCTCGCGCCTGTAATCCCAGCACTTTGGGAGGCCGAGGCAGCAGGATCATCTGAGGTCAGGAGTTCAAGACCAGCCTGGCCAACATGGTGAAACCCCATCTCTACTAAAAATACAAAAATTAGCTGGGCATAGTGGCGCATGTCTGTAATCCCAGCTACTCGTGAGACTAAGCGGGGAGAATCGCTTGAACCCGGGAGGCAGAGGTTGCAGTGAGCCGACATTGTGCCGTTGCACTCCAGCCTGTGCGATGGAGCAAGACTCTGTCTCAAAAAAAAAAAAAAAAAAAACCAAAAAAAAAAAACCAAAAAAAAAAAAAACAGAGAGAGAGTGAGAGAGAGATCTTATATTCTCCTAAAGTGTCTACTTGGAATGAAATTCTCAGGAGTTCACTTATGGCTAGTTAAAGCCATTGCATTGTTCTACAATACTGCAAAATGAAATAAGTAAAATATTTTGTCCCCAAATAAAAGAGTACAGCTTACTTTTTCTAAGAATTAATATTCATGAAAACTACACTTGTGTTTTTATTTTGTCCCCAGTGAAAATCAGCGTCTCAGCAGCAGATCCACTGAATATATCGGTACAACTTGATAGATCACTGCTTCTTCCTACGAGACTTCAGCGTCAAACTAAAGGGAAAAACCCAGCAGTTTTCTTATTATTATCATGTATTTAATTACATAAATAATATTTTTAAAACAGTCCAGAAGAGCACATAATGAAAACCATGTCTCTCTCATTCGAGTGTGCTCTCTGTGGGCAGCCAGTGTCCACGTCTCCTGTACCCTTCCATAATCCATTTATGTAGTTATAAGCATGCATTTACATTTTCCCAGAAAACGGGGATAATAACATCATTAACTGAAGTAAAATTTTTGTAAGGATTAAATAAGAAGAGAAGGAAACAAAAATTTAATATATTAAGTCCTTAATAAATGATAAATATCAGTTATTCATATTTTCTAATTTCATCAAACTATCTACTATCAAGTATGGAAATAAATTTATCTGGTCTCCTACTGAGGTTGTTTTCCAAGCTTCCAAGTTTCCAAAGTTTATATAAGTATAAGTATTGTATAAGTATTATAAGTGTATGAAATGCATGTATAAAAAATACATAGTGTTGTTGTAGATTTAAGGGATTGTGCATTTTTACTTTTGTATTACCAAACAATCCTCCAATCAAAAAGCAGACACACGCACACACTATATAAGAGGTGTGATAATGATGTATAGATTGTAAGTGTAATATAAGTCTTCAAAATATGTCTTGTGGAACAGATACAATCTTTCACAGGTAAAAACTGAATCTTTAGTAGGTTTAAAAAAGACATTGTATATCGACATAATCATGTGTGTTATAACATAAGCAGTGATGTGAAGCAGGAATTGGATTTGTATATTGACTCCCTGTCACAGTTAAGATGCTAGACTAGTTGAAGGGGAAGAAGACGAGGTGTATCAACTGAAGTCAGATTATAGAGGAAGTTGGAGCCAAATTTCTGAGTTGTTGGAGAAGGTAATTACAGATTTTGAAACCCTGGAAGATATAAATGCAATTTTTTGTAAGGACAATCATACCTCCTCTTCTCAGACTGATGATTTCCATTACATTTTAAAGGGCCTAAGCAACAACATGTTTTTGGTAAGTCTGAGCATAGTTGCAAACCAACCAGTTCCTAAATTATGAAAATTGTCATTTTCTTTCAAAGCAAAATGACTTAAACGGCTACAAATCAAGTTGTATTGAATAATCCAGGGTTTGCAATGTTTACTGTAATTCTGTTTTCTGCAATGTGTAGTTTTAATGGTTCTTTTATTTTGAGAATTAGTTCTATTGGTATCAATATACTCTTAGCTCAAGCAGTAGGTTTGCTTTTTTATGATACTGTACAACAACTTGAGTGGAGCTAGCAGGCTGATTTCATATGCTAGACATATCTACCTATCCAGTACTTCTTGGCATATAATTTTTTTTGGACATGTACAAAGTGTTTTTTTCCAAGTATACAATACTTCAGGATTAACTATAGTGGATATGCTGTACAATAGATCTCCAGAACTCATTCATCCTAACTGAAACTTGGTACCCTTCGACCAACATCTATCTCCTCATTCTCCTCCCCCACATCCTGGCGACCACCGTTCTACTCTTGGCTTCTATGAGTTCAACTTCTTTAGATTACATGTAGACGTGAGATCATGCAGTATTTGTCTTTCTGTGTTTGACTTATTTCATTAGCATAATGCTTATCCATATTATCTCAAATGACAGGATTTCCTTTCTTTTTTTTACTCTAAATAGTATTCCATTGTGTATATATACCACATTTTAAAAAATCAGTTTATCTGTTGATGAGCATATCTTGGCTATTGTGAATAGTGCTGTAATGACATGGGAGTCCAGGTATCTCTTTGACTTACTGATTTTTTTCCTCTTGGAATTTATACCCAATAGTGGAATTGCTGGATCATATGGTAGTTCTATTTTTAACTTGTTGAGAAACCTTCATACTGTTTTCTATAATGACTGTGCTAGTTTACATTCCCACCAACAGTATAGAAAGGTTCTCTTTTCTACATCCTCCCCAACATTTGTTATCTTTTATCTTTTCATAATATCTATTTGAACAGGTATGAGGTGATATCTCATTGTGGGGTTACTTTGAGTTTCCCTGATTATTAATGATGTTAAGCAATTTTTTCATATACCTTTTGGCCATTTATGTCTTCTTTTGAGTATTGTATATGCAGGTCCTTTGCCAATTTTTTAATTGGATTACTTGTTTTCTGGCTATTTGGTTGTCTGAGTTCCTTATATATTTTGGATGGTAACTCCTTATGAAATGTATGCTTTGCAAATAATTCCATAGGTTGTTTTTCACTTTTGATCATTTCTTTTGCTATCAGAAGCTTTTATTTTTTAACATTATTTATTTATTTTAATTGAGAAATATTGTATTTATCATGTTTTAAAATGTGCATCCATTGTGAAATAGCTAAATGAAGGTAACTAAGATATGCATTACCTCACATACCTATTTTTCTGTGTGTGATGAGAACACAAAATCTGCTCTTAACAATTTTCAGGAATACAATATAGTCATCCCTCAGTGTAGTTGGGAGATTTGGTTCCAGAAGCCCTGCTTATACCAAAATCTAGGGATACTCAGGTTCCACAGTCTGCCCTGTGGAACCCACATATGGGAAAAGTCAGCCCTCAGTGTATCTGGGTTTTGCATCCCATGAACACTGTATTTCTGGATTGAAAATTCTGTATTTTCAATACAGAATTCTGCAGATGCAGAACCCTTGGATACAAACGGCTGGCTGTATTTATTGAAAAGATCTGCATAGAAATGGACTCAAAGAATTCAAACCAGTGTTGTTCTAGAGTCAGCTGTACATTGTTACTAACTATAGTCACCATGTTTTACATTAATGCTCTTCAACTTATTTGTCCTATCTTACTGAAATTTTGTATCCTTTGCCCAACATCTCCCCAGACCTCCATGTTTAGCCCCTGGTAACCACTATTCCACTCTCTGCTTCTATGAGTTCCATATTTTCAGATTCCACATATAGGTGTAATCGTTTATATTTTTGTGCTTGGCTTATGTTACTTACTATAATGTCCTCCTCCAGATTCATCCAGGTTATTGCAAATGACATGATTTTCTTATTTTTAAAGCTAAATAATAGTCCATTGCATTTATGTACCACATTTTCTTTATCTGTTCATCTGTGATGTACACTTAGGTTGCTTCCATATCTAGGCTATTGTGAATAATTCTACAATAAACATGAAAATGCAGATATCTCTTTGACATACTGATATCATTTTCTTTGGATAGATATCCAGTAGTAAGATTGCTGGGCCTTATGATAGTTCTATTTGTAATTTTTTGTGAAACATCCATACTATTTTCTATAATGATTATACTAATTTACATTCCCACTGACAGTGTGAAAGGATTTCCTTTTCTCCTGTAGGTTTTCAGTTTGATGCAATCCAAATGGTATATCTTTGCTTTTGTCACCTGTGCTTTTGGAGTAATATCCAAAAAATCATTGCCTAGATCAGTGTCAAAAAGCTTTTTTCCCTGTTTTCTTCTAGCAGTTTTACAGTTTCAGGTTTTATGTTTAATCCATTTTAAGTTGATTTTCCCTATGATGTGAGAAAAGATCCAATTTCATTCTTCTGAATGTAGACATCTAGTTTTCCCAATACCGCTTACTAAAGACACTATAATTTCTCCATTGTGTATTCTTGGCATTTTTGTCAAACAGTAGTGGACTGTAAATGTGTGCATTTATTTCTGGGCACTCTATTCTGTTCCATTGGTTTATGTATCTGTTTTTATGACAGTAGCATGCTGTTTCAATTTCTGTAGCTTTGTAATATGTTTTGACATTAGGTAGTGTGGTGTCTTCAGCTTTGTTTGTATTGCTCAAGATTTCTTTGGCTACTTGGGGTCTTTTATAATTCCACATGATTTTTAGAATCTTTTTCTTCTACTTCTGTGAAAACTGTCATTGAAATTTTTGTAGGGATTGCATTGAATCTATAGCTCACTTTGGGTAGTATGAATATTTTAACTGTATTAATTCTTTCAATCCATGAACATGAGATATCTCTCCATTTATTTGCATATTTTTCTATTTCTTTTATCAGTCTTTTATAGTTTTCAGGGTACAGATTTTTTACCTCTTTAGTTAACTTTGTTGCTAGGTATTTTTAAAATGCTGTTGTAAAATTGCATTGTTTTGATTGTTTACTATATATATATATAGTCAGTGTTTATATAGACTAACAATGAACTACCATTTTTAGTATATATAAACTTCTTCATTGAAGAAGAATTCAGATAGTTCATTGTTAGTCTGTATAAACACTTTGTATATATTTCAACATTTATAAACATACACAAACACTATATATACTAACAACATTTATAAACATATATAAATACTCTATAAATACTAACAATGAACTAGCTTACTTCTTCAGATAGTATACATAAACACTACTAACTTTTGTACATTGATTTTGTAGCCTACAACTTTATTGAATTTATTATTTCTCAAATATTTTTGATAGGTCTTTAGGGCTTTTTATATGATTTATATATGATTATGACATCTACAGAGACCATTTTACTTCTTCCTTTCCAGTCTGGATACCTTTTATTCCTTTTATTTGCCTAATTCCTCTAACTAGGACTTTTAGTGCTGTATTGCATAGAAGGGGCATCCTTGTCTTGTTCCTGATCTTAGAGGAAAAACTTTCAGTTTTTCACCTTAAGTATAATGTTAGCTGTGAATTTGTCACATATGACCTTTATTATGTTGAGATACATTCCTTCTATAACTAAAATGTTGAGAGTTTATTCTGAAAGGATGTTGAATTATGTCAAAAGGTTTTCCTTCATCTATTGAGATGATCATATGGATTTTACCTTTCATTCTGTTAATATAGTGTATCACATATATTGATTTGCATATGTTGAACCATCCTTGCATCTTAGGGTTAAATCCCACTTGATCATGGTGTAAGATCCTATCAATATGCTTTTGAACTTGGTTTGCTCATATTTTGTTGAAGATTTTTTTATCTGTGTTCACAGGGTTATTGGCCTATAATTTTCTTGTAGTATCTTTGTCTGGTTTTGGTATTAGGTAGTGCTAGACTCACAAATTGGCTGATAACTTTGATTTTGTTTTTTATTCTAAACCACTGCTTTCTTTCTTTTTAAGCATGTTTAACAATCAGAGTCACAGTGTAGAGCAGGTCCATCTTCCATCCCCCTCCAACTCTCCTCATGCCCTTCCCAGTTAATCCTCCTGTCACAACCTCCCAAAGTTCTGGGATTACAGGCGTGAGTTATCATGCCCGACCTAAACCACTACTTTCAATAAAGAGTGAGAATAAAACAATCTATCATAATGTTTATGTTTCTTCATGCATACAGTTTGTATAAAGAATGTATAATCATTTTTACATAAGCACTTCACATCTATATGAAATCCCATTTCTATTCCTATCTAAGTGACGTGGGTTTGTTTTTCTCAAGACAAATGGTTTGTTCTATTTTAATTTCTGTCTTACTGTTTTTCTTAATAGGGTAGAAATGAACATTTTGAGATTTGGAATCAGACTGGTATAATTTGAATACTAGCTAGTCTGTTTATTAATTCCGTATGTTTGTTTGGATCACTTCTGTAAATTCCAGTTTCTCATCTGAAAATGAATACAATTACAGGGCTTACCTCATAGGATTGTTTTTTCCTGTTAATTAAGTAAAATGAGAAAGGCAGTTAAGAAAGTGACTATTATATATCAAGAAAATAACGTATGATATCTGTTATTATTATTGCTATTATTAACTATTATAAAAACCATGATTGGAAGATGACAACAGAGCTGAAACTCCAGTGAAAGACTGAACTAGTTAAAAATGCACCAAAGCCTTGTTATTCTGTCTAGACATGAAGAGGCTTACAAGTGGAACCACATCTTTGACTCCGATTTAGAAGGGTGGCATGTGGAACTCACTATTTCATCTTTTATCATTCCCCAGCACTAGACACTATAATTACTCTGGTTATCACTGTTTCTGGGCTCAGATTTCAGCAGGATTGCATATCTATCACAATTAAAAAGGCAAATGTTGTATTTTTTTAATGTGGTTAGTGAAGAAAAGCTTTTAAATAAGTATTCTAAACCTCTGGTTTGAGTACTTGGGAAACCATGAATAGGATTGTAAGAAGGCATTGAGAGAAGAAAACTTCAAAACTTGCATTTTTGAGATAACTTTTTAAAATTCTAATTTCCAGTGAAAAATGTATAGTGTTCATGCAAATATATGCAAATAAATACAGCTGCTTTTCTATTTTAATCGTAAACCTGGCCCCTTGAAATATTTTAGCAAAAACTATTTGCATGGAGGCTGTAATAAACGATAGTACATGTCCCTGTTACATCAAACAAGGCATTCTCTGTATGTAGACTGCTGCATTTATTATTATTATTATTCATTACTTCAGAATCATATCATGTGAAGACTATTGTTCTCTGGATCCTGGTGATGGTTTTCATTCAGCTGATTTTGGCAATGATTAAATTTCTTGTTTTGAAGCTAGCGGCATCTCATATACAAGTTCCCTGAGCATAGAGACCATGTCTTATCTTGCTCATGACTAAATCTCCAATGTCAAGTACAGTACTCAAAACACAATTATTTTTTGATAAACATTTATTAAATGAATGAATAATGTCTAGTTTAAATATATCTAGTGTTTTCATGATATTCTTTATGTGTTGAAGCACCCATACCAGTTCCCTTCAAAATCTGTGAGCATAGTTCTTTCACTGAGTGTAGGTATTTGCAAATTTGACCAAGTTTTCTGTAATAGTACAGAAAGGCAGAATCAATGCTTTCTAGAAAAAAAAAAATGAGGTTCAGCTTATCTTGTCACTATTATGAGAAAGCATCTCTGTCCCAGTCATAAGATGTGTCATAGACTGGAAGTTTCTGGGATTTTCCATAAAGGAGCAGAATCACAGACAGTAGAGGGGACATATGGCCCCAGTCGCCCTGCTCTGTTCATGGTGCCTCCTTCCTAGTCTAAGGAGAGCCAGCACCACTGCCTCTCTCCCATCTGACCTCCACTCATGACTGCCTAGTACAGCCTGATGCACGCTAAGGCCAGAGTAGTGCCATGAGGAGGTGTGTATTTTTTATCCCCAGTCACTTATGGCTATTTTAAATCTACGGAAGATCAAAAAAAAATTATCCTTAAGCCAACCTCATGTAATTATACCCATTATACAGAATAGAAACTGAGTTAATGGAAAGTTAATGACAAGTTCAAAGCTGTCAAATAATAATTCTGTAATGGGAACACATAGCCCTTGAATTTTCCTATATTTATCCTAAGAGCAGGAACAATCCTTTTTTTGTCTTTCAACTGAAAGGTTTTATTTTATTTTATTTTTCATCAATTTTTATTTTAAGTTTCAGGGTACATGTGCAGGATGTGCAGGCTTGTTAATAGGTAAACATGTGCCATGGTGATTTGCTGCACAGATCAACCTGTCACCTAAGTATTAAGCCCAGCATCCATTAGCTATTCTTCCTGATAGGCTCCCTTCCACTGTCCCCCACAACAGGCCACAGTGTAGGTCATTCCCTCCCAGGTGTCCATGTGTCCTCATTGTTCAGCTCCCACTTACAAGAGAATGTGCGGTGCTTGGTTTTCTGTTCCTGCGTTAGTTTGCTGAGGATAACAGCTTCCAGCTCCATCCACATCCCTGCAAAGGACATGATCTTGTTCCTTTTTATGGCTGCATAGAATTCCAGGTGTATATGTACCACATTTTCTTTATCCAGTCTATCACTGATAGGCGTTTGGATTGATTTCATGTCTTTACTATTGTGAATAGTGCTGCAATGAACATACACGTGCATGTATCTTTACCATAGAATGGTTTATATTCCTTTTGGTATATACCCAGTAATGGGATTGCTGGGTCAAATGGTATTTCTGCTTCTAGATCTTTGAGAAACTGCCACACTGTCTTCCACAATGGTTGAACTAATTTACACTCCCACCAACAGTGTAAAAGCATTCCTTTTTCTCCACAACCTTGCCAGCAACTGTTGTTTTTTGACTTTTTAATAACTGCCATCTAACTGGCAAGAGATGGTATCTCATTGTGGTTTTGATTTGCATTTCTCTAATGATCAGTGATGTTGAGCCTTCTTTCATATGTTTGTTGGCTGCATGTATGTCTTCTTTTGAGGAGTATCTGTTCATGTCCTTTGCGCCCCTTTTAATGGGGTTGGGTTTTTTTTTTTTTTTGTAAATTTGTTTAAGTACCTTAGAGATGCTAGATATTTAGACCTTTGTCAGATGGATAGATTGTGAAAATTTTCTCCCATGTTGTAGGTTGTCTGTTCTCTCTGATAATAGTTTCCTTTGCTGTGCAGAAGCTCTTTATTTTAATTAGATCCCAATTTGTCAATTTTTGCTTTTGTTGTCATTGCTTTTGGTGTTTCCATCATGAAATCTTTGCCCATGCCTATATCCTGAACAGTATTGCCTACATTTTCTTCTAGGGTTTTTATTGTTTTGGGCTTTATATTTAAGTCTTTAATCCATCTTGAGTTGACTTTTGTATATGGTGCCCAGTTTCAGTTTTCTGTATGTGGCTAGCCAGTTCTCCTGGCACCATTTATTAAATAGGAATTATTTCTTCATTGCTTGTTTTTGTCAGGTTTATCAAACATCAGATGGTTGTAGGTGTGTAGTCTTATTTCTGGGTTCTCTATTCTTTTCCATTGGTCTATGTGTCTATTTTTATACCAGTACCATGCTGTTTAAGTTACTATAGCACTGTAGTATAGTTTGAAGTCAGGTAGGGTGATGCCTCCAGCTTTATTCTTTTTGCTTAGGATTGCCTTGGCTATTTAGGCTCTTTTTTGGTCCTATATGAATTTTAAAATAGTTTTTTTTTTTTTTACTTCTGTGAAGAGTGTCAATGGTAGTTTTACAGGAATAGCATTGAATCTACAAATTGCTTTGGGCAGTATGGCCATTTTGGCGATATTGATTCCTCCTATCCATGAGCATGGAATGTTTTTTTCATTTGTTTGTGTCCTCTCTGATTTCTTTGAACGGTGGTTTGTGGTTCTCTTTGAAGAGGTCCTTCACTTCCCTTGTTAGCTGTATTCCTAGGTATTTTACTCTCTTTGTAGCAATTGTGAATGAGAGTTTATTCATGATTTGTATTTTCTGCATGCCTGCTGTTTGTGTATAAGAATGCTAGTGATTTTTGCACATTAATTTTGTATCCTGAGACTTTGCTGAAGTTGCTTATCAGCTTAAGAAGCTTTGGGGCTGAGGGCCGGGCGCAGTCCCTCATGCCTGTAATCCCAGCACTTTGGGAGGCTGAGACAGGTGGATCACGAGGTCAGGAGATCGAGACCATCCTGGCTAACACAGTGAAACCCCGTCTCTACTAAAAATACAAAAAAAAAAAATTAGCTGGGCATGGTGGTGGGTGCCTGTAGTCCCAGCTGCTCGGGAGACTGAGGCAGGAGAATGGTGTGAACCTGGGAAGCAGAGCTTGCAGTGAGCCAAGATTGCACCACTGGACTCCAGCCTGGGCGACAGAGTAAGACTCTGTCTCAAAAAAAAAAAAAAAGAAGCTTTGGGGCTGAGACAATGGGGTTTTCTAGATATAGGGTCATGTCATCTGCAAACAAAGATAATTTGACTTCCTTTCTTCCTATTTGAATACCCACCCTTTATTTCTTTCTCTTGCCTGATTGTCCTGGCCAGAACTTCCAATACTATTGTTGAATAGGAAGGGTGAGAGAGGGGATCCTTGTCTTGTGCTGGTTTTCAAAGGGAATGCTTCCAGCTTTTGCCCATTCAGTATGATATTGGCTGTAGGTTTGTCATATATGGCTCTTACTATTTTGAGGTATGTTCTTTCAATACCTAGTTTATTGAGAGTTTTTAACATGAAGGGATGTTGAATTTTATCAAAGATCTTTTCTGCATCTATTGAGATAATCATGTAGTTTTTGTCTTTAGATCTGTTTATGTGATGAATTACATTTATTGATTAGCATGTGTTGAACCAGCCTTGCATCTTGGGGATGAAGCCAGCTTGATCGTGGTGGATAAGCTTTTTGATGTGCTGCTGGATTTGGTTTGCCAGTATTTTATTGAGGATTTTTGCATCGATGTTTATCAGGGATATTGGTGTGAAGTTTTCTTTTTTGTTGTATCTCTGCCAGGTTTTGATATCAGGATGAGTCTGGCCTCATAAATGAGTTAGGGAGGAGTCCCTCCTTTCAGTTGTTTGGAATAGTTTCAATAGAAATTGTACCAGTTCCTGTTTGTACCTCTGTTAGAATTCCGCTTTAAATCCTTTGGTCCTCAGCTCTTTTTTTGGTTGATGGGCTATTTCTTACTTCCTCAATTTCAGAACTCATTATTGATCTACTTAGGGATTCAATTTCTTCCTGGTTCAGTCATGGGAGGGTATATGTGTCCAGGAATTTATCCATTTCTTCCAGGTTTTCTAGTTTATGTGCATAGAGCTGTATATAGTAGTCTCTGATGGTTGTTTGTATTTCTGTGGGGCCAGTGGTGATATACCCCTTATCATTTCTGATTGTGAATATTGATTCTTCTCTCTTTTCTTCTTTAGTCTATCTAGCAGTCTATCTATTTTATTATTTTTTTCAGAAACAAAACAGTTCCTGGATTTGCTGATTTTTTGAAGGGTTTTTTTTTTTGTGTCTCTGTCTCCTTCAATTCCAAAGATCAGAATCTTATCTCCAAGAAATGGGTAAATATGGTATTGTGTCTTTGCCTCAAACTGCAAACTTTGACATCTCACAAATTTTGAAAATTCCACATAGCCCTAGAAGTTTTCTGCTTTTTCTTGTTTCTTTGAAACCCATTTCAATGTAACTTTTTCTTTGATTTGCTCTCTTGTATACAAATCTAAATAGAACCACAAAAAAAAATATGCAATACCATTTGGAAAAAGGAAGCAATTTATAAATAATCAATGACTAATAAAAATGAAACTAGTTTTCCTTTTTTAACACTTGATAAAGAAAAGTTAGGTCAACTTTGAAGCACTTAATAAAGTGTTTTAAATTAAATTTTTTAGGTTGGATTTGTATCTCAAAGTAGAAATGCCTAGTCAGCCTTATCAATGAATACTCCTTTTGGTTTGCATTACATATCTGAACAGTTTTTTTCATTTGCATTAAATATCCTAATATTTTTCCTAATATGTTAAAAGATGATATTGCATCTGTCTGATCAGACATACTGGTCCAAAACTTAATTTACTAGGATATGAAATCTTTGTTAGCTTGGAGAAATAATTTCCAATTATGCATTTCAGTCTCAAAATGCACACCTAAACCCATTTAAGACTAGCTAAGAACATTTTTATAATGCATTTCTTAGAATTAGCTACAGTTATGGACTAGTTTTTCTTAGTCTTTTTTTATGAATCAAAGATAGATTGTCTACCATTCTTCCTCCCCTCCCGTTCACCTTGTTCTAGATGGAATGAATTGATGCAATTTATTCTGTATCATTTAACTCATCCTTTATTTCTATAAAGGCAAAAATAAAGATATAAGTGTGAATCCATGTTTTCCTATTTTTTTGGCATTTAAACCGAAGTGTAGAAGATTAGGTATTAATTATAATTGCTTAAAATTCTTCATAGTAGCTTTTTAAATAAATGGGAATTCCAAGAATAATTATAAGGTGATTTTAAAAACAAAAATACAAGAACTTATGCTCCTAAATAATTGTTATCCTTCTAGGAAGTTATATTGGATAAATAGCAACCTTATTGAAATAACCTGTGGCCTGAAGTAACAGTGAAAGACCTATATGGATTTAAAACATCTTTCTACCACTTAAAAATAGTATGATCTAAGGCAAGTTATTTAAGCACTCTGTCTCTCAATTTAGGTATCTGTAGATTGTTACAAAATGGCCTTGAGTGGAAGACATCTCCCTAAATGCATCCCGCATTGAATCCTGGCTGGCCTTAGGCCGACAGAATGTAACAGATGTGACATCTTGCCAGTTCTAAGCCTAGGCATTGAAGAGCTTTTGTAGCTTTTGTCTGAAATCAAACCACTCTGCTATGAAGATGGCCCATCTACCCTATTGGAGAATGAGAGGTCATGTGGAGAAAACATGTGGTAGCTTAGCTGGCAGCCAAAAGCCAGACGTGAGCAAGTCCATCCTGGAACCTCCAGCTTCAATTGAGTCATCCAGTGACATCACCACATGAATGATCCTAAGTGACACCAGCAGAAGAAACAACCAGATTGCCAATGCACACTAAGAACCAAGCCAGGTACTAAATTAGGCAGAGATAAGGGCTGGAGTTTAGAGATTCTAACTCCAGTAATGTGCTACTTCCACCTCTCTGTCTGAGGGGCAACCATCTGGCAATCCTGAGTACAAGGCAGAAATTCAGCATTTGGATAAGGAATCTGCTACTGCTTGGGGGTGTTTGCAGGAGGAAATATAGACATGCAGTTACAATGATACCATCCGTTTCTGAAAGGTAAGAAGCAAAACACATGACTAGACACAACTTCCAAGTCAAGTTAGGAGTTTTTCTTTTGTGCTATGTGTTGGTTAAAATCAGAATCTAGCATTATATGACTTCAGAAGCTTCCTAGTTACACATACCCAGGGAAGGAGAATTCCCATAATCCCATAATCTTATTCAGATTAAACTGATTTATTCACTTCCAATTATGTGCCATTTTTTGAGAACCTTATCTTGGTAAGAGTAGATTTGGGTGAGAGGGAATCAGTCTTAGGTAGAATTGAAGAATCTCAGCACCAGCTAAATATTTTTGAGCAGCCTATGGACACGTTTCCAGTGAGAGAAAGAAAGAGGATTGGCTAAGTGTGGTAGCTGACACCTTCCACTGTGCTCACAAAGTGTGTTGCTCTACTCCATGCAGCTCTGACCAGCAGCATTGACATAATGACCTCCTTGCTACAGGGAGCATCTCAAGCTCAGGGATTCAGGCTTTTTATCTTTTAAATAGAATTGCCAGACAGCATACACGATGCCCAATTTAATATGAATCTCAGGTAAACAGCAAATCATTTTTCAGTATGTCTATGCAATATTTGTGACATACTTATATCAAAAAATGATACACTGTTAATCTGAAATTCAAATTACTATTTAACTGGGTGTCCTCTTGTGTTTTTAGTCGGTTTGCTTATTTTGCTTCATTTGTTTTGTTTTTGGCTAATCTGGTAACCCTCCTTAGAAATGAATGTCAATACAGTTGTGCCATAGAAGAGGTGCTCAAGGCTGGGCGTGGTGGCTCATGCCTATAGTCCCAGCATTTTGGGAGGCCGAGATGAGTGGATCACTTGAGCCCAGGAGTTCCAGACCAGCCTAGCCAACATGGTGAAACCCCGTCTCTACTAAAAATGCAAAAAATTTAGCCAGGCATGTTGACATGTGCCTATAATACCACCTACCAGGGAGGCTGAGATGGGAGGATCACTTGAGTCCAGCAGGTGGAGGTTGCAGTGAGCCGAAATCGCACCACTGCACACTAGCCTGGGAAACAAAGCAAGAGCAAGACTCTATCTCAAAAATAAAAAAAAAAAGAGGTGCTCAATAAATGCTATTTGAATATTGATTCAAACTTTTTGCAATTCCACCTAATTTCTTGTCTTGTTATCATGGTTCCACTAACCTTTTCGATGTCACAGACTCTAGTGTGATTCTACACAGAAATCTCAACCCCTGTAATAATTATAGCCAAAATAACAGTATTATCTATATTTCTGCAGCAGCTTATGGTTTTTCAAAGAGGGAGTACTTGCTTATTTTAAAAATAAACTCTGAGTAATTACACAGTTAAACTGTGGCTGTAGATGAAAAGAAAATGGAGAGAGTGAAAAATGGTGGTTCATAGAAAGATCTTTGTGCTTACATAAGGCACTACATTTCTGGTTCATACATTTTCCCTCATATTCTGAAATCAGATCGTTGTTTTTCTAACATGACTGTGGCAGGTTCAAAGGAAGAGAAAATAACTAAATGTAGAATACTGTTGGCTGTAGGTGAACATGCATTAATTCCCTGTCATCCCATTTCATGCCTTGCAATCTTCCAACTGTTAATTAAGACAAACAGCAAAATCATATCCTTTAGCAAACAGTCTAGTACCCTTTCCCAGTCTGGGATGTGACAGGCACCACACTCAAAGTATGCTTTTTTTGGTCATCTTTATATAGCATAATAGACCAACCAAGTACAAGTTAAGCAGACTGAAAGGAAGAATTATTTCACACTCCTGCTGATGCTGCTGGAAAGTGTAGAAATGATCTTGGAGTGCTTCCTTTAGTTCTTTATCCTTTAGAATAGCTCACAGAAGGCAACCTAACAAGCATTAGGATTCACAATGCCATCTGTCTGTTAAAAATATAGTCTAATTCCAAAGAAGGGCATTACATAATAGTAAAGGGATCAATGCAACAGGAAGAGCTAACTATCCTAAATATATATGCACCCAATATAGGAGTGCCCAGATTCATAAAGCAAGTTATTAGAGACCTACAAACAGACTTATACTCCCACACAATAATAGTGGGAGATTTTAACACCCCACTGTCAATATTAGATCAACGAGACAGAAAATTAAAAAGGATATTCAGGACTTGAACTCAGCTCTGGACCAAGCAGACCTAATAGACATCTACAGAACTCTTCACCCCAAATCAACAGAATATACATTCTTCTCAACACCAAATTGCACTTATTCTAAAATTGACCACATAATTGGAAGTAAAACACTCCTCAGCAAATGCAAAAGAATGGAAATCATAACAAACAGTCTTTCAGACCACAGTGCAATCCAATTAGTACTCAGGATTAAGAAACTCACTCAAAACCCCACAACTACGTGGAAACTGAACAACCTGCTCCTGAATGACTACTGGGTAAATAACAAAATTAAGGCAGATATAAATAAGTTCTTTGAAACCAATGAGAACAAAGACACAATGTACCAGGATCTCTGGGACACAGCTAAAGCACTGTTTAAAGGGAAATTTATAGCACTAAATGCCCACAGGAGAAAGTGAGAAAGATTTAAAATTGACACCCTAACATCACAATTAAAAGAACTAGAGAAGCAAGAGGAAACAAAAGCTAGTAGAAGACAAGAAATAACTAAGATCAGAGCAGAACTGAAGGAGATAGAGACACGAAAAACCCTTCAAAAAAATCAATGAATCCAGGAGCTGGTTTTCTGAAAAGATTAACAAAATAGACTGCTAGCCAGACTAATGAAGAAAAGAGAGAAGAATCAAATAGACACAATAAAAAATGGTAAAGGGGTTATCACCACTGATCCCACAGACTACCATCAGAGAATACTATAAACACCTCTACGCAAATAAATTAGAAAATCTAGAAGAAATATATAAATTCCTGGACACATACACCCTCCCGAGACTAAACCAGGGAGAAGTCGAATCCCTGAATAGACCAATAATGGGTTCTGAAATTGAGGCAATAATTCATAGCCTACCAACAAAAAAACCCCAGGACCAGACAAATTCACAGCCGAATTCTACCAGAGGTACAAAGAGGAGCTGGTACCATTCCTTCTAAAACTATTCCAAACAATAGAAAGAGGGAATTCTCCCCAACTCATTTTATGAGGCCAGCATCATCCTGATACCAAAGCCTGGCAGAGACACACAGAAAAAAAGAGAATTTTAGGCAAGAGAATTTTAGGCCAGTATCCCTGATGAACCTCGATACGAAAATCCTCACTAAAGTACTGGCAAACCGAATCCAGCAGCACATCAAAAAGCTTATCTACCACGATCAAGCTGGCTTCATCCCTGGGATGCAAGGCTGGTTCAACATATGCAAATGAATCAATGTAATCCATCATATAAACAGAACCAAAAACAAAAACCACATCATTATCTCAATAGATGCAGAAAAGGCCTTCAATAAAATTTAACACCCCTTCATGCTAAAAACTATCAATAAAATAGGTATTGATGGAATGTATCTCAAAATAATAAGAGCTATTTATGACAAACCCACAGCCAATATCATACTGAATAGGCAAAAGCTGGAAGCATTCCCTTTGAAAACCAGCAGAAAACAAGGATGCCCTCTCTCACCCCTCCTATTGAACATAGTATTGGAAGTTCTGGCCAGGACAGTCAGGCAAGATCAAGAAATTAAGGGTATTCAAATAGGAAGACAGGAAGTCAAATTGTCTCTGTTTGCAGATGACATGATTGTATATTTACAAAACCCCATTGTCTCAGCCTAAAATCTCCTTAAGCTGATAAGCAACTTCAGCAAAATCTCAGGATACAAAATGAATGTGCAAAAATCAGAAGCATTCCTATACACCTATAATGGACAAACACAGAACCAAATCATGAGTGAATTCCCTTTCACAACTGCTACAAAGAGAATAAAACACCTAGGAATACAACTTACAAGGGATGTGAAGGACCTCTTCAAGGAGAACTACAAACCACTCCTCAAGGAAATAAGAGAGGACACAAACAAATGGAAAAACATTACATGCTCATGGTTAGGAAGAATCAATATTGTAAAAATGGCCATATTGCCCAAAGTAATTTATAGATTCAATGCTATCCCCATCAAGTTAACATTGACTTTTTTCACAGAGTTAGAAAAAACTACTTTAAATTTCATATGGAACCGAAAAAGAACCTGTATAGCCATGACAATCCTAAGCAAAAAGAACAAAGCTGGAGGCATCATACTACCTGACTTCAAACTATACCACAAGGCTACAGTAACCAAAACAGCACGGTACTGGTACCAAAACAGATGTATAGACCAATGGAACAGAACAGAGCCCTCAGAAACAACACCACACATCTACAACCATCTGATCTTTGACAAACCTGACAAAAACAACAATGGGGAAAGGATTCCGTATTTAATAAATGGTGTTAGGAAAACTGGCTAGCCATATGCAGAAAACTGAAACTAGACCCCTTCCTTACACCTTATACAAAAATTAACTCAAGATGGATTAAAGACTTAAATGTAAGACCTAAAACCATAAAAACCCTAGAAGAAAACCTAGACAATACCATTCAGGACTTAGGCACGGGCAAAGACTTCATGACTAAAACACCAAAAGCAATGGCAACAAAAGCCAAAATTGACAAATGGGATCTAACTAAACCTAAGAGCTTCTGCACAGCAAAAGAAACCATCATCAAAGTGAACAGGCAACCTACAGAATGGGAGAAAGTGTTTGCAATCTATCCATCTGACAAAGGGCTAATATCCAGAATCTACAAAGAAACAAATTTACAAGAAAAAAACAAACAACCCCATCAAAAAGTGGGCAAAGGATATGAACAGACACTTCTCAAAAGAAGACATTTTTGCGGCCAACAAACGTGAAAAAAAGCTCACGATCACTGGTCATTAGAAAAATGCAAATCAAAACCACAATGTGATACCATTTCATGCCAGTTAGAATGGTGATCATTAAAAGGTCAGGAAACAATAGATGCTGGAGAGGATGTGGAGAAAGAGGAATGCTTTTACACTGTTGGTGGGAGTGTAAATTAGTTCAACCATTGTGGAAGACAGTGTGTCAATTCCTCAAGGATCTAGAACCAGAAATGCCATTTGATCCAGCAATCCCATTACTGGGTATATACCTAAAAGATTATAAATCATTCTACTATAAAGACACATGCACGTGTATGTTTATTGTGGCACTGTTCACAATAGCAAAGACTTGGAACTAATCCAAATGTCCATCAATGATAGACTGGATAAAGAAAATGTGGTACATATACACCATGGAATACTATGCAGCCATAAAAAAGGATGAGTTCATGTCCTTTGCAGGGACATGGATAAAGCTGGAAACCATCATTCTCAGCAAACTAATACAGGAACAGTAAACCAAATACCGCATGTTCTCACTAGTATGTGGGAGTTGAACAATGAGAACACACAGACACAGGGAGGGGAACATCACACACCAGGGCCTGTCAGGGGGTGGGGGGCTGGGGAGGGATAGCATTAAGAGAAATACCTAATGTAAATGATGGGTTGATGGGTGCAGCAAACCACCATGGCATGTATATACCTGTGTAACAAACCTTCACATTCTGCACATGTATCCCAGAACTTAAAGTATAATAATAAAAAAAGTACAGTCTAATTCATTAGACACTGATATATATATATATATAGCTTTGTTTGCTAGTTATTTCTTATTGCTCTCTGTTGACCCGAAACTAAGTCATTAAGCAGCAGGAAAAGTAATAAGAGCTAATTTTCTGTTCAAGTCAAGAAAATGTGCTACCTTTATAGTGCTTTAGGAAGTCTTCATCATCAAAAAATACTAAAGAATACTGGAAGAGGAAAGCATTTACATATTAAAGTGGTAAAAAGATAGAGGCCAAAGTCTATACAAGAGATAAAACTAATCAAATAACAGCCATAACTCTTAAGGGATATGACTGTCTGCAAAGACTAACATTTCCTTCTACTATTTAAGAGAAAATAACCCCAAATCAAAACCAGAAAATTAAATGAACTGAAGACAATTTATTGCAAAATATGACAATCTGTACAAACTTTGTGAGAATGGCATCTCTTTGTACTATGCTCCAGAGTTTGTCTAATCTTTCAAGGATGAAATGTTTACCCCCAGTTGTGGTTCTCTGAGATCTATGTTTCTTACTTGATTAGACACAGGACAAAAATCTCAAAAGAATCCTTTGAGATTTTTTTGCATTTATATTTGAGATTTACATTTATATATTTATATGATATATTTGTATATAAATCTGTGCATTATGTATTATATAAATTTGGCAATTTAGATAATGTATTCTCCTTAGTGATATCTAAGGAGCTATCATATTCCCTTCTTAGTTATCTTCCCAGGAGTGAAGTGAGGTGATATGAATTGAGCAATTGAGGCAGATTTTAACAGCAATTCCTCTGGATCAGGACTAAATATTTTTGTTGGTGGTGCTTGTTTTTATTCTGCATATATTATATATATATATATATATATATATCATTAAATTTACCTTTTAAAATGACTTTAAGTGTATAATTCAGTGGCATTAATTATATTCATAATGTTGTACAACTATCACTACTATCTATTTCCAAAACCTTTTCATCATGCCAAATACAAACTCAGTAACTATTAAGCAATAACTCTCCATTCTCCCCTCTGCCAATACTGGTAACTTCTAATCTACTTTTTATCACTATGAATTTGCCTATACTAGTTATTTCATATAAATAATAAAGTATTTGTCCTTTTGTGTCTCACTCATTGCACTCAGCATAATGATTTCAGGGTTCATCCATGTTGTAGCACATGTCAGAACTTTATTCTTTTTTATGGCTGAATAATAATCCGTAGTAAGCATATACATTGTGTTTATAGAGTCATCTTTTGATGGCCACTAGGTTGTTTACACCTTTTCGCTATTATGAATAATGCTGTGATGAATTTTGGAATATAAGTATATGTTTGAATACCTGTTTCAAAAAACAAAAAAAAAGATTGTTTCCTGTTTTGAAAAACTGCTGCACCACATTACACTCCTACCATCAATGTATGAGAATTTCGGTTTCTCCCCATCCTTGCCAACGCTTGTTTTCCTTTTCATTTTGTTTATTTATTTCAGTAGATTTAGGGGGTACAAGTGGGTTTTGGTTAAATGGATGAATTGTGTAGTGGCGAAGTCTGGGCTTTGTTTTTTGTTGTTGTTGTTTTTCAGACAGATTCTCCCTCTGTCGCCAGGCTGGAGTGCAATGGCGCAATCTCGGCTCACTGCAACCTCCGCCTCCTGGGTTTAAGCGATTCTTCTGTCTCAGCCTCCCGAGTAGCTGGGAGTACAGGCGTGCCCATGCCCACCTAATTTTTGTGTTTTTAGTAGAGACGGGGTTTCACCACGTTGGCCAGGTTGGTCTCCATCTCTTGACCTCGTGATCCGCCCACCTCAACCTCCCAAAGTGCTGGGATTACAGGCGTGAGCCACCGCACCCGGCCAAAGTCTGGGCTTTTAGTGTGCCTATCACCTGAAAAATGTACATTGTACCCAATAGGTAATGTTTCATCCCTGACCCCTGCCCCTCTCTGAGCCTCCAGCGTCCTTTATACCACTCTGTGTGCCTGCATCCCCTTAGCTTACTCCCTCTTATAAGTAGAACTAAGTATTTTTGACTAAAGATTTGGAGCGCCATGCTGCCTCCATCCTCATCAGAAAGCACCATGTTGCCATTCGATGGAAACCTTTGACAATGGAGCACCATGCTGACAGACGAGAACCAAAAGGAGGCTCCAGGGCTGCTGCCCCACGTGCCATATATTCTGACTGTATGGCAGGTTCTTGAATTCACTGCTTCAGGTCCTTTGAATTGTAACAAATGCCTTCAGGTTACAAGCCCTTAGTTTATTATGACTTGTGTGCTTCCTTTTTACAGCCCTAACAAACATAAGACTCTTAATGTAAAGGAGATCTGTAGAGAAGCTTCACTTACACTCTAATTTGGAGATTTGTCAACATCAGTGTATTAATCCCTTTCCTCCCTCCCTCTCTCTTCCTTCTATGTGAGTTTATCATTTGAATGTAAACATTTGCCTTTGAACTGACTGGATAATTGGTTCGGAGACTCTTTAAGCATTTATTTAGAAAGCAAAGTTCAGGTTTAATTTCCCTACAGTTACATAGTATAGTGAGGTGGGAATCTTCACTGCATATTCCAGCTGTTTTGATATAATTAGATGTTTATGCTATGTCCACATCCGCTTTTCCCTTCTCACACTCCTCTAGTTTTCCCTGTACCATTGGTTTATAAATCACTCCCAAACTGCCCCTCCTTAATCAGGCCAGGCAGAAGCCAGCGGCCCCATGCCAGCGGCCAGCAGCTGGAGATGTGGGGTCGCAGCCACGCGGCGTGACCCAGGGTCAGAAAGAGTGGGCCAGAGAGAACCATGGCCCGCACTGCTAACTTCCAGGACATCCACAATTTTCATTCCCAGGAAGAGTCTTTCCTGGGAAAGGTACAGAAATTTCAGTTGCTCTAGCATGTAGTGGGATTTTATAATGAGCCAGGCAGGAAAATAACAGATGGTGCACTGAGTGTAAATATATGAAAATACCCTTGGAGCAGAAACAGAAGGCTGGCACTCCCAGGGGACTCGGGCGAAAACAGACAAGACTCCCCGCTGTCTCTCAGCTCTTCTAATGTTTTTCTCACGTCTTAAGGCACAGACAATGTCTATTGCATGTAACATCTTATATTCTCTCACCTTAGTGCACCAAATCGTGATCCTCTTGGAGGCCCTCCCCTCTGATCTCTGTGCCCTCTAATCTCCTTGCTTCCTCCTCTCTGCTCAGGTTTGCTTTCTTGGGTCTCTCCTCTTTCATCTTAGCTGTTTCTCCAGGCTGTTTGAAGGTTCCCACCTCCGTTCTTTCTTGGTTCTGGATCTGTCTGTTAGAATGACTCCAACTCCAGCGCTGTGGCTTTCACCATGTTTCTTCACTTTCATGTCTTTTTTTATTTATAATTGAGCACACACACACACCACACACACACTCTCTCTCTCTCCTATACTTCCTTCTTTAGAAAGCTTTCTGCTGTTGTTGTTGTTTTAATAATCTTTCAGATCATTTTATTTAGCTTTCATCCATTTCCCTCATTAAAGTCAGTTGAAAGTTTTGTCAACATGTAATATGCATTTGATATAATGATTTTAGTATAATAATTACCTGAGGTAACACTGTGTCAGAGGAGAAGTGTGGCCAATTATATCTTAAATTACATGAACAGCGCTTTCCCTTTCACACAGCTATACATTTCTTTAGGCACTAAAAATCTGTAATCTGTAGCTTCCATTAAATTGGATTTAGTTGTTTTGCAAATAAAATTGTGGAATAAAAGGTTGTATTAGTTACTGTTCTCCAGAGAATGAGAATGAATAGGGTGTATGCATGTGTGTGTGTGTGTGTTTACAATCAGTTGACTCTAAGTAAAGCAGTGGAGAGCAATGGGTGGGCCTCATTCAATCAGTGGCAGGCCTAAGAGCAAAGAGAGATTTCTCAAAAAAGAAGGAAGTTTCCTCAAGACTGCAACATGGCAAAGCTGCTCAGTAGACTCAGTTAGTCTATTGCCCTGCAGAATTTGGACTGAAAGCTGTGACATCAATTCTTTCTTAAAACTCTGAGAGATTGCTTGATTGATTTTAAGGAATTGGCTTACATGATTGTGGGGGCTGACAAGTCCAAAATCTCTAGGGCAGGCCAGCAGGCTGGAGACTCAGGACAGAGTTAAAGTTGCAGTCTTGCATATAAATTCTGCAGGGCAGTAGTTTGGAAACTCAACTGGGTTTCTGTGTGGAAGTCTTGAGGAGAATTCTTTCTTCTTTGAGAAACAGGCTTTGTTTGCAATCTTTGCTCTTAAGGCTTTCAACTAATTGAAAGAGGCACACCTGTATGATGGAGGGTAATCTGCTTTACTTAAAGTCTACTGATTATAAGAATTAATCACACCTAAAATATACCTTTACTTCGTGGCAACAACACACACTGGGAACGACTAGACAGGGGCAAGGGTTGAAAAACTAACTGTTGGGTACTATGCTCACTCTCCGGGTGACAGGATAATTCATGGCCCAAACCTCAACATCAAGCAATGTACCCACGTAACAAACCTGCTCATGTACCCCTGAATCTAAAATAAAAGTTGAAATTATTAAAAAGAAATATTGAAGGAATGATATAAAGATTTTAAATGAATAAATAATAATACCTTGACTGGTGTTTGGCCAAACAGCTGGGCATTCTAGTCCTCGCCAAGTCAACACACAAAATTAACCATTACAGTGGTGTTTCCCCATTTGTAGGGAGAGGGAAAGGATCACATTTAATGAAAAACATTTTTGTTTCCGAATGTATATTTCTAACTCATTTTTCTTTGAATTTTCTTATATTTTCATGTTTATACAGAAATACGGTATATTGGCATTTAATTTAGCACAAAACTTGAGATTCGTTATTCTAAAGTTTTAATATTTTGTGATGCTCTACAAGAAGGACTGTAACTCCCAGACACAAAGCTACCTGCAAGTTCAAGCATTGCTGCTTTTTACATGAAATGTCATGGTAACTGGCAAGGATTCCCCAAGGGCCTAGAAGTAGTGGAAGTCAGATTCCCCTTATATGCAGTGTACTGTATGAACATATTTACATCCTCCAACAATAGGCTGCCTTTAGCAGCCTGTAGGTTTGGAAAACACTATTTTTGTTTGGGCTCCGGGTCCAGCCATTTCAAGCCTGGTAATAACTGCGGTCTCCCTCACCACCTTCCTCACCAACTGGAATGGTGTGTTGGAATATTTTCAGCTGTTAATTACATAATACCTCAAAACAGTGCTTAAATAGATATTTTTGTCCACATAAAAATAATCTGAAGGTAGGTGGTTCCAGGTTAGTAAAGTGGTCAGTGATGTCAGGAGCCGAGTCCACATCTCTCTGGGTCTGTGGCCTCCCTTCACAGTCGCATGAGAGCTGCTGTAGCTCTAGGTGTCTCCTTACAACACCATGGTGCTTGAAAGCAGGAAACGGGTGGGAGGGAACAAAACCTTCTTCTCATACATTTCCCACATTTCAGGTAGAAAAAGTTTCCCGGAGGCGGAGGTTGCAGTGAGCTGAGATCGTGCCACTGCACGCCAGCCTGGCAACGGAGCGAGACTCTCTTAAAAAAACAAACAAAACAACAACAAAAACGAAAAATGTTTCCCAGAATCCTCGGCACAGGTTTCTGCTTCCACCTCATAGGCCAAATTGATCACATGTTCTTCCCTAGCCAATGACCGGGCCTTTCTCCCCTGACATAAGGGGATCTCTCCTGTCAAATGAATACAATAAGGTTGGGTTAGCAAGCAAGAAAGTGGGTGTGGATGCCGTTGAATAGCTGCAGCAATATCTACCAGATGCCACCCCTTTGGCCGCTTGGCATTCACACTCACCCTCCTTCCACACATACACAACACATCAGCCCTCACTGCACAAATGAGGCCCACAGCTTCCTTCAGCTCCAACGCCATGATCTCAGGTGACCACCTGGACTCTCTGTCAAGTCCAAATGTTGCTCCTCACAAATGTCTCCTATAGTAAAGCATAAGCCATCTGTCCACTACATACCTAAGACATAGAAATGGAGAAGGAACAAGTTAACCCTAATAAAGCCTTGTATTTGGCAGAGGGGAGAACAGGAAATAGTAACCACTTGTTTACAGCACATATCAGATACTGCTCAGCAGGAATAGTGAGGACCATATATTCTGGAAATGGAGTAAGCTCCTCTTAGCTGCTCTGAGAGCCCTGATTCTTTCTTTCAGTAGATTTTCTTGTCCATTTTACCACATGGCAATTTTGGAATGCACATTGGAGAGTAAGGTCTTCCTAGGGGCTGTAGAGATTGCGCAGCCCTCTTCCTATTGGTGGAATTGTGGGGAACTGGGAATTGCTTTGAGGATTGAACTTTCACAGAATTCTGCAGCCAGCCTTGGAAGTTCTGTTAGCACAACTCCGTTATCTTAAAAATTTAGTATGCTTGTTGTCACAGAAATTAAAAAAAAAAAGACATCATAACTTCTGACCACAATAAAATTAAAAGTAAAAATAAGGTTTTTTAAGGCATAAGAAAAGTCTTATGATTAAAAATACACTCATAAGTAATACTAATTCCTGCTCAAGAAAGAA
This sequence comes from Homo sapiens, assembly GCF_000001405.40. NCBI lineage: Eukaryota > Metazoa > Chordata > Mammalia > Primates > Hominidae > Homo > Homo sapiens. Next base: position 187,853,598 of record NC_000004.12, read on the forward strand.
ATTATGATATACATTTAAAACAATAGAAAAAAATGGAAATATACCATATATCAAAACCTGTACACGGCAGATAAGGTGGTATTTAGAGGTTAATTTGTAGCCTTAAATAAATATCTCAAAAACATTATATGTAGCCTTAAATAAATGTATTTAAATAGTTTTTAAAATGAAGAAAACCATTCAGCTAAAGGCACTAGAAAAAGAACAACAGCATAAACTTAAGTTTTGTGGTTTTTTTTTTTTTTTGGAGACAGGGTCTCACTCTGATTGCCCAGGTTGGAGTGCAGTGGCGTAAGTTTGGTTCCCTGCAGCCTCAACCTCCCCAGGCTTCTCCCACCTCAACCTCCTGAGTAGCTAGGACTACAGGCGCACACCACCATGCCCAGTTAAATTTTTTTAGTTTTGTAGAGATGCAGTTTTGCTGTGTTGCCCAGGCTGGTCTTGAGCTCTTGGACTCAAGCAATCCACCCACCTTAGCCTTCCAAAGTGCTGGGATTATTACGAGTGTGAGCCACTATGCCTGGCCAACATAAACTTTAAAAAGTAGAAAATAAACTTAATTCTAAAATTTTAAGAGCAGAAATTACTAAAAAGAAGAAAAAATAGAGATTAACAAAATCAAAACTGATTATTGAAGGAAAATTAATAAAATAGGCAACATTCTAAGAAGACTGAGAAAAACAAAATAAGAAAAAATACAACATTAGAAATTTTAAGAGCAGAGATACTTTAAGATTTCAAAACGTATAACGGGATACGTTAAAAACTTTATGACAATATTTTAAAATTAGATTAAATGGATACTTTAATAAAAATGGCAAAAATTTGACAAGAAGAAACAAAGAATCTGGATAACATAATAATAAAGACATTTTATCTCATCAAGATGTAAATAATTTCTATTTTATATAAACTTTTTCAAAGAAGATGAAAAAATTACCTATCTCATTGAGTGAGGATAAATCTTGCTTTGTAAGGATAGAATAACACTGACAAGGACAGTAAACGAAAAGACCATATGACCTACTAGAATATAAATGAAAAAAATCGGGGGAATAGCATTAGGAGATATACCTAATGTTAAATGATGAGTTAATGGGTGCAGCACACCAACATGGCACATGTATACATATGTAACTAACCTGCACATTGTGCACATGTACCCTAAAACTTAAAGTATAATAAAAAGAAAAAAATCCTAATTAAAATATTTTCAAATTGAATTCAATAGTATATTAAAAATGATAATACTTAAGTAGCATTTTATCCCTATAAATGAAAATCTGGTTCAAGAGAAGAATCCTCTAATGTCGTTTACCACATAAGAAATTACACTGGTGGTTGCCGGGTGTAAGGGGAGGGGAAATGGGCAGTTCTTCTTTTAAGGACATAGAGTTTCAATTTTGGAAGATGAAACAGTTCTGAAGATTGGTTGTACAACAAGGTGAACATACTTAACACTACTGAACTATATATTTAGAAACAGTTAAAATAGTAAGCTTTGTTTTTTCTAATAAAGCTTTTTAAGACATTGCAGAACAAATATATAAATTTTATCTCAATAGATACAGAAGTGTTCAATAAAATCAGTGGTCATTTATAATTTTTTTAAAATTAGCACATCTGAACTATAAAGGAGTTTCCCCACTGTGGTTGGCTCGATAACGATCCCCTTATGTCCACATCCTAATCCCTGGAACCTGTGAATGTCAACTTGTAGGGCAAAAGGGACCTTGCAAATGTGATTAAGAATCTCAAGAAAGGAAGAGTATCCTGGATTAGCTATGGGGCCCAGTGTGATTACAAGGATCCTTAGAAGAGGGTGGCATGAGGAGTCAAAGATCAGAAAGAGACGTGATGGTGGCAGCGTTTGGAGTGACGTGCTTTGAGGATGGAATTCCTTGGCTGCCAAGGGATTCAGGCAGGCACTAGAAGCTGAAAAAGGCAACCAAACAGATACTTTCCTCAGAGCTTCCAGAAAAAACCAGCCCAACAGACACCTTGACTTTACCTTAGTAAAGCTGATTTTGCAATCTGGCCTCCATGACTATAAGAAAATAACTGTGTGCTGTTTTTAAGTCACTGTTTTTTGTAAGTTGTTACAGCAGCAAAGGGAAACTAATACACTCAATATCATTGATTCATTTATTCAACAAATATTTAGTACAGACCTGTCATGTATTAAGCGCTTTTCCAGACTCTGGAGATATCAAAATAAACAACAAAAAAAGCTTCAAACAAAACAGTAACAACAAATTCTACCCTGTTGCACTTGTATTCTAATGAGGAAGTTGAGGGTAAATAATCACAAATTAGTAAAAAAAAATAAAGTTAGACAATGATCATCTCCAAGGAGAAAAATAATGCAGGGAGGAGAGGACGTACACATCATGGTAGAGGAGGTATTGTTACTGAAACACCAGGTGCTCGGTCTAGGCTCTGCTGCTCACCGCACAGAAAGCCAATCACTGAGATGATGAGTGTTGCCAAGGAAGAAGGCTTTAATTGGGTGCTGCAGCTGAGAAGATGGGAGCTCAGTCTCAAAATCCATCTCCCTGACTGACCAAAACTAAGGGTTTATATATCAGGAAAGAAATGTAACAACGTGTAAGAAGACAGGAACTCCGGAGGAGCAAAAAAACAATCATAATGAATGAGAGGTGGCATCCCATTATCTGGATGTGATGATCTGGTGAGTTCCAGTTCCTTGATCCTTTTCTTGAGAGGCATGAAGGTTGTTTCCGGAGGAACTCAGATAAAATAAATATAAGTTTCAAGCTTTAAGACCAGAGGGTCAACTTCTATGTTTATCAAAAAATAAAATAAACTATCTGTGGGACTATTGGGTCACTTTCAGTGAGATGCATTTCTGGATTGGGAGGGTAGGATAGGAGTCAATTAAAAAGTGTCATTGGAGTAACATCGGAGGAAGTAAGGAGCAGGGCCTTGTATGTGTCTGGGATAAGAGCACTACAGTCAGAAAAAAGTAGCGAGTGTGAAGTTTAGAGGCAGGGGCGTGGGCCTGTCAGGTGAGAGAAGACCAGTGCTGGAGTCAAGGGAGCCAGAGGAGAGTCCCAGGAGATGAGGTCAGAGAAGCAAGGATGGCTGTAGACCATGCCAGGCCCCACAGATTGCAATGAGGGCTGAGGGCACACTGGGGACCCTTTGTAAGGTCTTTTTTTAAAAAATTATTATTATTATACTTTAAGTTTTAGGGTACATGTGCACAATGTGCCAGTTAGTTACATATGTATACATGTGCCATGCTGGTGTGCTGCACCCATTAACTCGTCATTTACCATTAGGTATATCTCCTAATGCTATCCCTCACCCCTCCCCCCACCCCACAACAGTCCCCAGAGTGTGATGTTCCCCTTCCTGTGTCCATGTGTTCTCATTGTTCAATTCCCATCTATGAGTGAGAACATGCGGTGTTTGGTTTTTTGTCCTTGCGATAGTTTACTGAGAATGATGATTTCCAATTTCATCCATGTCCCTCAAAGGACATGAACTTATCATTTTTTATGGCTGCATAGTATTCCATGGTGTATATGTGCCACATTTCTTAATCCAGTCTATCATTGTTGGACATTTGGGTTGGTTCCAAGTCTTTGCTATTGTGAATAGTGCTGCAATGAACATACGTGTGCATGTGTCTTTATAGCAGCATGATTTATAGTCCTTTGGGTATATACCCAGTAATGGGATGGCTGGGTCAAATGGTATTTCTAGTTCTAGATCCCTGAGGAATCGCCACACTGTCTTCCACAATGGTTGAACTAGTTTACAGTCCCACCAACAGTGTAAAAGTGTTCCTATTTCTCCACATCCTCTCCAGCACCTGTTGTTTCCTGACTTTTTAATGATTGCCATTCTAACTGGTGTGAGATGGCATCTCATTGTGGTTTTGATTTGCATGTCTCTGATAGCCAGTGATGATGAGCATTTTTTCATGTGTCTTTTGGCTGCATAAATGTCTTCTTTTGAGAAGTGTCTGTTCATGTCCTTTGCCCACTTTTTGATGGGGTTGTTTGTTTTTTTCTTGTAAATTTGTTTAAGTTCATTGTAGATTCTGGATATTAGCCTTTGTCAGATGACTAGGTTGTGAAAATTTTCTCCCATTTTGTAGGTTGCCCATTCACTCTGATGGTAGTTTCTTTTGCTGTGCAGAAGCTCTTTACTTTAATTAGATCCCATTTGTCAATTTTGGCTTTTGTTGCCATTTCTTTTGGTGTTTTAGACATGAAGTCCTTGCCCATGCCTATGTCCTGAATGGTAATGCCTATGTTTTCTTCTAGGGTTTTTATAGTTTTAGGTCTAACGTTTAAGTCTTTAATCCATCTTGAATTAATTTTTGTATAAGGTGTAAGGAAGGGATCCAGTTTCAGCTTTCTACATATGGCTAGCCAGTTTTCCCAGCACCATTTATTAAATAGGGAATTCTTTCCCCATTGCTTGTTTTTCTCAGGTTTGTCAAAGATCAGATAGTTGTAGATATGCGGTGTTATTTCTGATGGCTCTGTTCTGTTCCATTGATCTATATCTCTGTTTTGGTACCACTACCATGCTGTTTTGGTTACTGTAGACTTGTAGTATAGTTTGAAGTCAGGTAGTGTGATGCCTCCAGCTTTGGATTGACTTGGTGATGCGGGCTCTTTTTTGGTTCCATATGAACTTTAAAGTAGTTTTTTCCAATTCTGTGAAGAAAGTCGTTGGTGGCTTGATGGGGATGGCATTGAATCTATAAATTACCTTGGGCAGTATGGCCATTTTCACGATATTGATTCTTCCTACCCATGAGCATGGAATGTTCTTCCATTTGTTTGTATCCTCTTCTATTTTATTGAGCAGTGGTTTGTATTTCTCCTTGAAGAGGTCCTTCACGTCCCTTGTAAGTTGGATTCCTAAGTATTTTATTCTCTTTGAAGCAATTGTGAATGGGAGTTCACTCATGATTTGGCTCTCTGTTTGTCTGTTATTGGCGTATAAGAATGCTTGTGATTTTTGTACATTGATTTTGTATCCTGAGACTTTGCTGAAGTTGCTTATCAGCTTAAGGAGATTTTGGGCTCAGACAGTGGGGTTTTCTAGATATACAATCATGTTGTCTGCAAACAGGGACAATTTGACTTCCTCTTTTCCTAATTGAATACCCTTTATTTCCTTCTCCTGCCTAATTGCCCTGGCCAGAACTTCCAACACTATGTTGAATAGGAGTGGTGAGAGAGGACATCCCTGTGTTGTGCCAGTTTTCAAAGGGAATGCTTCCAGTTTTTGCCCATTCAGTATGATATTGGCTGTGGGTTTGTCATAGATAGCTCTTATTATTTTGAGATATGTCCCATCAATACCTAATTTATTGAGAGTTTTTAGCATGAAGGGTTGTTGAATTTTGTCAAAGGTCTTTTCTGCATCTATTGAGATAATCATGTGGTTTTTGTCTTTGGTTCTGTTTATATGCTGGATTACATTTATTGATTTGCGTATATTGAACCAGCCTTGCATCCCAGGGATGAAGCCCACTTGATCATGGTGGATAAGCTTTTTGATGTGCTGCTGGATTCGGTTTGCCAGTATTTTATTGAGGATTTTTGCATCAATGTTCATCAAGGATATTGGTCTAAAATTCTCTTTGTTGGTTGTGTCTCTGCCCGGCTTTGGTACCAGGATGATGCTGGCCTCATAAAATGAGTTAGAGAGGATTCCCTCTTTTTCTATTGATTGGAATAGTTTCAGAAGGAATGGTACCAGTTCCTCCTTGTACCTCTGGTAGAATTTGGCTGTGAATCCATCTGGTCCTGGACTCTTTTTGGTTGGTAAGCTATTGATTATTGCCACAATTTCAGCTCCTGTTATTGGTCTATTCAGAGATTCAACTTCTTCCTGGTTTAGTCTTGGGAGAGTGTATGTGTCGAGGAATTTATCAATTTCTAGATTTTCTAGTTTATCTCCGTAGAGGTGTTTGTAGTAATCTCTGATGGTAGTTTGTATTTCTGTGGGATCGGTGGTGATATCCCCTTTATCATTTTTTATTGCATCTATTTGATTCTTCTCTCTTTTCTCTTTATTAGTCTTGCTAGCGATCTATCAGTTTTGTTGATCCTTTAAAAAAACTAGCTCCTGGATTCATTAATTTTTTGAAGGGTTTTTTGTGTCTCTATTTCCTTCAGTTCTGCTCTGATTTTAGTTATTTCTTGCCTTCTGCTAGCTTTTGAATGTGTTTGCTCTTGCTTTTCTAGTTCTTTTAATTGTGATGTTAGGGTGTCAATTTTGGATCTTTCCTGCTTTCTCTTGTGGGCATTTAGTGCTATAAATTTCCCTCTACACACTGCTTTGAATGTGTCCCAGAGATTCTGGTATGTTGTGTCTTTGTTCTCGTTGGTTTCAAAGAACATCTTTATTTCTGCCTTCATTTCGTTATGTACCCAGTAGTCATTCAGGAGCAGGCTGTTCAGTTTCCATATAGTTGAGCGGTTTTGAGTGAGTTTCTTAATCCCGAGTTCTAGTTCGATTGCACTGTGGTCTGACAGACAGTTTGTTATAATTTCCATTCTTTTACATTTGCTGAGGAGAGCTTTACTTTCAACTATGTGGTCAATTTTGGAATAGGTGTGGTGTGGTGCTGAAAAAAATGTATATTCTGTTGATTTGGGGTGGAGAGTTCTGTAGATGTTTATTAGGTCCACTTGGTGCAGAGCTGAGTTCAATTCCTAGGTATCCTTCTTAACTTTCTGTCTCGTTGATCTGCCTAATGTTGACAGTGGGGTGTTAAAGTCTCCCATTATTATTGTGTGGGAGTCTAAGTCTCTTTGTAGGTCACTCAGGACTTGCTTTATGAATCTGGGTGCTCCTGTATTGGGTGCATATATATTTAGGAGAGTTAGCTCTTCTTGTTGAATTGATCCCTTTACCATTATGTAATGGCCTTCTTTGTCTCTTTTGATCTCTGTTGGTTTAAAGTCTGTTTTATCAGAGACTAGGATTGCAACCCCTGCCTTTTTTTGTTTTCCATTTGCTTGGTAGATCGTCCTCCATCCTTTTATTTTGAGCCTATATGTGTCTCTGCACAAGAGATGGGTTTCCTGAATACAGCACACTGATGGGTCTTGACTCCTTATCCAATTCGCCAGTCTGTGTCTTTTAATTGGGACATTTAGTCCATTTACATTTAAAGTTAATATTGTTATGTGTGAATTTGATCCTGTCGTTATGATGTTAGCTGGTTATTTTGCTCGTTAGTTGATGCAGTTTCTTCCTAGTCTCGATGGTCTTTACATTTTGGCATGATTTTGTGGCGGCTGGTACCGGTTGTTCCTTTCCATGTTTAGTGCTTCCTTCAGGAGCTCTTTTAGGGCATGCTCGGTGGTGACAGAATCTCTCAGCATTTGCTTGTCTGTAAAGGATTTTATTTCTCCTTCACTTATGAAGCTTAGTTTGGCTGGATATGAAATTCTGGGTTGAAAATTCTTTTCTTTAAGAATGTTGAATATTGGCCCCCACTCTCTTTGGGCTTGTAGAGTTTCTGCCAAGAGATCCGCTGTTAGTCTGATGGGCTTCCCTTTGTGGGTAACGTGACCTTTCTCTCTGGCTGCCCTTAACATTTTTTCCTCATTTCAACTTTGGTGAATCTGACAATTATGTGTTTTGGAATTGCTCTTCTCGAAGAGTATCTTTGTGGCGTTTTCTGTATTTCCTGAATCTGAATGTTGGCCTGCCTTGCTAGATTGGGGAAGTTCTCCTGGATAATATCCTGCAGAGTGTTTTGCAACTTGGTTTCATTTTCCCCATCACTTTCAGGTACACCAATCAGACGTAGATTTGGTCTTTTCACATAGTCCCATATTTCTTGGAGGCTTTGTTCGTTTCTTTTTATTCTTTTTTCTCTAAACTTCCCTTCTCTCTTCATTTCATTCATTTCATCTTCCATCACTGTTACCCTTTCTTCCAGTTGATCGCATCGGCTCCTGAGGCTTCTGCATTCTTCACGTAGTTCTCGAGCCTTGGCTTTCAGCTCCATCAGCTCCTTTAAGCACTTCTCTGTATTGGTTATTCTAGTTATACATTTGTCTAAATTTTTTTCAAAGTTTTCAACTTCTTTGCCTTTGGTTTGAATTTCCTCCTGTAGCTCAGAGTAGTTCGATCGTCTGAAGCCTTCTTCTCTCAACTTGTCAAAGTCATTCTCCATCCAGCTTTGTTCCGTTGCTGGTGAGGAACTGCGTTCCTTTGGAGTAGGAGAGGTGTTCTGCTTTTTAGAGTTCCCAGTTTTTCTGCTCTGTTTTTTCCCCATCTTTGTGGTTTTATCTACTTTTGGTTCTTGATGATGGTGATGTACAGATGGGTTTTTGGTGTGGATGTCCTTTCTGCTTGTTAGTTTTCCTTCTAACAGACAGGACCCTCAGCTGCAGGTCTGTTGGAGTTTGCTAGAGGTTCACTCCAGACCCTGTTTGCCTAGGTATCAGCAGCGGTGTCTGCAGAACAGCGGATTTTCATGAACCGCAAATGCTGCTGTCTGATCGTTCCTCTGGAAGTTTTGTCTCAGAGGAGTACCCGGCCATGTGAGGTGTCAGTCTGCCCCTACTGGGGGGTGCCTTCCAGTTAGGCTGCTCGGGGGTCAGGGGTCAGGGACCCACTTTAGGAGGCAGTCTGCCCGTTCTCAGATCTCCAGCTGCATGCTGGGAGAACCACTGCTCTCTTCAAAGCTGTCAGACGGGGACATTTAAGTCTGCAGAGGTTACTGCTGTCTTTTTGTTTGTCTGTGGCCTGCCCGCAGAGGTGGAGCCTACAGAGGCAGGCAGGCCTCTTTGAGCTGTGGTGGGCTCCACCCAGTTCGAGCTTCCTGGCTGCTTTGTTTACCTAAGCAAGCCTGGGCAATGGCAGGCGTCCCTCCCCCAGCCTCACTGCCGCCTTGCAGTTTGATCTCAGACTGCTGTGCCAGCAATCAGCGAGACTCCATAGGCATAGGACCCTCCGAGCCAGTTGCGGGATGTAATCTCCTGGTGCGTCATTTCCTGAGCCCGTTGGAAAAGTGCAATATTCGGGTGGGAGTGACCCGATTTTCCAGGTGCCGTCTGTCACTCCTTTCCTTGACCAGGAAAGGGAACTCCCTGATCCCTTGCGCTTCCCGAGTGAGGCAATGCCTCGCCCTGCTTCGGCTGGTGCACGGTGTGCTGCACCCACTGTCCTGCGCCCAGTGTCTGGCACTCCCTAGTGAGATGAACCTGGTACCTCAGGTGGAAATGCAGAAATCACCCGTCTTCTGTGTCACTCACGCTGGGAGCTGTAGACCAGAGCTGTTCCTATTCGGCCATCTTGGCTCCTCCCCCCCTTGTAAGGTCTTGAACAGAGGAGGGATAAAAGATAAAATTCAACTCCTGTGTTACAAACATTGTTCTAGTGCTGTTTAGGAAATCGTCTGAAAGAGGAGAAGAGTGATACCAGGAAGGCCAATTAGGAGGTTAATGAAAAAACATTAGCCCAAAATGATGGTGCCTTAGACCAGGGTGGCAGTCGTGAAGACGGCAAAAAGTAATTTTGTAAATATTTATATAAAGTAGAACTGCCATGATTTACTGACAAGCTAATGTGGCGTGTAAAAGGGTTTTGGCCTGGGTAACTGACAGAATGGATTTGCCTTTAGTCAAGATGAAGTAGAGTGAGTTTGGTTGGGGAAGGATGGAAAATACCAGGCATTCAGTTTGAAATGCACAATTTGTCATTCAAGTAGAAGTGAAAAGTAGGCAGTTGGACATACAAATTTAAACTTCTGAAAAACTTAACAAACTAGAGATATAAATTTAACATAATCAAAAATAGGTAGTATTCAAAGCCAAGAGTGAGCATACATAGAAGAAAGAAACCCGGGAACTCATTCCTGGAACTCCAACACATCAAAGTAAAGGAGATGAGGAAGAACTAGCAAAGAGAGTAAGAACAGCTGGAGACGCAGAAAGAAAAGCAAGAGAATACAGTGCTCTAAAGTCCAAGAAAGCTCTTCATGAAGAGTATGTGGGCCCCATATACCTGATTAGCCACGTAAAATGGGGACTCAGCATGACCCAGCGGTTTCAGTCACACGGAGGGCAGAGGCAAAAATGGGCAGCCGGTATAGGCGCACGACGGACAGCACACTTCATGATGACACTTTGGAAGCAGCTTCACTGAATTTTCAGGGAAAGACAAACATGCCCTCTTTCATCTCTTCTAGTCACAAGTGTACCAGAGCTTAACGACAACAACAACAAAACAGGAAAAACAAATGAAGTACAAGAAGTGGATGGAAAGAGGTAAAAACTCTTCTCTGCTGTTTATATGATGTCTGTATACAAAATCCAAGATAATCTACAGATAAACACTTAGAAACTGATAAGAGATTTTAAAATGTATTAGATTCAAGATTAGCATGCTTGAATCAAACTATTCTACCATACTAAATAAAAACATACTTTTTCCATTAACTTCCTATAAGCAGTTACGTGCTGGTTACTTGAAGACAGGAAAGGAAAGAGAGACACCTGATATGCGGTGATTGCTGATTTCCAAGGTGCAACTTCTCCTCCCACAGCCCATTTGAAGCTACCAGTGTAATGTCACTGAAGCAGAACTGCCAATAGTTGCACGTAACTGGCCCTTGCAAACTGGTGTCAGCGCCAGCACACCACTGCAAATCAACTAAAATGTTGAATAAAGAAAACATCACATTCATAGATGTTATCAAAACTACAAGATCTATTTTAAAAAACTAACCAAATGGCAATAACATGCAGAGATCTTTTTTAAAAAATGTTTTAAATTAAGAACGGAATACTTCAGAAAAAGTAATACTAATGGCAGGGAAGAATTGATATTGTTGATGCCAATTCACCCCAAATAATTATAATTTCAGCACAGTTATAATCAAATCTCAACAGAGAATCTTCAAATTCATTTGAAAGAGGAAGTGGTCAAAAATAATTGAGACAGTTTTTAAGAACAACAAGGTAGGGTGACTTGCACTACTAAAAAATAAATCCCTAAATACTTGATATTGATGTTAGGATGAACAAATAAAACAATGTAACCGAATAGAGAGCCCATAAACAGTTATTTTTAGAAACCTGATATATACCAGATGTGGTATTACTAATTAGTGTGGAAAGAGTGGCCTCTCAATCGATGGTTCTGAGGCTATTGAATTTCCATATGGGAAAATAAACAAAATTCAAATTTCTCTAAGACAAGAAAAAAATAATCCACCAAGAACAAACTGAACAAATTGCAAAATATAACAAAGGGTAATTATCTCAAGTTTATAGGGAGCTCTTAAAATGAATAAATATATTAAACCAAATAGAGGGGATAAATCCACGAAAAACAATAGTTAAAGTTAGAAAAATAAAGAGCCTATTTTCTTTTTTTTTTTTTAATTCCTTCTTAAAAAAAAACGGGATACATGTATAGAACGTGCAGGTTTGTTACATAGGTTGCGTGTGCCATGGTGGTTTGCTGCACCTGCTGACCCATCCTCTAAGCTCTCTCCCCTCACCCCCACCCTCCAGCAGGCCCTGGTGTGTGTGGTTCCCCTCTCTGTGTCCATGGGTTCTTGTTGTTCAACTCCCACTTAGGAGTGAGAACATGCGGTGTTCGGTTTTCTGTTCCTGTGTTAGTTTGCTGAGGATGATGAAGAGCCTATTTTCATTTAAAAAATCAAAATGTATTTTAAAGTACTCAAATCCATTAAGAATGTTTAAAACTAATTTTAAATTAACAAAATACTTTTATTTCCCTATCAAAATGAAAAAAAAGTAAAAGACTGATTTTTAAAAAATCCATAATCTGTGTTCAAGAACTTATTTCTCCATACAGTAAGGGCAACTTTACAGCCAAACATATTTTCCAAACTTGGCAGAAGTATAAATTGGCAAAACCTTTTTGGATTGAGATATACTTACGGAAATTTAAGTATACCTTCTTTGACCAAAAAATTCAAAAAGTTATCCTAAAGAAAGCAGAAAAAGTATAAAGGGTCATATGTAGCCCATTTAAGTGAAGAAATGGAAAATTCTTTGATAACCAAAAAAACTAGTTCATAGAAGTTCCATATAGTATGATGTATTTTTCATAAAACAAAAAAAGTATGTATTTGAATGACTTAAAATTTTCTAGAAGTAACATGCAGAAGTGAGTATTTCTCCATGCTGAAGTTACGGAGTTCTGTTTTCTTGTTTATATTTTGCTGTGCTTTCTTAATTTTGCAGTATTACTCATATATTAGGATAAATCATTTTCAAAAAAATAAGCAAAGCAGACATGCACTTGGGGTTTTTACAAAATATTTTATTGACAAGTATTATTTTTAAAGTATTATTTTTAATGTATTATCTCCCACCCTAGGAGAAAATTTTGTGCCCTCTCCTAGGATGGGCTTAACTATAAGAATGTTGCAAATAAGGAAAAAGTGAGTAGTATGTACCACCACTCTCTCTATTTTGCCAACTAGCTCAGCTCCCCCTGGAGTCCTTCATGCGCATGTTCCCATTGGATGAACCTCCCACGTGATGTTTCTTGGTCTCTAAACCAATGAGTCTCCGTGAGTCAATATCCCTACATCACACACACACACACACACACACACACACACACTCTCTCTCTCTCTCTCTCTCTCTCTCTCTCGTATGATGACTCCTGAATCATACTGTGTATTAAAGTTGCTTATTCACATGTCATCTTCCTGGTAGACTATAAAGCCCCAGAGAATAAGACAAATGCACTATTCTTTTTATATCTCCCAGAAACAATTAACAAAATACCCTGCATATACTGATGTAAATTACTTATTTGTTGACTAAATATTGCAAGGACTTCATAGGTTTAACTTGGACTAATTCATGGTTACGGTTTTTTGTTTTGTTTTGTTTTTGTTTTTTAGATGGAGTTTTGCTCTGTCGCCCAGGCTGGAGTGCAATGGTGCCATCATGGCTCACTGCAACCTCTGCCTCCCAGGTTCGAGCAATTCTCCTGCCTCAGCCTCCCGAGTAGCTGGGATTAAAGTCATGCGCCACCACGCTCAGCTAACGTTGTATTTTTAGTAGAGACGGGGTTTCTCCATGTTAGTCAGGCTGGTCTCAAACTCCCGGACTCAGGTGATCCACCCACCTCGGCCCCCCCAAAGTGCTGGGATTACAGGCGTGAGCCACCACACCCGGCCAGTTACTTTTTATAAATTGAAAATAAGTAATTTTTAAAGAAATAAAAGTCCTTTTTATTTAAAAAATAAATAATTACACAAATTATGAATGACATTGGGTTCAACTACAATTATATTTGAGAAGATTACATTTAATTGATGGATAAATGATCTGTAGTGATTTATGATTGGAAACATAAGGGACACCTTTTTTCCTATTTTTATCTGTGCCATAGAAGCCAAAAATGTTCTTTCATAAAACATACTTTGAGGCCTCTGTTAGAGACAGACAGTAAGAATGCATGAAACAGGGTCTACTCTAATACATCAATTTCTTAGTTATCATGAAGTATTTTATTTGCTGGATACAAAGAGATTGATGTATAAACTAAATTGATAATAACAGCTACCATTTACTAAAAACCTGCCACGCTGAGTGTCTTGTGTTCATTCTCTCCAACCCCATAAAAAACCTTGTTGTATAGTGAGGGAAGGAGCAGATATTCTAACTAAGCTCTATTAACTGCAAAACCAAAACTCTCAACCAATAGATCCACTTTTTTACAGATATACTAAAAGCAGTTTAGTAGCAATTTCAGCAATGTAGTCAAAGTTTCTGGTGCTATGTCTTCAAATTTTCATGGATCATAACACATCTGCAGTACAGTTGTGATCAAATTATTATATCCACTGCATTTACCAAAAATAAAATGATACACAAAAAGTCCTCAGGAAAACTATTCTCTTGAAATATCTTTATAGTGATGCCTGGGGGAAAATCTCGTTTAGCTAAAGTGCTGTTTGTAATTAGCATGGCATTCCCTTTTACGTCTAAAAATAGAATTACAATCATCATTTTAACACTATATATACATTGGTCTAGCTTTTATATTTTATTTGGATGAAAATAGAATAGCAAAAAAGTCCATGTTTTCTCAAAAATACTTACGATGAAAGCTGGATGTATTAACACATATCTAGCTTATAAAACTAGCTACCCAATAGAGTATAATGAAATATTGTTCCTTTATTTAGCAATTGCTTTTTATCTAGGGGCACAGATCACTGACGAAACTATAAGAAAACAATGCAATGCAACTGCTATTTCAGTCTTGCATGTGCCCGGGTGTAATTAACAAATGTATCATATGTAAACAATTACATACTTCATAGTACAATTCCAAACTCAAATCTCACATTTTAGAGACCTACCTTTAGAAAAGCTCTTTCTTTTCTTTAGATTTGATCATACTGCTTCAGAAACACTGTAAGTTTCACAGGGAAAGGATTATTTTGCAAAGTTGCAGATCCAATACATTGCTTTGGTTTTACATACAAAGTAAGTATGGGAAAATTTATCATGCAAATAAAGAGGTTCAACAAAATATCATACAGGTATCTTCTATTCATTTTTGTCCAGCACTTTGTAATTTGAGTGACACGTCCTGGCCAGGCAATGCACTATGTGGCAAGAGTGTAGATTCAGGAACTAGATCATCTGGATATCACGCAGCTTCATGACAAGCACATTGGTCTCCAGGACTGCATTGTGGGTGACCCTAATAAACTTACTCAGATATTTGAATAGCTTCTCTATTGTTTGATAGAGAAAAAAGAATGGCTGGACATAACACCAATTTTTGATTACCAAAGCTACAATTCTTTGTTTTGGGTTTTCTTGAGACAGGGTCTCACTCTGTCGCCAGCTAGAATGCAGTGGCACAATCCCAGCTCAGTGCAGCCTCAACCTCCAGGGCTCAAGTGATCCTCCCACCTCAGCCTCCTGAGTAACTGGGACTACAGATGTACACCACCACGCCCAGGTAATTTTTAAATTTTTTTGTAGAGATAAGAGTCTCACTATGTTGCTCAGGCTGGTCTCACACACCTGGGTTCAAGCAGTCTCCCTCCTTGGCCCCTCAAAGTGCTGGGACTACAGATGTGAACCGTCGTGCCTGGCCCAAAGAATTACAAATCTTAACCTTTATCCGAAGTCTAATGAATTTGATATAATGCTTTATTGAGGATAAAAGAATTAATTTCAGCTAATTATCTTCAAAAAGGATTTTTATTTAAAAATTCTGTCCTTGCATACATTTTCTGGACATAAGCTAGGACATCATTTCGGTCTGATTTTGGTTACAAAGTGCACAGGCGCCGCTTCAATCTGCTAATCAAGCTTTAATGTGTCGTGTTATGTTGCTCTCAAATTGTGAACATACGGTAGTTTATAAATAAACGTCTCAAGGACTTAGTTTCTGAAGATTACGGAGCTGGAAGAGCTACTCAGAGAAACTGAAATACCTTCTAAAATGTATTTTCAAGTTTCTTCTTAAATCTTCAAATTGGATTATTAGAGAGAAAGCATGAATAGATCTGCTTCTTCCCTTTGGGGATTGAGAGAGGTTTCGTGTCTTTAAGAAGCCTCTTGAAATATACAGATTTATTTAATATATGTCAGAATCTAGAGAGAATTATGATATCAAATGCTTTTTCGGAAATGCAGTGTATATAATAGAGAATATGATATTGTTTTCTGAACTTCTTTCCTACATCCTACGATATTCAAAGAGTAATTCAGCATGGCCTCCAGCCCTGCAGCTCATCCCTGTGCGTTTTGGATTCAAGGACTCCAGCCTGCAGTGGCCAACAGGAAATACAGTAATTGTGATCTTGCTCTTTGAAGATGGGATGATAATTATCACAGAACTCATAGGAAATGTCTTTTTTGCTCTATAGACTGTGAGATTATGCATATCTTTTAGTAGTTTATTCCCTGAATCCTTAAAAATTAATTTAAGTTTACCATCAGATTTTAGATTTTCCTCTATTCCTACCTTTGGTTATGACATCAGTTTTGTGAACAAAGTAAACTCAATACATTATAAAATGCTGAAGTAACATATCATTTTCCCTAAGGCTTACCTCTTTTATTTGATTTAAGGAAAATTTCTTATTTTCTGTGGGGGCTTAGTGCATTGATGTGGAGAAATTCATCCTTCTTGGTTTTTGTATTCTTTTTTTTTTTTTTTTTTGAGACGGAGTTTCACTCTTGTTGCCCAGGCTGGAGTGCAGTGGCGTGGTCTCGGCTCACTGCAACCTGCGCCTCCTGGATTCAAGCGATTCTCTTGCCCCAGGTTTTTGTATTCTTAAAGGCCAAAACATATGTCTGGATGGCCTCATGCTCATCTGTGCACACCATGGCAGAACCCAGTACATTGTTTTGTTTACATCCCCCCAAAATAGTGAAAAAAATGAAGCACCACCATTTTTATCTTGAGCACCTCTTCACTGTTCTTAACGCATTTGGGCGGTAGCAGAAAAGATCATTCCCCAAAACCTTGCTAAGCACGTTGTCCAGGTGGGGAGAGTATTACTGCTCAGTTTTCCAGTTACAGGTGCTCTAGTATCTTTCTTCTAATTTAGGCATCACTGGCAACAATCAACTTGTCAGATTTATATAGTAGATGAAAATGGAAAAGAGAAAAATCGAGTCCAAGGCTGCTTTTATTCTGAAGTTTAAATGGCAGCTATTATCATTTCATGTAGCCCATTATGTAGGAATGATGTCTAGGACTGTACAGTTTCATCATGAGTTTCCATGAGCTTCTTTTCATTTTTACATCTTTTATTTTAATCAGTGGGAAATCACGATATTAGAGATTCCACTGGTGCCCTGAAAGACATGCTTTGTGAAATTTTTGTTTCAAAACATTATTTCAAAATAAATAATGTATACTTAATTCAGCACCAGGACCCATGATTAGATGCAAATGAGATGACATGAAATATCTTTACTGTGCTATTTACATTCATATATGTTTACTTGTACTTTAAATCCTATAACAAAATTATGTAAGTAAACCCAAAGTATAATGTTTAGAGAAAATTAGTTCTTCACACTTCAATATTTATGAAGTACAACTTTTTGTAAACATGGAAAATTGAAAAATGTCATTGAAATTAACCTGTAGAATAATATGGATTAAATAAATGCTATTGCTGTTCCTCTGACTTTAAAAAATCAAAAGCACTTTCTAGATTAATCTGAGTAATCACAGGCCGCTTAAAGTAGCCAGGAATATAAAGTGGAACAACCAACCTCAGTTCCCTGCATCCGAAGGTTTAGACCTATTTTAGTTCATCTCACGCTGCTACAACGAAATTCCACAGACTAGGTAATTTATAATGAGCAGAAATTTATTTGGCTCAAAGTTTTGGAGTCTGGGAAGTCCACAATTGAGAAAATGCATCTGCATCTGGTGAGGGACTTCTGTTGTGTCATAACATGGCAGAAAGCATCACGTGGGGAGAGAGAGGAGGAGGCCAAACTCATCCTTTTACAAGGAACTAACTCCTGAAACAGTGGCATCAATCCATTCATGAGAGGGAAGCCCTCATGACCTAACCATCTGTGATGGTCCCACTTTTCCACACTGCTGGATTGAGGATTATGTTTCTAACCCGTGAACCTTGGGTGACGCATTTAAACCCTAGCAACACCCTAGCTGATTCACAGATATTTATGCTAAAGCCTAGTTGATACAGTTTGATATTTGTTCCCTCAAAATCCCACGTTGAAATGTGATCCCCAATGTTGGAAGTGCAGTCTAGTGGGAGGTATTTGGTTCATGGGAGTGGATTCCTCAGAATGGCTTGATGCCCTCCCTATAGTAATGAGTTTACACAAGAGCTGGTTGCTCAAAACATCCTGACATCTCTCTTGCTTCCTCCCTCACCGTGTGACACATCTGCTCCTCCTTCGCCTTCCACCATAAGCGGAAGCTTCCGGAAGCCTCACCAGAAGCTGAGCAGATGCTGGAGCCATGCTTGTACAGCCTGCAGAACTGTGAGCCAAATAAACTTCTTTTCTTTAAAAATTACCCAGCCTCAGGTATTACTGTGTAGGAATGCAAATGGACTAACACACTAGTTATTTTCAGATATTTGTAAGTATTATCATCCTTCATCCAAATACAATTTTTAACATATTTTAAATGAAAATAATTTAAGAAATATGGAGCTGGATAGTAAAAGAGAAAAAAATGTTATCTTAATATAATTTTAGTGGGTTTATACATCAAACATTAAGTGGGAGAGGTCTTTAAGCACTTGCACAAGGCTGAAAAACAAGGAAAAGGAAGTTACCTCGTAGATGTCTAACAGAGATGCAGAACTGATCTGCAGCAGCAGTTAGGACAAAGGCAATCATATATGGAAAAGCAGATAATATGATTTTTAAAGCTTTGAGACATTTCCAATTTGGAGTAACAGAATGTTAGCCAGCACGTGCCAATACAGCCTTGCCAGTTACTTATTGCTGACATTCATTCTGATTAGCCCATTATTAGCCTGAGCTGAGCTGATTAGTGTAGTTTACATCTCCCTGGGTTAACTACAGCCCATCCTCATTATTTGCAGATTCCAGATTTATGAATTTGCCTGCTCACTAAAATGGATTTGTAACCCTCAAATCAATACTCCCAAGTGCTTTCCTGGTCATTTATGGACATGCACAGAGAGGGGAAATTATTTATTTATTTATTTATTTCAATAGGTTTTGGGGGAACAGGTGGTGTTTGGTTACACGCATAAGTTCTTTAGTGATGATTTCTGAGATTTTGGTGTACCCATCACGCGAGCAGTGTACACTGTACCCAACGTGTAATATTTTATCCCTCACTCCTCTCCCACCCTTTCCCCAAGTCCCCAAAGTCCATTGTATCATTCTTATGTTTTTGCATCCTCATAGTTTAGCTGCCACTTATGAATGAGAACATACAATGTTTGGTTTTCCATTCCTGAGTTATTCACTTAGAATAATGGTCTCCAATTCCATCCAGGTTTATTTTGTTCGTTTTTATGGCTGAATAGTATTCCATGGTATATATTTATACCACAATTTCTTTTTTATTATTATTATTATTATACTTTAAGTTTTAGGGTACATGTGCACAATATGCTGGTTAGTTACATAGGTATACATGTGCCATGCTGGTGTGCTGCACCCATTAGCTCGTCATTTAGCATTAGGTATATCTCCTAATGCTATCCCTCCCCCTTCCCCCAACCCCACAACAGTCCCCAGAGTGTGATGTTCCCCTTCCTGTGTCCATGTGTTCTCATTGTTCAATTCCCATCTATGAGTGAGAACATGCGTTGTTTGGTTTTTTGTCCTTGAGATAGTTTACTGAGAATGATGATTTCCCATTTCACCCATGTCCCTACAAAGGACATGAACTCATCATTTTTTATGGCTGCATAGTATTCCATGGTGTATATGTGCCACATTTTCTTAATCCAGTCTATCATTGTTGGACATTTGGGTTGGTTCCAAGTCTTTGCTATTGTGAATAGTGCCGCAATAAACATACGTGTGCATGTGTCTTTATAGCAGCATGATTTATAGTCCTTTGGGTATATACCCAGTAATGGGATGGCTGGGTCAAATGTATACCACAATTTCTTTATCCACTTGTTAATTGATGGGCATTTGGGCTGGTTCCATATTTTTGTGATTGTGAATTGTGCTTCTATAAACATGCATGTGCAAGTATCTTTTTTCCTGTGATGACTTACTTTCCTCTAGGTAGATAGCCAGTAGTGGGATTGCTGGATCAAATGGTATTTCTACTTTTAGAACTCAGTTCTTTAAGGAATCTCCACACTGTTTTCCATAGTGGTTCTGCTAGTTTACATTCCCACCAGCAGTGTAAGTGTTCCATTTTCACCACATCCATACCAACATCTATTTTTTTTTAATTTTTTGATTGTGGCCATTCTTGCAGGAGTGATTTTGATTTGTATTGTGGTTTTGATTTGTATTTCCCTGATAATTAGTGATGTTGAACATTTTTTCATATGTTTGTTGGCCATTTGTGTATCTTCTTTTGAGAATTGTCTATTCATGTCCTTAGCCCACTTTTTGATGGGATTATTGCATCGTTAGGCAACTTCATTATTGTGCAAACATCATAGAGCGTACTACGCAAACCTAGATGGTATAGCATAATACACACCTGGGCTATCTAGTAAAATCTATTGCTTCTAGGCCACAAACCTGTACAGCATGTGACTGTACTGAACACTATAGGCAATTGTAACATAGTGGTATTTGTGTATCTAAGCATATGTAAACATAGAAAAGGTACAGTAAAAATATGGTATAAAAGATAAAAAATGGTACACCTGCATAGGGCACTTACCGTGAATGAAGGTTGCAAGATTGAAAGTTGCTCTTGGTGAGTTGATGACCAGTGAATGAATGTGAAGGCGTAAGATGTTACTGTGCACTACTGTAGACTTTATAAGCACTGTACACTTAGACTATACTAAATTTATTTTTTAAATTTCTTACCTCAAAAATAGATTAACCTTAGTTTACTGTATCTTTTTTACTTATAAACTTCTTAATTGTTTTAAGCTTTGACTCTTCTGTAAAAACACTTAGCTTAAAACAGAAACATATTGTTCGGCTGTACAAAAATATTTTCTATCTTTGTATCCTTATTCTATAGGCTTTTGTCTGTGTTCAACCTTTTTTTCTACTTTTAAAATTAAAAAAAAAGCTAAGACATATGCACACACATTAGCCTAGGCCTACAGGAGGTCAGGATCATCAACATCACTGTCTTCCACCTCCACATCATGTCTCACTGGAAGGTCTTCAGGGGAAGTAACATGCATGAAGCTGTCATCTCCTATGGTAACAATGCCTTCTGCTGCATACCTCCTGAAGGACCTGCCTGAGGCTGTTTTACAGTTCACTCTTTTTAACATAAGTAGAAAGAGTACATTCTGAAATGACAATAAAAATTTAGCATAGTAAAATACATAAACCAGTAATTTAGTCATTTGTACATGTTTGTACGTGCTAGTCTTTAAATGACTGGGAGCACAGTAGGTTTCTTTACACCACATCACCACAAACACAGGACTAATGCATTGTGCTAAGACACTATGATGGCTACGATGTCACTAGGCAACAGAAATTTTTCTGCACCATTATAATATTACGGAAACACCATCATATATGTGGTCCGTTGATGATCAAAACACATTACCGGCACATGACTGTATGTATAAGTACAAATTGGATAAAATATATGTAACTTTATTCTATCTAAAATTATTTCCCAGAGTAATGCTAAGTATTTTTAAAATAATGTTCTTTCACATTAAAAGTCAATGAATTTTTGTGGTTTTTGTTTTTTGCTAATAATAATTTTTTTTAATTTCTAACTTTTAAGTTCAGAGGTACATGTGCAGGATGGGCAGGTTTGTTACATAGGTAAACATGTGTCATGGTGGTTTGTTGTACAGATTATTTCCTCACCCAGGTATTAAGCCTAGTACCCATTAGTTATTTTCCCTGATCATCTCCCTCCTCCCACTGTCCGCCCTCCCATGGGCCCCAGTGTGTGTTGGTTCCTCCTATGTATCCATGTGTTCTAATCATTCAGCTCCCACTTACAAGTGAGAACATGCAGTGTTTGGTTTTCTGTTCCTGTATTAACTTGCTAAGGATAATGGCCTCTAGTTCCATCCATGTCCCTGCAAAGGACATGATCCCCTTCTTTTTTATGGCTGCATAATATTCCATGGTATATATGTACATTTTCTTTATTCAGTATATCATTGATGGGCATTTAGGTTGATTCCATGTCTTTGCTGTTGTGAATAGTGCTGCATTGAACATACACATGCATATGTCTTTACAATAGAATGGTTTATATTCCTTTGGGTATGTACCCAGTAATGGGATTGCTTGGTCAAATAGTATTTTTCTCTCTAGGTCTTTGAGGAATTGCCACACTGTCTTCAACAACGGTTGAACTAATTTACACTCCCACCAACAATGTAAAAGCATTCCTTTTTCTCCACAACCTTGCCAACATCTGTTGTTTTTTGACTTTTTAATAAACGCCATTCTGACTGTCAAGAGATGGTATCTCATTGTGGTTTTGATGTGCATTTCTCTAATGATCAGTGAATGTTGAGCTTTTTTTCATGTGTCTGTTTGCCACATGTATGTCTTCTTTTGAGAATTGTCTCTTCATGTCCTTTGCCTACTTATTAATGGAGTTTTTTTCCTTATAAATTTGTTTAAGTTCCTTATAGATGCTAGATATTAGACCTTTGTCAGATGCATAGATTGTGAAAAATTTCTCCCATTTTGTAGGTTGTCTGTTTACTCTGTTGATAGTTTCTTTTGCTGTGCAGAAGCTCTTTAGTTTAATTAGATTCCATTTGTCAATTTTTGCTTTTGTTGTAATTGCTTTTGGTGTCTTCAACATAAAATCTTTTCCTGTGCCTATGTCCGGTATAGTATTGCCTAGATTTTCTTCTAGGGTTTTTATTGTCTTGAGTTTTACATTTAAGTCTTTAATGCATCTTGAGTTGACTTTTGTATATGGTACCCAGTTTCAATTTTCTGCATATAGCTAGCCAGTTCTCCCAGCACCATTTATTAAATAGGGAATCCTTTCCCCATTGCTTGTTTTTGTCAGGTTTGTCAAAGACCAGATGGTTACAGGTGTGCAGTCTTATATCTGGGCACTCTATGCTGTTCCATTGGTCTGTGTGTCTGTTTTTGCACCAGTGCCATGCCATTTGGGTTACTGTAGCACTGTAATATAGTCAGGTAGCATGATGCCTCCAGCTTTATTCTTTTTGCTTAGGATTGCCTTGGTTATTCAGGCTCTTCTTTGGTTCTATATGAATTTTAAAATACATTTTTCTTTTTTTTATTATACTTTAAGTTTTAGGGTACACGTGCACAATGTGCAGGTTTGTTATATATGTATACATGTTCCATGTTGGTGTGCTGCACCCATTAACTCATCATTTAGCATTAGGTATATCTCCTAATGCTATCCCTCCCCTCTCCCCGCACCCCACAACAAGCCCCGTTGTGTGATGTTCCCCTTCCTGTGTCCATGTGTTCTCATTGTTCAATTCCCACCTGTGAGTGAGAACATGCGGTGTCTGGTTTTTTGTCCTTGCGATAGTTTGCTGACAATGATGGTTTCCAGCTTCATCCATGTCCCTACAAAGGACATGAACTCATCATTTTTTATGGCTGCATAGTATTCCATGGTGTATATGTGCCACATTTTCTTAATCCAGTCTATCATTGTTGGACATTTGGGTTGGTTCCAAGTCTTTGCTATTGTGAATAGTGCCACAATAAACACACGTGTGCATGTGTCTTTATAGCAGCATGATTTATAATCCTTTGGGTATATACCCAGTAATGGGATGGCTGGGTCAAATGGTATTTCTAGTTCTAGATCCCTGAGGAATCGCCACACTGACTTCCACAATGGTTGAACTAGTTTACAGTCCCACCAACAGTGTAAAAGTGTTCCTATTTCTCCACATCCTCTCCAGCACCTGTTGTTTCCTGACTTTTTAATGATTGCCATTCTAACTGGTGTGAGATGGCATCTCATTGTGGTTTTGATGTGCATCTCTCTGATGGCCAGTGATGATGAGCATTTTTTCATGTGTCTTTTGGCTGCATAAATGTCTTCTTTTAAGAAGTGTCTGTTCATATCCTTTGCCCACTTTTTGATGTGGTTGTTTTTTTCTTGTAAATTTGTTTGAGTTCATTGTAGATTCTGGATATTAGCCCTTTGTCAGATGAGAAGATTGCAAAAATTTTCTCCCATTCTGTAGGTTGCCTGTTCACTCTGATGGTAGTTTCTTTTGCTGTGCAGAAGCTCTTTGACAAACCTGACAAAAACAAGAAATGGGGAAACGATTCCCTATTTAATAAATGGTGCTGGGAAAACTGGCTAGCCATATGGAGAAAGCTGAAACTGGATCCCTTCCTTACACCTTATACAAAAATTAATTCAAGATGGATTGAAGACTTAAATGTTAGACCTAAAACCATAAAAACCCTAGAAGAAAACCTAGGCATTACCATTCAGGACACAGGCATGGGCAAAGACTTCATGTCTAAAACACCAAAAGCAATGGCAACAAAAGCCAAAATTGACAAATGGGAGCTAATTAAATTAAAATACATTTTTCTAACTGTGTGAAGAATGTCAAAGGTAGTTTAATAGAAACAGCATTGGAATTAGAAATAGAAATCTATAAATTGCTTTGGGCAGTTTGGCTGTTTACACGATATTGATTTTTTCCTATCCAAGCATGAAATGTTTTTCCGTTTGTTTGTGTCCTCTCTGATTTCCTTTAACAGGGGTTTATAGTTCTCCTTGAAAAGGTTCTTCACTTCCCTTGTTAGCTGTATTCCTAGGTATTTGATTCTCTTTGTAGCAATTGTAAATGGAAGTTCATTCTTGATTTGGCTCTCTGCATGCCTTCTATTGGTGTATAGGAATGCCAGTGATTTTTGCATATTGATTTTGTATCCTGAGACTTTGCTGAAGTGGCTTATCAGTTTAAGAAGCTTTGGGACTGAGACGATGGGGTTTTCTGGATACAGAATCATGTCATCTGCAAACAAAGATAATTTGACTTCCTCCCTTCCTATCTGAATGCCCTTTATTTCTTTCTCGTGCCTGATCGTTCTGGCCAGAACTTCCAATACTATGTTGAATAGGAGGGGTGAGAGAGGGCATCCTTGTCTTCTGCTGGTTTTCAAGGGGGATGCTTTCAGCTTTTGCCCATCCAGTATGATATTGGCTGTGGGTTTGTCATTTATGGCTCTTATTATTTTGAGGTATGTTCCTTCAATATCTAGTTTATTGAGAGTTTTTAACATGAAGAAATATTGAATTGTATCAAAGGCTTTTTCTGCATCTACTGAGATAATCATGTGGTTTATGTCTTTAGTTCTGTTTATGTGATGAATGACATTTATTGATTTGCATATATTGAGCCAACCTTGCATCCCAGGGATGAAGCCTACCTGATTGTGATAGACAAGCTTTTTGCTGTGCTGCTGGATTGTTTGCCAATATTTTGTTGAGAATTTTTGCGTCGATGTTCATCAGGTTATTGGTCTAAAATTTTCTTTTTTTGTTGTATCTCTGCCAGGTTTTGGTGTCAGGATGATGCTGGCCTCAGAATGAGTTAGGGAAGAGTCCCTCCTTTTCAATAATAATTTTTATTAGTTTAACTATTTCCACTTCCTCTTTTCCTCCCCCCGGTAACTTGTAGGCATACACATTATCTTGACTTCTCAAGACACGATCTCAGAATTCTCCATTCATCAGTCTGCAAGAACTCTTTGCAACAAAACCATTTAAAGTCTACCAGAGCCTAGGTCTCTGGAGCATTTTGTTTGCAGTTGTTTATAACCAACTTCCAGAAACACTGAATGTCAATTGCAGTATACTTTGAAAAGAAGTTATTTGTCACTATAGATTTCTTACCAAATTTAGTTTGTTGCAACGGAAAGGCCTTTTATTTTAGGTGAAAAATGACTTCTGATTTGATTTAGTCAAAGTTTTAATTTAGGTTTTCTAGTTTCATTTTCTTTTTCCTCTTCTCTAATCTTATAAAAAATATCCCACTACTGCAAAATGTGCCTGCTTGCTATAAACAAAAGCAGGCTCTAATAGAGTAAAAAGTTACAAACATACTAAGATGTCTAATTAAGATACTTATTGTAAAATTGGAAAAAATATTTATAAAAATAGAGAATTTTAAAAAATCGAATTGCCAAGCATTTCTAAGTACTCACAATTCTACATTGCACAGGAGATGTTTCACTCCTGTAACTAAATTTTAAACAAAAGAAATGAGCTTTTAATCTTGGGCACCTAGAAATAGTTATTAATATAGAAAAATACAAAGTTCTATAACACGGAACCAATATGATATATATGGTTATTGGTCTTATGTTAGATCTTAAGATAAAACTTTTTCAAATAGATATTCAAACAGTACAATACACTGAAAATTTTTCTAAAACCTTTTCTATTTACATAACATTTTATTTCTGAAAGCAAACACACATGCCAAAAAGGCTGAGTTTACCAAGGTTACAAAATGAATCAGTGAAAGGACGAGGAATATAATTTAAATCTCAGATTTTGTGGTAGTATCTAATAGACTCCTCATTTCCATTAATTTCCTAAAATATAGTATTGTTTTATAGAGAAAGCAAAAGCATTTCACATTTTTTCTGCAGTAAGCTGTTAGAGTGTAATATCTTTGGAGATCAAGACTCCGCATTGCTCTTCTAGGTGTCTACATGAAAAATAACTGATTCCACTAAAGAGTAGAGAGGAAAAACAAAACTGGAATCAAGCAAATATGAGGACTTACAAACATACAAAAGGTTTATTTTTAAATTCACTAAGAACACTAAACGTGTTTCTGATTCTCAATTTTAAATTTTGTTTTTGTTCCAACAATTCCAACTGGATTTTACACAATTGGATTTAATCCAAAACTCTATTTCCATTTAATAGCACGGAAACTGGACCTGATATTTGTTTAAAAGGAGGCCTTGGCCTCCTTACATTACCCTTTCATTGATTCACAGCCTTGCACTCAGAAAGTGTATACCACAAAATGGAGATATCCCAGCAAGAACAGAGAGAGAGAGAGGAGAAGGGTTGGGGAGCTGGTGTGTCCTGTCCCCTTGCTGCTGACAGTGACTGTCATACAGACAGGACTCAACTCTCTGTCCATTTGTCTCTTTTCACCAACCTTTGCCTTCAAGGCCATTAAACTCCCTCTATTCACTTAGCTTCACCACCACCAACTCAATGCCTATGTCAGCTATCTATTGCTGTGCCACACATTACCACGCCTTGGTGGCTTCAGACAGCACACATTCATTATCACAGGTTTCTATGGTTGGAAATCTGGACGCCACTTAGCTGCCTCCTCGGCTTCAGCGTCTCTTACAAGGCTGCCATCACAGTGTCGACGGTGCTGCTGTCTCATCTGAGGGTCACCTCCAAGCTCACGGGGGTTTTGGCAGGCTTCAGTTCCTCGCAGACTATCAGACTGAGGACCTCAGGCCCTTGCTGGCTGCTGCCCAGCAGCTGCCATTGGTTCTTGCTATGTGGGCTTCTTGCTATGGCAGCATTACTCTATCTGAGCCAGCATGGGAGAGCGGCAATAGGGAGAGTGGCACAGTAAGGCAAGAGTTAAAATCTTATGTGACATAATCACGGAAGTGACATGCTACCACCTTTGCTGTACTCTTATGGTTAGAAACAAGTCACAGGTGCCACCCACAGCTATGGGAAGGGGATCAGACCAGGGTGTGAATACCAGGAGGCAGAGATCACTGGGGACATCTTCGAGCCTATCTACCAGGAGGCTTGAGCTCAGGCCCAGGTCTATTGGCCCTAGACCAGCAATCCATTATTTCAGCCTTAAATCAGATTCTTAGAACTTCATTTTGGTGATAAACTAGTTTACTGTTTTTGTTTTTTCGTTGTTGTTTTTTGTTTTTTTTTGGCTTGATACCTGGTTCCAAGAGCACCGTGTCCCAGCCTTGCTCTTGATAGCGGAATACTTGCCTGCAAATGTTTCCCCCTATTTTCTGAATGTATCACTCCTTCATTTCTCCTCGCCGTATGTTCTGTTTTGGGCCCCGGCATGAATACACTGCCTCTCATGCACATTTGCAGACTGCCCACTGCTGAATCTCCCGCGAGGTTTTTCGACAACTGGTTAGTTGAATACTCTGAAAATACGCTAGTATCTTTGGCTAATAGTGCTTGTAGCACATCTCTATGGACCCCACAGACTAACAGCTGCTTTTCAATCCTGATACGTATTTCTTTGCACAGATTTCCTAAATAAACAAGTCTTATTCACATATTGTGACACTTGCCATTCTCCTGACTTTTAGGTCGGCCTGGTTTCCTGACCTTAACTTGTTCTTTCTGACCCACCCTGACAGTGCCTGAGCTGGGGCTCTGATACATGTTTAATTGCCAGCAAAACCCTTTATCTCTTATAAATCCCTCTCCAGTTCGAGTTCCATATCTAATCACAACATTCACAAGGATTTAAGAAAATACAACTACTTATTGAAGCACAAATCTATAATGATGGAGAAAATAGGCTTTCAAAGAAAGTATGTTTTTATACTAAATATTTAAAACTGTCAAACTACTTATTCTGGAGGTTTCTATTTTTTAACAGACAGGTCAAGTAGAAGAAAAGGCGATTCTCTAAAGAACATTATTCCAAAAAGTACATCTCTGTTTAAATCATGTTTTTGCTCTTTCCTGTGCCTCAGATAACCTCCTGTGTCATCCATTTTTACATGTCAAAAGCCCATCTACACTTGAGGTCCATTTCACTGGATACTTCCTCCTTGGAGTTTTCTCTGATCACCCTAACCCAACACAGTGAGTCCCCTCTCTAAACCCCCAAACAATACTCATACTGGTCGTGGGGTATGTCATACATACTACTTTTTATATTCTCCTTTCATGATCCTGATGGGTTGTAAATGTCTGTATACCAAAAACAATGTATTTCTTTTTTTTTTTTTTAATACTTTAAGTTCTAGGGTACAGGTGCACAACGTGCAGGTTTGTTACATATGTATACATGTGCCATGTTGGTTTGCTACACCCATTAACTTGTCATTTGCAATAGGTATTTCTCTTAATGCCATCCATCCCTCCCCACTCCCGCCACCCCACAACAGGCCCCAATGTGCACACGTATGTTTATTGCGGCACTATTCACAATAGCAAAGACTTGGAATCAACCCAAATGTCACATATACACCATGGAATACTGTGCAGCCATAAAAAAGATGAGTTCATGTCCTTTGTAGGGACATGGACGAAGCTGGAAACCATCATTCTAAGCAGACTATCGCAAGGACAGAAAACCAAACACCACATGTTCTCATAGGTGGGAACTGAACAATGAAAACACTTGGACACAGGGCAGGGAACAAAACAACGTATTTCTTACTTTTCTACTCATTGAGATAGATTCAGTGTCAACATATTTTTAGTAAATTTATATGAGTAACATAGTAATACTCAAAGTTTTATTATGAATAGACAATACCCGCTTTAGGAGACAGAGTTGAAATCTTTAATATCATATGTAATTTCATTAAAGATCTAAATGTCTAATATCTTATGTGATGTTAGTATTTATTAAATGATATTAGAAATAAACTGCAAAACTCATTTTTTGAAATATTTACCACAGTTAAATATATCATAGATAATAAATACATTTTCATTTTCTTTGCCTTGTATCTTCCTATTTCTTAGTAATCTACCAGTTTAATTTGGGCATATCTGTACCCCTAAAATAAAAAATGTTGCATTTTTGTATGTGGATACATTAATTCAAAGTATAGTAGCACTTGAAATACCTTGAAGGTCTTAAAGCATCACAAAGCTGAACGTTAGAATCAGTATCTGATCTGAATAAAGATGACCTCTCTATGGCTGCAGCATCAGCTGCAAAAGCCTCACCAAGGGGGTCTGCAGGAAATGCGGAGGGCAGTGGGGTGCCCCAGCTGGATCCTACTTGCCAGGAGGCACTATCTCTCTGGTAGCTGGGAGTACTGATAGAACAGGGCTCTCAGCTGTCAGTCCTCTTTGAGGATTGCTTCAGCTAAAGAATACTGCTTCACCCAAGCCCACAGCTACTGACTAACCAACATACTTACTCTGTGGGGCAACTCTGAAAGGTCATTCTGGCTCCAGAGCTCTCTGTAGATTAGGCTAAGTCCTTCACTGGATCTTCATTTCAGCTCAACTGTGGGCCAGTCTTGCTTTCATCTCCTCCCTCCTACAGGTGTTAATCCTAAAATTATTTCCTAATAAACACCCTGCTTAAAAATTTTCATCTCAGAGTCTGTTCCCCAAAGAACTTAACTTGCAGCAAACACTAGGGTTGCTCTTGGGAGAAGAGAGGATTTCCACAAAGAGATAAAATGATTATTCTTTGCTGTTTCTACCTAGAGAAGGTTTTTTCCAACCTTTGGTACTATTGATGTTATGAGCTGGATAATTATTTGCTGTTAAGGGCTACCCTGTGCATTGTAGGATATTGAGTAGCATCCCTGGCCTCTACCACTAGATGCTAGTAGCACACGTGCATATGTGTGCACACAAGCGTGCACGCACACACACACAACCCATGTGACAAAAATGTCTGCAGATATTGCCAAATGTCCCCCGAAGGGCAAAATCCTCCATTGAGAATGTCTGCCCTAGGACTAATTCTGGCGATAGGAGAACAACAAGCAATGAAAGAAGCTGGTGCCTCCCAGATGCCAGGGGTAGCAGTTGACAGGACACAGGTAAGCGGAGGCCCGGCACAGGCAGTCAGGAACACCTTCCTCCGCCACCCAGCCCTTGACTGCACCCCCACACCTCACCACTGGGTTAGCTGTGAAGAGCTGAGACTCCATAATTTGGAACTAGAGGTCAGTCGATCATTTTGGGGGGTGCACTGTCATGTATGGAACGTCTTTCATCCTGCTCAATGCATATTCACTATTTATAGGCTTCTGAAAGGTGTCACATTCTCTTCAGTCTTTGATGAAAAGCAGGATTCTCCAATTCCACAGAGAAGCTGTAGGTTTTAGTTGTTTTTTTTTCCTCTTCAAATTCTTGAAGTGCCAGTGTTCTTAAAGGCTTTCCTGATCTGCTTTAAATGTCCTGGGTATGCATTTAAGTAAGAGAGACACTTCCTTCACATATAATCTCTTCAATTGCAGGGGAAGCTAGGGTATTGGGATTCTAGAGAATTTCCTTCACTCTTGAATTCCTCGATTTACATAGAAAAAGCTGGAGTTGGGGGAAATGAGATGTACAATTGAGGCAGAAGGAAGTATCAGAGCTATACAGGAACCAGCATAAACAGAATATCTGTAAGTTGGGACATATTCAAAATACTATCACTAAGTGCTCCAATTACCACTACTACTATTATTGTCACATTTCCATCCACATACTTTTTTTCCTTCTTTTTTCTGTTTTTTAATGGAAGTATGATTGATATATGAAAAAGCAGTATATATTTAATGTATACATCCTGATGAGTTTGGAGATAAGTACATATCTGAAATCATCAACAGAAGCACTGCCGTAACGTTACCCGTCACTGGCCCAGGTTCCTGCCTCCCTCTCTTTTTGTGTATATAATAAGAACATCTAACATAAAGTCTACCCTCTTCATAAATGTTTACATATATAATATGGTTTTGTTAACTATATGCTCTATGCTGTGCCGATCTCCACACTTATTCATCCTGCGTCAGTCACCCTAGGGACGCTTAGATTGACATCTATCTGCTGCCCACTCCCCCCAGCCATGGTACCCACCATTCGACTCTCTGTTTCTATGAATTTGACTATTTTAGACTCGTGACATAAATGGGATCATGTACTATTTGTCATTTTGTGCCTAGCTTATTTCCTTTAGTGTCCTCCAAGTTCATCTATGTTACAACAAATGGCAGGATCTCTCTTTTTTTTTTTTTTTTTTTTTGAGACAGACTTTCACTCTTGTTGCCCAGGCTGGAGTGCAATGGTGCGATCTTGGCTCACCGCAATCTCCACCTCCTGGTTCAAGCGATTCTCCTGCCTCAGCCTCCTGAGTAGCTGGGATTTTTTTTTACAGGTCTGCACCACCACGCCCGGCTAATTTTTGTATTTTTAGTAGAGATGTGATTTCTCCATGTTGGTCAGGCTGGTCTCAAACTCCCGACCTCAGGTGATCCACCCGCCTCGGCCTCCCAAAGTGCTGGGATTACAGGCATGAGCCACCACACCCAGCCTTTTTTTTCTTTTTAATTTCAACTTTTATTTTAGACTCAGGGGGTAAATGTTCAGGTTTGTTACACTGGTATATTGCCTGATGCTGAGGTCTGCGGTATTAATGATCCATGAGCATAGTAACTGCTAGTTTTTCAGCCCTCACTCCCCTTCCTCCCTTTCTTTTTCTGGAGTCCCCAGTGTCTGTGTTTGTCATCTTTATGTTCACAAGTGTCCAGTGTTTAGCGCCTACTTATAAGAGAGAACATGTGGTATTTGGTTTTCTGTTCCTGCATTTGTTCACTTAGGATAATGGCACCCAGATGCATCCATGTTGCTGCAAAAGACATGATTTCATTCTTTTTTATGGCTGTGTAGTGCTCTATGGTGTGTAGGCACCACATTTTCTTTGTCCAATCCACTGTGCATGGGCACCTACGTTGATTCCATGTCTTTGCTATTGTGAATAGTGCTGCAAAGAACATACCTGGCATGTGTCTTTATAGTAGAATGATGTATTTTCCTTTCGCTGTACACCCAGTAATGGGATTGCTAGGTTGAATGGTAGCCATGTTTTATGTTATTTGAGAAACATCCAAACTGCTTTCCACAGTGGCTGAACTAATTTACATTCCCACCAAGAGCATATAAATGTTCCCTTTTCTCCACAGCCTCACCAGCATCTGCTATTTTTTGACTTTTTAGTAATAGCCATTCTGACTGGTGTGAGATGGTGTCTCATTGTGGTTTTGGTTTGTATTTCTCTGACGATAAGTAATGTTGAGCAGTTTTTCATGTTTGTTGGCCATTTGTATGTCTTCTTTTGGGAAGTGTCTGTTCATGTTCTTTGCCCACTTTTTAATGGGGTTGTTTTTTGCTTGTTCACTTGTTTAAGTTCCTTATGGATTCTGGATATTAGATCTTTATTGGATACAGTTTGTGAATATTTTCCCCCATTTTGTAGGGTGTATGTTAGCTCTGTTGATAATTTCTTTTGCTGTGCAGAAGCTCTTTAGTTAGGTCCCACTTACCAATTTTTGTTTTTGTTGTAGTTGTTTTTGGGATCTTAGCCATAAATTCCTTGCCAAGGCTGGTGTCCAAAATGGTGTTTCCTAGGTTTTCTTCTAGATTTTTTAAAAGCTTGAGGTCTTACATTTAAATTCTTGCTCCATCTTGAGTTAATTTTTGCATACGCTGAAAAGTAGGAGTCCGGGTTTAATCTTCTGCATTTGGTTAGCCAGTTATCCCAGCACCATTTACTGAATAGGAAGTCCTTTCCCCATTGCTTATTTTAGTCAACTTTGTCAATGGTCAGATGGTTGTCGTTGTGCAGCTTTATTTCTGGGCCCTCTATACTATTACAATTGGTCTATGTATCTGTTTTTTGTATCAGTACTATCCTGTTTTGATTACTGTAGCCTTATAGTATAGTTTGAAATCAGATAATGTGATGCCTCCAGCTTTACTCTTTTTGCTTAGGGTTATTTTGGCTATTTTGGCTATTTTTTGGTTCCATATGAGTTTTAGAATAGTTTTTTTCTAATTCTGTGAAGGATGGCATTGGTAGTTTGATAGGAGTAGTGCTGAATCTGTAGACTGCTTTAGGCAGTAGGCCATTTTAATGATATTAATTCTGCCAATCCATGAGCATGGAATGTTTTTGCATTTGTTTGTGTCATCTATGATTTCTTTAGTAGTGTTTTGTAGTTCTCCTTGTAGAAATCTTTCACTTCCTTAGTTAGAGGTATTCCCAAGTTTTTTTTTGTAGCTATTGTAAATGGGACTGCATTCTTGATTTGACTCTCAGCTTGAATCTTATTGGTGTATACAAATACTCCTGTTTTTTATATATACTACATTTTCTTTATTTCATCTTTTCATGGACATTTAGATTGTTTCTATGTCTTTGCTACTGTAAATAATGCTACAATCAACGTGAGAGTGCAGATATATCTTCAAGATCCTGATTTCAATTTTGGGAGGTTTATACTCAAAAGTGGGATGGCTGGATCATATGGTAGTTCTATATTAAATTTTTTAGGAACCTCCATATTGTTTTCAATAGTTAATGTACTAATTTACATTTCCACCAGTGTACAAGAGTGCCCCTTTCTCCGTATCCCCACCAACACTTGTTGTTTTTTGTTTTTTTGTGAATAGCCATCCTGACAGATATGAGATGATGTCTTGTGGCTTTGATTTGCATTTCCATCCACATATTTTTTAAGAATAAATAGAAAAAGGAGGTGCTTTTATATATGTGTGTGTCACAAAAGGATTATATGCAAACCAACTGCAAAATACAAATGCTGCATTTCAGCACTGTCTTTAACCTTTGTCTTAATTTTTGAATTTAAGATTTTACAATAGCTATAATTTATTTTCTGTTAACCAACTTAATTTTTACATGCTTACTAATGCACCTTTGTATCATAGTGTTTAGCATTAGCAACACTGTGGGAGAAGAGGCAGAGAAAATATCCATGAAATACAGGTAATCTTTAATTTTATGAGACAGTTTCTTCCCATGAAGAATTTATAACTTTCTCAGCTCTAATCAAATTCCCTGCCACAGGAGCACGTTCTAATTAGAGCCATCTGCTCCTAGCAGGATATTCATCCCAGGCCAATGTATGGTGAAACATTCTAATCCATTTTAAGCATCTAATTTGTTTCTGCACTAAAATTCTAGGCAAAGAGCAGCTGGATGTCATTGGAGACTTTTCCTGCACAATGAGGGCAAGGAAAGTTAAAACAGAAATTCACTGAGTGGAAACCACGGATCTGTAATTAGGAAATATTAATCTAGGACATGCAGTGATAAAAATCAATGACCAGCTGCTCATATCATGCTTATTGAAGTAGTTGACCCTAGAAAAACTACTACCATCTCATTTGTTCATAGGCTTTTCGCCACTCCTTTTTTTGGATCAAGAGACATGGATTTATTCATCCATCCACTCATTTATTCATTCACACTACCACCATTGACAATTTTTGAGCAAGGCACTGTGCTTTGTGCTAAAGACAATGGGTACAGATGTAAGTCACTGATCTGGTTTTCAAAAGTTGATAGACAGTGTAAAATAATTTCAAGAGTGTTTTAAAAGGTCATTTTAAAACTTATCTTGGGGGCAGAAAGGAAATAATGTATGCAATAGTCTATTTTTGTTCCTACCATACATATAGCAATTAAGTGTAAGTATTATATTATTCCCTCCAGAACTTGTATATTATTACATAATTACAAGAATTGAGATATCTCAGATACTTTGTAAGGATGGTACATCTTTGACATAGTTGTTTATATTCAAATGCCACCATGAAACT
Source organism: Homo sapiens (assembly GCF_000001405.40). Classification (NCBI taxonomy): domain Eukaryota; kingdom Metazoa; phylum Chordata; class Mammalia; order Primates; family Hominidae; genus Homo; species Homo sapiens. The sequence continues at coordinate 187,888,779 of NC_000004.12, forward strand.
CAGAGTAGATACAGGAGCTATAAAAGGAGAAAAAAAAAGACTATTCAAATTTCCATTAATTGGAAATGATTTTAAAGGAAAATGTAAAATACCAATTCAGGTGTCAATGAATGACTCCTAGGGGACAAGTTAACACACACAGACACACACACACACACACACACACACACAATCAGAAGCTACCTCCTGTTAGAGTCTATTTTTCTATTGGATTTTAAAATTTCTACTTTAAGTCACAATTAAATGCAAATACTTAACAGAACTGTTCTTGAGCTCTTCATTGCTAATAGCCTCTGCTGATTTTGCCCTCTTCTTCTCTACCCCTTTGCTTCAGCTCCAGTTTCCCAAATTTCTGTGACGGGGTGAAAGAGTACACTGAGAGAGAGAAAAACACCACACCTCCGGAAGACAAAGGGATGCAATCACCTGATCCAGAGGAGATTATTTCTTTAAAAAAAAAAAAAAAGTCACACACACACACACACACACACACACACACATGCGAAGCTTTGCATACTGAAGTGAACACCAACAGTTTCAGATTTCAAAACGAATGGACCCATGTGCACACGGGCACATAGACATACACACACACACACACACACACACACACACACGACATGATTTATTTCAGCAGAGCATCAGAATGCAATAATAACCAAAAAGGTATCATATATTTTACAATTATTCTCTATTAAATGTGGAACCAAGATTAAGCTCTAGTGACAAAAAAAAAAAAAAAAAAAATCCTAGACCCAGGACCAGAGCAGCTGGTGGCTACAGGTAATGTCACTGAAGTGGTTCAGCTATGACAGAGGCTCAGGTGTAGACTGCTGAGCAGAAACATCCTTGTGGGTACAGACGCGCTTCCACTGGTCCGCAAAGAAACACAATCCACCAATTTCAAATGCAAGTTCATCCTGGAAGCAAACCTCAGAACTACACTGATGACATAATCGATGCCCACATTAAGAATGGAGGCCCAGCACTAAAGGAAAGCTGTCTCTAAACAAGTCATCACAGAAGCATATCTGTGATTATTGCCAGTAATACTTTGTCAGCCTTAATTCATCCTTTCTATCACAAGAGCCTATAGTAAGAGACTTAGCCTGTAAACAGTTGACTCTGAGCTCATTTCAAATCAGCAACACATAGGCGAGAGTTATAAATAATGCATGCAGTGATGCTGCAGAATGGTTTGGGTGCATGCAGAATGAATGACCGTGTTGCATACGTCTTAAAAAGTGTCGATTTACTTTTGTTCACAACTGGATAGTGGCTAAGCATAGACATTTGTATAAATATTCGCCAAGACGAGTCTTCCAACAAACCATACTAATTAGGATGCTGTAAAATAATCGCAAACCAAAAGACTGCTGAATAGTTTACAGGTAGGGCATATGTGGGCCCTAGGACAATGTATATTCTATTTGGCATATTCATCATGGATTTAGAACTAATAGAGATCCTATCTTTTTAGTGCCTGAAGTGGCTAAAAAATATCTTCTTAAGTGGCCAAGCGTGGTGGCTCATGCCTGTAATCCCAGCTCTGTGAGAGGCCAAGGTGGGAGGATCCCTTGAGGCCAGGAGTTGGAGAGCAGTCTAGGCAACATAGCAAGACCCCGTCTCTACAAAAAAAATAAGAAAATTATCCAGGCATGATGGTACGTGCCTGTAATCACAGCTATTCAGGAAACTGATGCAGGAGGATCACTTGAGCCCAGAAGTTCAATGCTTCAGTGAGCTATGATCACATATTTTATACATAAAATATGACATATTTTATATTCGAGGATATATATAATATATATCTTTTAGTTATCTTGATGGGAATGGGTGGTTTATACTTCCCAAAACCCAATAAGATATTTAAACATGTTTTTTCATGCTGAAGTTATTTATTTACTGCCATGTTCAGGAAAGTATGATGGAAAAGAAATAAAGAGAAGAGGAGAAATAACTATCTTTAAACTGCCTCCCAAGATTCACAGATAAGCTATACAAAAACTCTAAGCTCTGGCCTATCAACGTTGTTGGTGTTTGGGGATCCTTTTTCACCAGCTCTACTTTAAGCTTCTATTAAGCTTGCCAAATTGATTTCAGATTTGTTATACGCCTGGCACAGCAGGCACTATTTAAAATGTATGTTCCTGGCAGCTGAGGTGGGGCAGTGCCGTCCAGTCTCAACGTCAGCTGGCCTTGTTTGGCACCTTCATCACATGTACATGCTCCTATTAATCTACTGTCTAACAAAGATCTGGAAAAGCCTAGTATCTTCCCATATTAAAGCCAGATCATTAAAGAAATACCACTTGAGATTGTATAGAAGGGCAAGAAAATAATTCTTAATTTCTAAACCAAATTGGTTTCATAGAAATTCTGCCTTTGGCTGATCACTTCACTTTAGTAGAGCAAAGCAATAAATTTTTATCCCTTTTCACTGAAACCCTTGGTTATCTCTGCACCAGGGAAGAAAATAATGTCTTCTATTAAGATTAATATTGTTATGGGAATATTACTATGATTATTATTATAAATTCACCTCCATCTTTGCTTGTTTGCTTGTTTGGTTTGCTTCTTTCTTCTTTGAATACACCATACCTGAGGAAGCAGAATCACATGGCTGATGATATCAAACTGGCTTAATGTAATTATGGACTAGTTGTGAATAAAAATATGTACTGACCGCTTATTATGTGAATAGCACTGTGTTAGGTAAATAATGTTTTTCTTTTACCCAATGGGGAAATGATCTCTTCCCACAAAGAGTCCAGTGATTAGGTTGGGTAAGAAAGCCATAGCCATGAAAGAATTAATGAACAGAAGTGTGCTCTAGTGCAGAGTCATTTCTACTGAAAGCATCAGAGAGGCTTCGCAGAAAGATTGGAACTTGAGGTGAGTCAGGAAGTTTCATAAAAGATGGATAAGTAGGCCAGGCGCAGTGCCTCACGCCTGGAATCCCAGCACTTTGGGAGGCCACGGCGGGCGGATCACGAGGTCAGGAGATCGAGACCATCCCGGCTAACACAGTGAAACCCCGTCTCTACTAAAAATACAAAAAAAATTATCCGGGCGTGGTGGCGGGCGCCTGTGGTCCCAGCTACTCGGGAGGCTGAGGCAGGAGAATGGCGGGAACCCGGGAGGCGGAGCCTGCAGTGAGCCGAGATCGCGCCACTGCACTCCAGCCTGGGCGACAGAGCCAGACTCCGTCTCAAAACAAAACAAAAAGAAAGATGGATAAGTAGACAGAGGAAGGAGGAGCTGGCTTGGCACCAAGTCTAAGGTATGAAAGAACATGGTTTGTAATATAGGAAAGCACAATCTATTTATAATACACACATACTTAAATATTTAAAATTGATTCAACAGGTTAAAGACCAGGCTTTGCCAAGAGTAGATACCAGTATTCCTATGGTTTGGTCTTTCAACGAGTAGACTCTTTGAAGTGTTTCAATATATTGTATTTCCCACCGATGGAGTTTAAAAAGAAAGGGAAAGAAAAACAGTGCAAATCGATTCCTGCTGACAACAACACCTACACGTTGCTCTTTGGGAGTAACTGTTTTCCAAGTTGTAATTAGGATCTTTTGTCCATTCTACGTAAGGTATGGTAACATCACAAATACAAAACTGCAGTGGATTTTATATTTTAAAATATAAATAATGAATTAGATGTCATGATGACCAGCTGCTTAGCTGATTTTACCACTCATGGCTATTTGACCGGGTTCAGAAGGGCAAGAGCCATTAACAAGGGTAATTACCTCCTGCGCCTCTCTCCTCTTCCGCAGACCCTGGCCTGTAATAGGTGCCATTCCAGGCACTCCCTCAGTGCTGAATGAATACATAAATGAATGAATTGTAGATATGGCTTCAGATAATAAGGAAATTCAAACTACTGCATGCTCTTTGCCCAAAATGACTGTGTGGAAAGAAAATAAATACTGCTTCTATTAAGATATTCCTTCATTATAGGAGGTCATATGAGAAGGTTGGGAGAAGAAGGGAGAACGATAGTAATAACAAGGGATTTCTCTTCATCTTTAATGCTAAGGATCAAAGACCTTTCTCCTATTTGAGGCTGACTGCATTTGCATTGTACACCTTTAGATGATGAATAACTAGACATGTTGTGTGTATTTATGATTGTGGGTTAAATTTTAGGCTGTGAATTCTGATGTCAAAATTTAGAAGCACTGACCTCTACTTATTCATGTATTGGTAACAAAAAGAACTTTCCAAAGTTTTCCAAATTTGGTATCACCTTAGAAGAGCTAACCTCATTTTACACTTGAATAACCCAGTATTTCATTAAGCACTTAATATGTATGGAGTTCAGTTAGCTATTGTTCAGTAATCCAATAGATGTTATTGATTTTTGGGACTTATCTTGGGGGAGATAATTCAGAGACAGGACAGGACAAGAAAATATTAAAGAGTTAATTAACTAGACAGTGTAACACACATATAGTAAGTACCATATAAGTCAATTAAATAGCATTGTAGGACTTAAGGAAAGTAAGAATCACTACTAGTGAAATATTCTTGGATGACTTCATGGAGAAAAAACAATTGTGCCTTCGAAGAAGGGTGTGATTTAGAATGTTGAAGAAGAAATTCGAGTGTGTTTCAGGAATTCATTCATAGCATGAAGAGAATTACCAACAGCCACGACATGTTTAGAGCAAAATGCAGACTCCCTTTGATAAGGGCGGCTGTTCTTATGGGAGTGGGGAAGTTGATAGGGAAATTACAGTTTCATTCAGCATGTAGAGAGCCTTAAATGACAGCCTAGGCTTTTAAGACAATTCCGTAAGCTGTGATTGGTGATATGATAAAAGGAGTCATTTTAAGACCATTTATCTAATGCGTATACTAGTGTGCAAGATACGTTTAAGGTGGGATGTACTAGAGGCAGGAAACCAGCTGAGAAGCTAAGAGCCAAGCACAGGACCCTAACAGCCACAGCTCCAGTGACAGCAACAGGACTGGAAAAGAAAGAATGGAAGAGTGACAGTTCAAAAAGAGAGATCAGGCTGTGTGTGGTGGCTCATGTCTGTAATCCCAGCACTTTGGGAGGCCAAGGCTAGCTGTTCACAAAGTCAGGAGATCGAGACCATCTTGGCCAACATGGTGAAACCCCATCTCTATTAATATACAAAAAATTAGCCTGACGTGGTGGCATGTGCCTGTAATCCCAGCTACTTGGGAGGCTGACGCAGGGGAATCACTTGAACCCAGGAGGCGGAGGTTAGAGTGAGCTGAGATCGCACCAGTGTACTCCAGCCTGGTGACAGAGCAAGACTCCGTTTAAAAAAAGAAAAAAAAGAAAAAGGATGGAAGAGTGACAGTTTAAAAGAGAGATCAGGCCATGCACCGTGGCTCATGCCTATAATCCCAACACTTTGGGAGGCTGAGTCAGGTGGACCGCTTGAACCCAGAATGTGGAGGTTGCAGTGAGCCAAGATCACGCCACTCAAAAAAAAAAAAAAAAAAAAAAAAGGAAAAGAAAATCAGTGGCACTTTTTGACCAATTGGACTTGAAGAGAGGTTCTAAAGGTGATTTAAACCAAAACAACTACAAAAATGAGCCCAGAAATAAAGGCAATTCATGTACAACTCAGAGAGTTGGACCAGCTGACCACTAAGGCCTCAAACAAACAAAGTTCCACTCCTTGTGTCTGCACAAATTATGTTCCTCTCTCTCCCCTTTGCCTGTCCAGTTATGGCTGTGTATTAAGATCTATTTCAAATCTCTCCACTCCTTGAAAAACTGCATGACTACTCCCTGTTATGTGCAAGATCCTCCTTGGGCTCCCGATACATTCACTTCTCTTCCACATAATCACGTGTGTCATTGCATCCTCTTTTTGCTACAGTAATTCTTTTCCCTATCAATCCCTCCACCCTCACTAGTTTTTATTCTATCTTACAAAAGCTAGCACTGAATTAAATATGAACTGGTATAAAACACAAACTTACAGCTAGAGGTAAAAAATCTTAATAAATGCATCTCTTTTACTAGACCACTAGAAATGTTAATACCCAAAGGATACAGGGAAGCCTATTGGCACTGAATATTCAAAAATTTAAATAAGCTCTTTTGAAACTTGAAGCTGAAAGTCTTTCTAGATATTCAAGTATTATCTATGGAAATAAATCAAGAAGCCCTGGAAAAGTGTGGCAAACACCTTCCATTGCTAAAGGAACAATTAAAAAGCCTATTCTAAGAGGCACAACGGAGCTAACCATTTTCTATGTCGTGCAAGCGGAAATAATTCAGTGATGTCTTTGTGCCTCTCAGAAAATCACACAAAGTCACTTTCTGCTTTTTAGTTTGCTCTTTGGCCCTATGTAAAATGTTGCCACAGAAATTGCTTTGTGCTCAGCAAAAACTCAACCTGTTAAATTCCAGTGACTGGAATCATTGAAGGTCAAGAGGTAAAACTCACCTGCTGTGCCACATTTTCACAATTCAGAGGGTTCTTCTGCACTCAGCATTTATGTGATGGTTTCTTTCTGTGGAACATGTATTCCATTTTCAAAAGGTCTAGTCTTGATTAACTTGTACTTGGTTAACAAACATGTATTGAGAGTCATTTGGGTTCTGAGCACAGTATTAAGGGATTTGGAAAAGAGAAGGTAAAAAAAATTGTATACAGAGAAGTCAACTTAAAATCCTGAAATAGCAACAAATATACCAACCTTGACATTGTAGTTTATAAATCCATTTTAGAAAAACAAACATATTGCAGAGAGAAAAAAACAGAAATGATGATCTATAAAACAACATATATTTTAAATTAAGCAAACTAGAACATCATGAAAATTTCATCGTATGGGCTTTAATATGAGAACAGGAATGCAATCAGTACTGAAAAAAGGTCAAAAGAAAAATCTAAAGGTTCATTTAAAGCATAGAGCAGAAAATTCTCTGAAAATGTTTTCTCTATATCTAAAATGATAAATTTCATCAAATTTGAAATTTGGGTAATAAAAATGGACTATTCAATGATAACATTTTCAAAATACTTTATAATGCCTTATTTATATTAGATCTTTGTTCTTAAGTAACATCATGACAAATACGTTTTTCTAAAATATACAGTTATAATAAATTAATGGCAAAAAGTATGAATATTGTCATAGTTATGTCATAACTTATTGTCATAAGTTAAGTGGGCTCAGACTGCTGGGCCTTTTATATGTCAATTTCCAGCATTTTTGTCCACTCATAGTATTTAATGGTTAATTTGCCATTCACTGTAGCCTACTAAGAACTAAATAGTGCAAAGGAAAATCATGTTGTTAAATCAATTACATGACAACTTTTAAGAAAAATTCACAGTCAATAGGCTCTTTTCTGAGAGCCTGTGGGAGGTTCTGTGAGTCCTCTATAGTTTCTATCTGTCCATTACTATGTGTCCAATACCTGCCACATCACTGGCAACCAATTTAATTGATAACACAATGATAAATAAATAAAGCATATATATTTGTGACTTTTTTCCTATATTATTTCAAATCTTCCATTTATTTTTAAGTCTATGTCTGCTTGGAATAGGTTAAACTGCCAAAAGTTTGAATGCCAAAGTAACTGAGGTGCTAGCTATCATGTGCATTTTTGATATTTCATACTAAAATTAAACAAATTTTCTTTGTAAATTTCTTTTCATTGAAAAAAAATATCATGGGATGACAAAGATGTTTTGTTCCAGTATCAAATTCTCTTTCTTTGTCTTTATTTGAACTATAGATGTGTATAGCAAATTCAACTTTGAATGGCCGGGCGCGGTGGCTCACGCCTGTAATCCCAGCACTTTGGGAGGCCGAGGCGGGTGGATCATGAGGTCAGGAGATCGAGACCATCCTGGCTAACAAGGTGAAACCCCGTCTCTACTAAAAATACAAAAAAAATTAGCCGGGCGCGGTGGCGGGCGCCTGTAGTCCCAGCTACTCGGGAGGCTGAGGCAGGAGAATGGCGTGAACCCGGGAAGCGGAGCTTGCAGTGAGCCGAGATTGCGCCACTGCAGTCCGCAGTCCCACCTGGGCGACAGAGCGAGACTCCGTCTCAAAAAAAAAAAAAAAAAAAAAAAATTCAACTTTGAATAAAAAAAGTTATGTTCTTTTTTGCCTCGCTAAGTATTAGTAGCAAATATTCAGGTATAGCTAATATTTTCATGCATCAAACATAAATTAGAAAGAAATAGTGTTCAGTATAATCAACAGGTTCACAGGAAAAAAAGAAAGAAAAGAATGGTGTTTGATTTTACCCATGTCTGGAAAGACAACATCGTGTTCTGGAAGGCTCTCTGATGGGAAGTCAGAGGTGCAGAAGTGCAGGAGAGCTGGGAAACAGGTTGCAATATACTGTGAGATCCTTTAGTTTGTAAAACACAAAGGCTCAGATTGCAGGGAAGATATTAAGCTTCACATATTTCATTTGAAGTGTTTTTACATTTACCTCCTGTGGTAAAATGGCCATAGCATTTCAGGGCAAACGTCCTTGATGTGAATGGGAGTCCCAGTGTTGAGTGCTACCCCACTTCTGGCACACACTGTATTTGTTTCCGAAGAATCAAGCTTGTGAGGAGAGACAGGACATACAACCTAGCATGTCCCGGGGAAGCCGACTTTGTCATATATACACACACATATATATATATGAATAATATAAATGAATACTCACCTCCCCTAATGTGTTCTTTTATAAGCTAAAATTTTTATACAAAGCAAAATCTCATGGGATGTCACTTGAAAGAAAAACATGTTTTATGAAATCAAGATCTCTAGAAAAAAAGTAAGTAGACATCATTAAAATTGTTCTAGTGATTTTTTTCAAAATGATCAGATATGCCATTTGATAACATCCCCAGAAGTTAAGCTATTAGAGGATTTCCTGAAAAATGATTAAATGTTACCCACTTCACCAAGGATATAAATATCTTACACTTTCAATCAATCTTTCACGCTTTTATTAACAACTCATAATTATAATTCTTTCAGTGCTTATGACTCTCCCAACTTGATAAATAAATAAATTGAATGTATCTGCCCTGCCCTGAGGTCAAAAATACTGGTGTGCACCTCCTCCCTTGTAAGATTCTTGAACCCACTTAATGACTCTGCACTCTACATGTGGGTCTTAGGAGGGACTCATCATCATCACTGAATGGACCGTCAATGTGGCAAAAGCTCAAGATACTTTTGGAAGTCAATATTTCGATACTAAAACCAATATTTAAAATTGAAATATAATTTACATACCATAAAATTTACCCATTGAAAGTGTACAATATAGTGCTTTTTAGTATATCCATAAGGCATTACAAACATCACCACTATCGAGTTCCAGCACAGTTCCATCAACCCAGAAAGAAACACCCTAGGCCGGGCATGGTGGCTCTCGCCTGTAATCCCAACACTTTGGGAGGCCGAGGCAGGCGTATCACTTGAGCTCAGGAGTGCGAGACCAGCCTGGCCAACATGATGAAAACCCATCTCTACTAGAAATACAAAAATTAGCTGGGAGTGGTGGCAGGTGCCTGTAGTCCCAGCTACTTGGGAGGCTGAGTCAGGAGAATCGCTTGAACCTGGGAGGCAGAGGTTGCAGTGAACCGAGATTGCACCACTCCAGCCTGGGTGACAGAGCAAGATCCTGTCAAAAAAGAAAGAAAAGGAAGGAAGGAAAGAAGGAAGGAAGGGAGAGAAAGAAAGGGAAAGGAAAGGAAGAAAAGAAGGAAGGGAGGGAGGGAGGGAAAGAAAGGGAAAGGAAAGGAAGAAAAGCAGGAAGGAAGGAAGCAAAAAGAAACATAATCCCCATTAGCAGTCACTCTGCACTGCCTCTCCCCCAGCCCTGGCAATGGCTAATCAACTTTGTGGCTCTGTGGATTTGCCTATTCTGTACACCAACACCAGTTTTGAAAGAGAATTTTTTTCATTAGTTCACTTGGATATTTTGTGCTGCTCTATTTTCTTTCTTAAAAAAAAAAAACATCTAGAGGATAAGGAAAATAAAACTTTGCAGATTTTTGTCAAATACTATTCAGTAGAAGGATTATTTTCTTAAGGAAATAAAAAATGAAACTTAGATTCCTGGGCTTAGTCTCTTGGAATTCATTATTTCAATTATTTTGTTCATGCTACCAAAGAAACCTTCTTTTTTTTTTTTTTTTTTTTTTGAAACAGAGTCTCGCTCTGTCACCCAGGCTGGAGTGCAGTGACACAATATCGGCTTATTGCGACCTCCGCCTCCCAGATTCAAGTGATTCTCCTGCCTCAGCCTCCCGAGTAGCTAAGATTACAGGCGCACGCCCCCATGCCCAGCTAATTTTTGTATTTTTCATAGAAATGAGGTTTCACTATGTTGGCCAGGCTGGTCTTGAACTCCTGACCTCAGGGAATCTGCCCACCTCGGCCTCCCAGAGTGCTGGGATTACAGGCATGAGCCACTGTGCCCGGTCTCAAATAAACCTTCTTGAAAAAATTATATTCTCATAGGAAGCGCATTAGACTAATTATATTTTGTAGATAAATAACACTAAACATAGCTTACATATAAAAATTTCTTTGCTTAAGAATTAAATGAAATAATTCTCTGGAAAACATTCAATTACTAGATATTTTAGCATAATTGCTCAATTTTGTGAAAGAATCAAATGCACATTTGTCCTTAATAATATGAAGAATGGAAATTCAGTTTTCTAAACTATCTATATTTTAATTAAAAGAAATTCACTCTCTTTGTAATAAGATAATAATGCGGTATTAAAATAAAAGCATTCTCAATAGTAAAATGTTTTTGCTGACTAGCTTTGTTAATAAAACTATGTTTTGAACAATCACTGGATTAATCCTAGTGACAATGTGTAGAGTTTTCAAAACAGGAACATTAACAGACTCTTGTCCCATAGTCTTGGTACAATGGTAGGAGCCTGGCTTAAGGTAGATGGGCTAGAGAGAAAGAGAGGGAAATAGGAGATTGTAATGAAATAGAGCCAACCAAACGTGTTAAATTTTACACAGGAGATGAGGAAAACTTCAAGATGGTGCCATAATTTCTTGCTTGAGTGACTGCCCGTGGAAGACAGAATTTATCAACATAGAAGATGGGGAGGAATTAAGATCTTTTCTTACTGAAAAGATCCTAAGTTTGGAGCGTTTTGCCCTGTAGCTATTTAACTCTCAACCAGGTATTTGGATATACAAGTTTATTGTTCAGAGTAATAGAAGCTAGAGAAAAATATTGGAAATGGTCAGTATAAAACTTGTGGATAGCAGAAATTCTGGTTGAAATCACCCAAAGTGTTTAAAGAAAATAGAAGGTGGTTAAGGACAAAACTGATAGAAAGAGAAGGAAGGAAGGGAAGGACAAATGGAGACCTGAAAGTTTCTGAACAAAACAGGGAAATCGGAGAAAACCCAAAAGACTGATGTGGCAAAAACCAAAGAACTCAAGTTTTAAAACAGAGCACTGGTTAACAGAAATGAATGAAGCAGAAATATTCAATATAAGCAGGACTGAGAGGTGAATATTGGAATTGCCTATCTGGATATCACTAGAAGAAAGGTTTCAGCAGCAAGGGAGATGCTAAGCCAGCAGTTAGACGCTTGAGGCCAATGCTGCTAAGCTGAAAATGTGCACTTAGAACTGATTAGTATGTAGACAGTATTTGGAGCCATTAAATCAGTGTGAGATGACTTGGGGATGAGTGTGGGTAAAGAGAAGAGAACCTAGAACTAAGAAAGAGACAGAGGGGGAACCAGCAAACTGAGAAGGAGAGGCCAGGGAGACGAGAGGGACACCAACAGCTTGTGGGGCCCTGATAGGCTTTATGAACTTGAGTCAAAGAGGACCGGGTGGTCGGCTGTGTGAAGTGCTGCCACCAGATGAGATGGGCAGTTCCACTGGAATTCATACTGCGGAGGTTATTGGCCATGCTAGGGAAATGCCTAACAGGAGCCACTCAAAAACATGTCAAAGTCAACAAAGGTAAAGAAAGCCTAAGGAATGGTTCCAGATTAAAGGCTACTAACAGGACATGATAATTACATGTGACATATGACCCTGGACTGCATTGAGATCACTGGCAAAATGTGAATGTAGACTACATATTGGATAGTAATGTGGTATCAATGTTTAGTTTTCTGATTTTGATAACTTTACTGCAGTTATGAGAGAGAATACTCTTTTTCTTCGGAAATATACAATAATGTGCTTCAGAATAAGGGGCATGGCGTCTCCAACTCACTCTCAAATTACTCAGGAAGAACGAAGTGTGTGTGTGTGTGTGTGTGTGTGTGTGTGTGCATGTATGGATAGATAATAGAATAATAAAGTAACTAGAGCAAAACATAAACAAATGATGAGTCTGAATATAAGCTATAGAATAGTTTCTTGTACTATTATTTTAACTTTTATGTATAATGGAATGTAGATTTTAGAAATTACAGAAAGAAAATGAGGAGAGGGAGAAAAAGGGGGAGAGCAATTGGAAAAAGCAAGTCTACCAACTCTCGTAAAATAAACACCTGCGCTCTAGAGAAAAGTAAGGAAATGGGGTGGGAAATGGTGGGGAAGGTAACATCAAAACAAGATTAGGGTTTTTTTCTCCTTACCTGACCAAAATTACAGCACAGTGGCAAGCTGATGTCAATATGCCAGTGGAAAGAGAAAAAAGGTTGAATAGCAGAGAAATAGGGGAAATTGCTGGCATGATTTCCTTTCATGAGGAGAAGAGGGTGAGTCTGCATACAAATGGAGAAACTGGCTCTCCTAGGAGTAGGGAACATTCATCTTTGGTAATAAGCAGAAAAACAAAGCATGAGAATGCAATTACTGGAAGGTAGAAAAAAGAGATAAAGAGTGCCTACCCCACTTTTTGCCCTGGGGGACCTGGAAAGCACCTCCCTTGAATGGATTCGTGGGAAGTAGTGTTTCCAAGGGACAACCAGGTTTCAGTCTGAGCAATAAGGTGAAAGGAAAGTTCAGAGAATATCCTAACAAATGGCAGAGCTTGCATTTAAGAAGCTATATACGGAGACACATGGAAAATCCAGCCATGGTAGTGGATATACAGATAGCACAAGGTTGAGGGCCTGCGTCATGATGGATGGCCTGTGTTTGAAATGCTTTTTCCTTGGTGTCATAAAGAAACAGCACTTGAACATAAATTTAATTTTCTCAGCAAGGCCATTTCATACTTTCTGCAGAAAGGGTACAGCAGCAGCAGTTTTGCCACAACGGCACACCGAACAAACCGGAGACAGGGTCATTTATAACCTGATGCATCCACCCTACTGCTGTGTCCGGTTTCCATTGGCTGGAATGGGGCCTCACATTCTGTATTTGTCCTGATTGGCTAGTAACTTAGAAAATTTTTAAAAAGACAAAGGCAGAGGAGAACAAAGGAAGGAGGAAGTAACTTGTGGCATGCTGAGAAAGGTAAAAACACCTTCAAATAAGGAAGAGGAACAGGCTATGGCCTAATGCTTGCTTGGACCAGTATAAGCATGCCAGGGCAAATATTTAGGCTAAACTGTGGGAGCTAAGAACATAAAGTACATTGATTTCTTTATTATGGATAGCAGATATTTAAGAATGTTAGCACAGGTCTATGAATAAATTTTGCTTCTAAGAGAAGTTACTATGTATTCCTAATTAGATGGGGAGGAAAGTCTTTGAAGAGGAACCTCTACTTTACTTTTTACACCTGGGACCTGGTTTCTGGGTGAATGAGGGAATGAAGGATGTGAGCATAATGAGCTCAGTGCTGATTATTTCCTGAAGAGAAGTGGGCAACCAGTTCAAGACAGATGTTATGGGTCCACTGGCTGACCATGCTTTCCTGCAGAAGCCAGTATTACGGCAACCAAGGGGAGAAAGAGAGTCTCCATAACAATTAATCTTCCTGGAAGCTGAAGCACCAAATGGTTTGAGTGTTTCTTCTTCTTAAAGGGAAGGTAGTGTGGCCCATATGAAAAGGGTGGCCCATTGTGAAGCAGGAGGCTAGAAATGGGCTCTTCTTTGTGGGATGAACTGTATAGCAGCTGGTGTGGGAGCTGGAGCATAAGTGGCTTAGAGGCAGCTTCTTCTCTCCAGCAGCGGGCAGGTTGGCTCTGGGATCACCTCAGTCAATGGCGTCACCATCCAATTCAAAGATAAGGATGGAAGCAGTTATAAGTATGTTTGTACAGGCTTAATTTTCTCTGGAAAGTAGGAATGGGTCACCTGAGGATAAAAGGGGGAAGTGAATAAAGTCGGGGGACAGAACATCTGAGGTCTCAAGGGGGATTCATGAGATTTTGGATCAAGCCACTGAGGGCACATCAAAGGTTCATGGACGAAGACATGGAAGAATTATAGAACAGGGCCCAGGGCCCACCCAGTGTTGGAGTTTACAAATCAGTCACTACATAGTGGTCCTGGATCTGTTGAATAGTAGACTCTTCAAAACACACTGATAAATCCCTCCCTCTTAAAAGCTGAAGAATTGGCCCTCTCTGAAAACCACAGCACTGTCTCGCATTATAGGGATTAACCCAAACTGCTCTGTGAAGCTCGTCTAATCTATGAGCAATGAGAAAGGCAGAAGAATTTGTAATAATAAAGAAATGAAAACTGAGCTGTAGCCTTCGATTACACTGTGACATTTGGTGAGTTCACTGTCTTTCTTTAGTGTAAGAATCAAGGAACAAATTTGTTTTATTGTTTGGCGTATTATATAACTCATTTGACAGTACTGCTTAAGTTATACAACAACCCCTAATTCATATTTTTAAGCTCGTTTGAAAAAAAAATTAAAATGCTCTCACCTTGGAGCATTACTTTACATTTTGCAGCACACATTTGTAGTTTGGGTTCTTTTTAGGCAGAAATCTGAACTAACAAGTACTTCTATTTTTTCTCCAGATTCTTTACATTTCTACAGCTTTATTTCACCCTTTTCTAACATAATAAACCATTTCTCAGCAAACATTTAGATAAAATGTCACAGACTTGGAGAAAGAAAATCTAAATTGCAGATCAAAAACAAGGCCATATTAAGCATGAGAAGTGGTAGTGGGAATACAATTTACAATGTTTTGATTTAATACCATAAAGAATGTCCACAGAATAGACTGCAGGTTGGAATTCGTGGAGATGTCTTCTTTAGTTTATGTAATGAATGCCATTCTTATTCAGTAAGATTTAATCAGGCTACTTGAGACTGAGATATAAGTGTAGAGAAGATATTGGCTTTCCTTCTCCATATACTTGGAATGTAAAATTACTTAGGAAATTTTACACTGACACTACATGGTGAGGAGATATATATATCTTAAATATATATATATATATTTCTTTTTAAGATTAAGTATGAGACCTCAAAAATATTTGGACTGCAAATACTATTTTAAAGTAATAAAATATTATTTCTGTGAAATAGAAACTAAAATTGAAAAGTGCTTGAAGTATAAATTCTATTAAATTTTAGTGAAAAAATATCAAGAAAATACTCATCATATAATTAAAAATTTATTGTGTACAAATGGGTTCTGCTATTTCTAATATATTTTATTATCAATGTATTATATTCTGTTATATAACTTTATGATATTCATTTAATTTCAAGTACTAGATTTTGATATACTACTTTACCATATTTTGGTTTCTATTTCCTTTTATAGACAGGTTCACTCCCTACCACTAAAAATGTTTAAATACTTAATTTAATCTGAGACAACATCTGCAACAAAAAAACAGAACTGCTGTTGTAAGTTTCTGATATTATATGTAAAATGGCATAACAATATAATTTTATTTGAAGGTAGACTGTGTTAACTTAAATATATATATTATCAATCCTAGAGTAACCACTTTAAATATAAAGCAGCATAGCTAATGAGCTAAAAGAAGACATAAAACAGAACACTAGAAGATAACCAATTGAAACTAAAGCAGAAAATAAAGAGGGTTGAATGAAGAGAAGATGGCACACACAGAAAACAAATAGCAGGATAGTAGATTTATACGCAGCCATACCAATAATCACAGCAGATGTAAATCATCTAATATTTCAATTAATAGTCAGAAATTGACTTCCAATTTCTAGTCCGGCATAAAAGGAACCTGAAAATCATCACTGTCTCCTAACCATAAGTAAAAAGCTGAAAAACTTGATAATCAACAAGTCTTCTACATCTATCAGAGAAGTGAGCTCATAGGACAAACTGCAGCCCTCAAAACTGAAGAGACACTAGTGGATACAGACAGGTCCCACTCACCAGAGCAGAAACCTCATGGGAACGAATACTAGGCTAGGAAAACCTGAACTGTAATCTATACATTGCACGAAACCTCATGGGAACGAATACTAGGCTAGGAAAACCTGAACTGTAATCTATACATTGCACGAAACCTCATGGGAATGAATACTAGGCTAGGAAAACCTGAACTGTAATCTATACATTGCGTGAAACCTCATGGGAATGAATACTAGGCTACGAAAACCTGAACTGTAATCTATACATTGTGGGAAACCTCATGGGAACGAATACTAGGCTACAAAAACCTGAACTGTAATCTATACATTGCGCGAAACCTCATGGGAGCGAATACTAGGCTAGGAAAACCTGAACTGTAATCTGTACATTGCTACAGGCTTGATTTGGACAATTCTGAGAGTTAAAATCGGGGTGGGGCAGTTTTAGGGGGACCTCCACACTTTTGAGTTTTACCTCTAGCAGCACCACCAGAGTCTCATAGTGAAGGTTAGAGAAGAAGTCTGTCTTAGTCTGTCTGGACTACTATAACAAAATACTTTGAACTGGGTGATTTATAAACAATAAAAATTGTTCACTCGGAGGCTGGGAAGTGCAAGAACGAAGTGTGGGCAGATCCAGTGTCTGATGAGGACTTGCTCTCTGCTTTGAAAATGGAGCCTTCTTTCTCCATCTCCACATGGTGGAAGGGCAAAAGGACTCCCTCAAGCTGTATAAGGATATTAATCCTATTTATGAAGACAAGCCCTCATGACCTTATTACCTCCTAGAGGCCCCAACTCCGTACCATTAGTATTAGATTTCAACACACAAATTTTGGGGGTTCAGAGAGATTCAACAATAGCAAAACTCCTCATGCTTTTGACAGAGAGAGTAGAAAAATAACTACTTTGAAATATGCCCGGAGCATTCTGCTCTTTTTAACAAGGCGTGCCCTCAAAAGGACGTATTTTACCACAGCTAGCCCCATCTGGCCTTTGACATGGAGTGAAAAAAAATACACAACTTCAGACTGCTCTGGCCATCCTGTCCCACCTAAGTGGAAAGAAGAGAGAGACTCCAAAGCATTTGCGAAGGTCACAGCACAGGAACACAAGCTCATTAAAAGACTGGAACCTAATCATCGGACTACAGGACACTTTCCCTCCCACTCCACCTTCCCGCCACATCACTAATGACCTATCTACCACAGTTCCTTCTACCTGCATGTTCAGCTTTCAACAAAAGTTACAATGCACATTAAAAAGTAGAAAACAGGCCAGGCGTGGTGGCTCATGCCTGTAATCCCAGCACTTTGGGAGGCTGAGGTGGGCGTATCACAAGGTCAGGAGTTCGAGACCAGCCTGGCCAACACGGTGAAACCCCATCTCTACTAAAAATACAAAAAAAAATTAGCTAGGTGTGGTGGTGTGCACCTGTAATCCCAGCTACTCAGGAGGCTGAGGCAGGAGAATCGCTTGAACCTGGGAGGCGGAAGTTGCAGTGAGCCAAGATTGTGCCACTGCACTCCAGCCTGGGGACATAGCGAGACTCCATCTCAAAAAAAAAAAAAAAAAAAAAAAGTAGAAAACACAATCTGAAGAGACAAAACAAGCACCAGAACAAGGCTCAGATATGGCAGGGATGTTGGAAAGTTAGAGATTGTCAGACTGGATAAAAAACAAATCTTAAATCCATGCTGTGTGCAATAAACTAATTTTAAATAGAATGATACATATAGGTTAAAAATAAAAAGAAAGAAATATCATGCAAACACTAATCAAAAAAGGTGGAGTGGCTATAGTAGCATCAGAGTAAACTTAAAGACAAGAAATACTACTAGAGGTAAAGAGGAATATTCCATAATAAAGAAGTCAATTCATCAAGAAACTATAACAATCCTAAATGTGCATGCATCTAATAACAAAACTTCAAAATCATAAAACAAAAACAATTGAAAGGAAAAATAGACAAAAATCCATATTTACATTGGATAGTTTAACACTGTTCTCTCCACAACTGGTAGAACTAGTGAACTATATTCACTAAGAATATAGAAAATGTGAACATTATCAATCAACACATCTTGACTGATATTTGTACAAAATAACACCTAACAACAGCATACTGCACACTATTCACATGTGCTGTGGAATATTCACAAAGACAGATCATTTGCTGATCCATGAAATAAGTCTTGAGAAATTTAAAAGAATTGAAATCACTTCAGAATAGGTTCTCTCACCACAAATGAATTAAACTAGAAATCAATAATGAAAAAAATATCTGGGAAGCCCCAAACTATTTGGAAATTAAGCAATATGGTTACAAATAACCAAGCACCAAAGAAGAAATTACCAGAGAAGTCAGAAAATACTTTAACCAATGTAGCAGTGAAAACTTAACATACTGAAATATATGGATGTCAGTTAAGCAATGCAATGCTGAGAGGGAAGCTTGATCTCCATATGGTTATATTAAGCACCGTGAAAACAAATAACTATAATATACTAAAACAGTATTTATTGTTTTTGTTTGTTTGTTTGTTTTTTTGGCGACAGAGTCTCATTCTGTCGCCCAGGCCGGAATGCACATGGCAGCAATCTCGGCTCACTGCAACCTCCGCCTCCCAAGTTCAAGCAATTCTCCTGCCTCAGCCTCCCGAGTAGCTGGGATTACAAGCACCCACCACCATACCTGGCTAATTTTTGTATTTTTAGTAGAGATGGGGTTTTGCCATGTTGGCCAGTCTGGTCTCAAACTCCTGACCTCAGATGATTCACCCACCTCGGCCTCCAAAGTGCTGGGATTCCAGGCATGAACCACAGCACCCAGCCTAAAACAGTATTTTTTGTTAATGAGGGACCATTTAAACCTTCTCTACTTGGAAGGGGCAGGGAATGAAGGACAGGTATGAGGCTCAACACAGTAAAACCTAGGGACGGGGGCGACATTTAGGCTGGACATTGAAAAATGAAGCCAGATGAGGAATTTCTGTGAGGCAGGAGCATGAGGAAAGGCAGGGCATGCTGTCCCTGAGATGCTGTGGATAGAAGAGGTGTCATTCCAGTGTGGCCGGAGGGTAAGATTTCTGGAGGAAAGTGAGCGGGGCCGAGAACATCAAGCTGAGCGCGCAACAGATTGTGAAGGGCCTCGTATGCTCTACATGTACATAGAAGTAAATGTGTGAGTCAGAATTCCTTCTGTGGACATACTCAACAATATTCTCTTTTTGCTTCTCTAAAGGAAAAATAACTGACTAATGCAACAGTCAGCTCAATATGAATCATAACTATTGAAAAAGAGAAAGAAGTTTGATGAATACCAAAATTAACAGAGGCTTTTCCATATGTATCCTTTGGGTAGCTTCCCAGAAGGAAGAATCAACACAGCTACTTGGCAGGTCTACCTAAGCTAGCCCCAGTCACACTTCTTCACAAACTCCAGCTGGCATGCAAAGTGTGAGAAAACAGCCCAGCTAAAACACAGTACTGAAAAGTCTTGAATTTACAAACAAAAGATTGCTATTAAATAAAGAAAATAGAAAACAAAACACAGCACTGTGTTGTGACTGTGAGGAATACTTTTGCACCAGAAGATATAAAATGTGATTAAACAGGCGTTGATTGATTTGGGTTCGGTGGGTCAAGGCCTCTCCCTGGATTTGAACATTTCAGAGTCCAGACTACTGACTGGCTGTAATATCAAAACACTGTATAAAATGCTTCGATTTGTAACAGAATTTAACACTGTCAGAAGTCATAAGGCAGTTTTGTTTTTCCTAATTCACAATTAAGTTATAATAGCAGCAAGCTGACTTTACTCAGTCACAGAGCCAGAGGATTTGATGAGGTGTACAATTTTCCCTCAAGGATAAAAATGTAATTATGAAAAAGTCCTGAACTGAAAAACAGTATTGTCAGCTATTTCCAAGAAAGATAAAAGATCATTTAAAGGTAAAGAGATTACAGATAAAAGGAATACAAAATTAAGTTGAAACCACCAGGGTAGAGAGAACAAGTTCTAAACAAGAACCAAACATTAAAACATTTTATTATAACAAGAAAATATGGCTTTCGTTTTTCTAAAAGGACAATAAGTTTTTAAATTCATGTCTGATTAGTTCATCCAGATGTTTAAAGATAAATAGATATCAATTGATGATTATACTTTCCATGTTGCTGATAAATAGATATCAATTGATGATTATACTTTCCATGTTGCTGATAAATAGATATCAATTGATGATTATACTTTCCATGTTGCTGATAAATAGATATCAATTGATGATGATACTTTTCATGTTGCTGATAAATAGATATCAGTTGATGATACTTTCCATGTTGCTGATAAATAGATATCAATTGATGATGATACTTTCCATGTTGCTGATAAATAGATATCAATTGATGATGATACTTTCCATGTTGCTGATAAATAGATATCAATTGATGATACTTTCCATGTTGCTGATAAATAGATATCAATTGATGATGATACTTTCCATGTTGCTGATAAATAGATATCAATTGATGATGATACTTTCCATGTTGCTGATAAATAGATATCAATTGATGATGATACTTTCCATGTTGCTGATAAATAGATATCAATTGATGATTATACTTTTCATGTTGCTGAAGAAGCGAACCCTGAATGTGCCTCAGTCTGTCAAACTGACAGTCAGAGGGAGGCCCTAGTCAGAGGGAGGCCCTATTCTACACTCAGTAACCAGGGGACTCCTTTTCATAAGTTCATGTAAACTGCAAGGGGTACTTAATAGTTTTGTTTTCATTTCTTACCCCAAAACCTATCTCCCACTAAGCCCTCTCTATAAAATGAAAAAATTAATATCTGTTTCAACAGGATTGCTGGGAAGATCAAGGAAGAGAAAATGAATAATATATGTAAGAGAACTTTGCACACTACATAGCCCTACACAGAACGCATTATTACCAAGTATTTTACATTTATAAAGTGCTTTTCAAAGCACTCTCCACTTAAAATTCAATTCACAATCACCAGCTAAGGCTGAAGATTCAGACACAAAATCCCCGCCTGCATGAAGCTCATGTTCTGGACTCTAGAGGAATCAGGTAATCCTGTCTATACCTGTGGAAAATGCTGTGAAAACATAGGATGTTGCTACAAAGAAGTTGGCGTCCAAATTAGAGAAATGAGTGCATCGCTCCTGTTCTCAGGACTCTGGATTTCTGCAACCTTCTTAAAATCTTTAATGAATATTTGAAATTATCTCATTGCACCTGTTATCAATCCTCTGATAGGAACCAAGAGAGATATATGTTATTTCTGAGAAAAGTGAGGCTTCGAAAAGATAAACAACCTCATTGTGATTCAATGACTTGACGTTCAGCTCACAGTCTAGAAAATGGCTAAGTGGCAAAACTGGTCTTCAGACTCAAGAAATGTTCAGTATTATACAATAGAGTGCATTTGGTGTTTGCAGTCATGGAAATGGAATGTGGGGTCTTATTGGAAATAAGCTACTCCATACCAGACACGTATTTTAAAAGAAGAAATCATGATTCTTAGAAAATCGGGTGTCATGACTATACATTTAAAATTCTGTCAAAATCAGTAAAACAAAGTAAACAGCCAATGTGTATGCAAATGCTTTACATGAATAGACTATCTAGTCTCAAATCCAATAGCTGTTCCGGGAGGAAAAAATCTCAATTTGTTTGCCGTGAGAATGTCAAACTGATATTTCTGTAACAGTTAGCATGGCCACAGTGCTCCACAGAGAGTGCAAAGATCCTGCATACTGGGTGGCCAATATGGGTTTAAAAAAGAAGGAATTTTTATTGCCCTCTCCCCAACAATACTGTGCGTGCACACACACACAGACACACACACACACACACACACACACACAATGCAGCAGCAACAACAGGTGCAGGGAAAGGTTCCAGCAACCCTTTCTCTGCTCCTCAGGGAGGATATTCTGGAGCCTTTTCAAAGGCTCTTCCAGAGCTGATTGAGAAGGTTTTCTTCGTCAATAAACAGAGGTCAAGGAATGCCTCTTTGCCATGGAGTCTGGTCAAAGTTAAGTGTCCCACTTGTGGACAGGAACGGAGGTAGGAGCTGGATGCCTGTCGAAAACAAACTAAATTCCAGAAAATAATCTTAGTGTTCAACAAGAAAGAAATGTTTTCAATAAATTTGTGTTCATTTACAAGACTGGAAAACTGTTTAAAGTAGACTACAAGATTGGTGATAATTACTTAAATAAGCATTTATGGAAAATTGTTGTTTTATATATTTTTATAAATTTTATATTTATATAATATGAAAATTCATATTATATATTTAAATATTGTCATATATTTAAAATTCATATATATTTTAAAATTAAATATTAAAAATTAAATTATATATTTACATTTAAATATTAAACCTATTAAAATTGGCATTGAATTTCTTATATATGTCATGTATATTATATATTTAAAATTATATATTATATATTATATATTTATAAAAATATATTTTTTATTTTTTATAAATTTTATATTTTTATAATTTGAAAATTCATGTTATATATTTACATATTAAATATATTAAAATTGGCATTGAATTTATTATATATGTCAGGAAAACAATGACAAAGAAATACAGCAACGTTAGCAATCAGTTTTTTTTCTCATACTTTTTTTTAACTTTTATTGTGGGTTTGGGGGTGCGTGTGCAGTTTCGTGATAAAGGTAAACTGGTATCACGGGGGTTTGTTGTACACATTATTTAGTCATCCAGGTACTAAGCCTGATACCCAAATAGTTATTTTTTCTGCTCCTCTCCCTCCTCCCAACCTCCACCCTCAAGGAGGCCCCAGTGTGTGTGTTGTTCCCTTCTTTGTGTCCATGAGTTCTCATCATTTAGTTCCCACTTATAAGTGAAAACACGCAGCATTTGGTTTTCTGTTCCTGCATTAGTTTGCTAAGTAATGGCTTCCAGCTCCATCCATGTTCCTGCAAAAATGGACATGATCTCATTCTTTTTAATGACTGCAAGCAATCAGTTTTAAGCATGGTCCAGTATTAACCACAATGAATATTTCTTCCATATTAATAATAAAAAATGTAAAATAAAAAATAATTTCCCTATTAAAGATAAAAAATTGGAAATAGGTATTAACCTTCCTCTCAAGTCTCAATAAAAATAACAATAAAAATAACAAAAAGTGTTCTGTTTTGTTTTATTTTAAGTTGTAAACCCATAAGAGCAGAAATATCAACAGAGGAAACAATAACAACAAAATAATGGGGGTGGAAAGCAAACAAATGAGCAATCATGGACTAAGAGACCAGTTCAAGCATAAATCAAGGCTGGCGATGGGAAAGCAGAGAAGCAACATGGTTTACAGCAGAAAACCCACAGAGCCTCAGAAACGAGCAGCAACAGAAAAACAGGCTGTTAAGGAAGCAGGTCAACAGCTCCCCTACCGTGGTCCTCATTTCCACACCATCCTGCATGCCATGGAACGATCCGTCCTCCACCCTGGAGAAGCTTAGAGCTTATTCTGTGGAATGGGAGAAACGGAGAGTCCCTGTAATGGAGATACCAAGAAGGAGAGGCGGGTCATATACTGGAAACAAGAGAAGCAAAGTTGATGTAAGGAATATTGAGACTACAACTGGATCTTTCCTTCTGTGGCTCCTAAAATGCAGGTGGCAGAGTTGTACCTTCCATGCAGGAAATAAGAGGGTTTTTCTAGGGAATTGAGAGGATCTCCAGATAGCTGGGCCTATTTAAATGAGAGTGAAGCCCAAGCTGATGTGAAGCTTGCACCTAGAATTTCCAATCAATCTTCTAGGGCCTCACTCTTAAATATAAGCAGACAGCTAAGGATCACCATCCTTTGATAGGATTAAGAATGAGCAAACACTGGAAACATACTGAAATACAGCCGGCTGTCTAAAACAGAAGATATAGAATATAATGAAAGACCAAAATGGATATGTGTAGAGATTACACAGGGAAGATAGTGGAATTGACAACTCTGGCAGCAACGCTGCTAAGGACAGGATGAATATGAAAATTGCTTGAAGTTCAACAATAAGGAGAAAGGAGGTTGCCAAAAAGACCAGGAGAGGCAAGAACAAGGCCTGTCATAAGGTTATAGTGCATGAATGGCCTATCGGTTAAGAATTAATTCAGCAGAACATAATTGAAAATACATTTTAAAGGAGCATGAATAATATTTGTATTTTCTCTATAACAAGGCAGGTTAGTTCAAATGCATCATGACGTCTTCAGGAACCCACACTTGTCTCTCTTTATTGAACCCACACTCTTCTCTTTCTATTGATCCCACACTCCTCTCTCTATTGAACCCACACTCTTCTCTCTGTCTCTCTTTTGTTTTGTTTTTGTTTTTTGAGACAGAGTCTTGCTCTGTCATCCAGGCTGGAGTGTAGTGGTGCAATCTTGGCTCACTGCAACCTCTGTCTCCCAGGTTCAAGTGATTCTCCTGCCTCAGCCTCTTCAGTAGCTGGGATTACAGCCGCCCGCCACCACACCCGGCTAAGTTTTGTATTTTTAATAGATACCGTGTTTAATTTCACCATGTTGACCAGGCTGGTCTTGAACTCCTGACCTCAGGTGATCCGCCTGCCTTGGCCTCCCAAAATGCTGAGATTACAGGCATGAGCCACTGTGACCAGCCTCTTTTCTCTCTATTAAACCCACAATCTTCTCTCTCTGTTGAACCCACACTCTTCTGACTCTATTAAACCCACATTCTTCTCTCTCAACTGACTCACACTCTTCTCTCTCTATTGAACCTACGCTCTTCTGTCTCTATTGAACCCACACTCTCCTCTCTCTATGGAACCCACACTTCTCTCTCTATTGAATCCATGCTCTTCTCTCTCTCCTGAACCCACACTTTTCTCTCTCTATTGAACCCACACTCTTCTCTCTCTATTGCATCAGGCTTCTCCTGCGCCTTTTCGTCTCATGACTTTTCACCTCATTGTTGAACAGTGTCTGCTTTACCTTCAAGTTCTGGGTAGGAAGAAGAGCAAAGAGAAAAAGGCAAGAAGTAGTTGCCAGTGTCCATATCTCTTTTAAGAGCTCTCCTAGAAGCCCTACCTAGTGACTTCTGATTATATAATAGCTTCAAGGAGTATGTGGGATTTGGTGGTTGTTTTAAGCTGGACTCATTACCACTGTGAAAAAAAATCACATTGTATATTTAAGAAAGAAAGAGCAAATGTATATTACATAGAGAACCAGCAGCATACATCGCTGATTATTTTTGAAAATTAAAATGTTTTAGTAATGGGCTTGAAATTCAATTCCAGTCATCAATAAATTAAATGTATACAATGAAGAAGACTTGTAATTTAACAATCATTCTGGGTTGCTTAGTGGGTGTGCAATAATGACCTTTGAAGAGGGGAACAGGCCGGGCACGGTGGCTCATGCCTGTAATCCCAGAACTTTCGGAGGCCAAGGCAGGCAGACCATTTGAGATCAGGAGTTCAATACCAGCTTGGCTAACATGGTGAAACTCCATGTCTACTAAAAATACAAAAAATTAGCCGGGCATGGTAGTGCACGACTGTAGTTCCAGCTAATCCTGCTGAGGCAGGATAATTGCTTGAACCCAGGAGGTGGAGGTTGCCGTGAGCTGCAATTGCATCACTGTGCTCCAGGCTGGGCAACAGAGTGAGTGAGACTCCATCTCAAATTTTTTTTTTTAAAAAAGAAGGGAACAAACAAAGGAAATTTCTGGGAGAGAGAAAAATGGAAAATGAGTAGCTGTCTCCCTTCTTTCAGGTAACTGCTTTCAGGTCCTCCAGAATTTTTATTAATATAAAACAACATTTGCATTATCCTATCAATATTGTAGTTTGTGACAGTAAGTCAAAATATACTTTTCACTGGGCAAAGGACATGAACAGACACTTTTCAAAAGAAGACATTTATGTGTCCAACAAACGTGAAAAAAAGCTCAACCTCACTGGTCATTAGAGAAATGCAAATCAAAACTACAATGAGATACCATCTCATGCGAGTCAAAGTGATGATTATTAAAAAGTCACGAAGTAACAGATGCTGGCAAGGCTGTGGAGAAATAGGAACACTTTTACACTGTTGGTGGGAGTGAGTGTAAATTTGTTCAACCATTGTGGAAGACAGTGTGGTGATTCCTCAAAGACCTGGAACCAGAAATACCATTTGACCCAGCAATTCCATTACGGGCTGTATACCCAAAGTAATATAAATCATTCTATTATAAAGATACACGCATGCTTATGTTCATTGCAGCACTATTCACAATAGCATATATATGGAATCAACCCAAGTGCCCATCAGTGATAGACTGGATAAAGAAAATGTGGTACATATACACCATGGAATTCTATGCAGGCATAAAAAGGAACGAGATTATGTACTTTGCAGGAAGAACATGGGTGAAACTGGAAGCCATTATCCTCAGCAAACTAACACAGGAACAGAAAACCAAAGACTGCATTTTCACACTTATAAGTGGGAGCTGAACAATGAGAACATATGGACACAGGGAGTGGAGCAACACACACTGGGGCCTGTTGGGGGCACAAGGGGAGGGAGAGCATTAGGATAAATAGCGAATGAATCCGGGGCTTAATACATAGGTGTTGAGTTGATAGGTGCAGCAAACCACCATGGCACACGTTTACCTGTGTAACAAACCTGCACATCCTGCACATATATCCCGGAATTTAAAATAAAATAAAATAAAAATTTAGGTATATATATATATATATATATGTATACACACACACACACACTTTTTACTTGGTGTATCTAGGAAATATACAAAAGCTTAACAATAAACTACCCAAGAATCAATAAAAACTAAAAGTTAAATATAAAAAATGCCTTTCCATTGCATAAAAATGTAATTTCACCAGCCCAATGTATGTATCACTTGAAAAAATGTCGTTGCAAAATGCAATCTCTTTTGTGCTTTATACTGTTGATTTTAAAATTTAAAGTCAGGAGAGCAAAGCACATATAAATTGGTTCCTTCTTTTATTTCTCAAGAAGTCACTCTTTCTTTTTCATTACCATCTGCTCTGACTGCTATTACAATTTTTATCCCAAAAGGTGATGCTGACAGTGTAAAGGTGGTATAATTAACAAAATTCTTCTCTCATGACATTTCTCACAGAAAACTGGAAGCAAGAAAATATAATTGCACCAGCAGATATGTTTCAAAACCAAGTAAAGAGCTTATGAAAAATAAGAACTCTTAAATGCAAGCACTACAGATTGCCTAGATCAAGACAATATCCATGAATTGAATAGGTTTTCCAGATAATAAATTGATAGAATGCAGCACATATCTCCATTTCTTAAGAGAGAAAAATTTTGTGTCAACATGTAGATGCACAGCATGGTCTGACATTGGGACTGAATTATTCTCAGTTAATCAATAGCACGCATGTGAAGTAGCCATTCACAGACTCGGCTGCTCACTGGCATGACCTGGACGACATTTCCCTTTACAGATTCCTTGACCCACTCCCAAGGGTTTGGATTCAATAGGGTTTGGGTTGCTCTGGGACCTGTAGTTCTTTAAAGCCCTCTTGATGACTGATTAACACCAAGGAGAAGATTGACAAAAATCTGTAATAGCGGAAGCATTTACTACAAGTAAAACTCCGTGTTTAAACTTGGGGGAAAGGAGTTTATCCTTACGTAGCTTATTATCTAGCACAGTGATTCTCAGCTGAGAATAAATTTGCCTCCTGGGGGGCATTTGGCAATGTCTGGAGACTTTTTTTTTTTTTGAGCTGGAGTCTGGCTCTGTCGCCCAGGCTGGAGTGCGGTGGCGCGATCTCGGCTCCCTGCAAGCTCCACCTCCCGGGTTCACGCCATTCTCCTGCCTCAGCCTCCCGAGTAGCTGGGACTACAGGCGCCCGCCACCACGCCCGGCTAATTTTTTGTATTTTTAGTAGAGACGGGGTTTCACCGTGTTAGCCAGGATGGTCTCGATCTCCTGACCTCGTGATCCGCCCGCCTCGGCCTCCCAAAGTGCTGGGATTACAGGCGTGAGCCACCGAGCCCGGCCGTCTGGAGACATTTTAGGTTGTCACTATTGTGGGGTGGAGGGTGGGGGTGGGGAGGCGGTCCTACTGGCATCTAATGGTAGAGACCAGGGATGCTGCTGAACATCCCACAGTGCACAGGGCCGTCCTCCACCACCAAGAATTACCTGGCTCAAAAGGTCAATACCGGCAAGAGAAACCCTGATCCCAATAGGGGGAATAAGAAAATACATTAAACTATATAATGAATGGTGTAGAGATTTAAAAGTTATTGCAAAGATATAGATAGATGCTATCACAATTCGGAGCAGGGTGAGTTAGGGCCAGCAGAGAAAGGATCTTAGGCTCTGGAATGAAGTCTATGCCTCTTCCTACAGCCTTACTACTTAAGTGTTCAACACTAGCGGAACACTTGCAGTTTCGAGCATTTGTGCATATGGTAATTAAGCTAAATAAAGTTCCTGTTCTCCTTGAAGGTCACATTCTAGTTGGAAGAATCAGGCAGAACATCCAAAGTTTAAAAAATGGAAAAAACAAGTGTTGGCAAGCATGTGGAGGAAGTAAATGGAACACCCATTTCTAGTGAGAGTGACATTGGTTCAACCACTTTAGGAAACTGGCTAGCAGTATCTACCAAAGCTGATCTACATGCCCTGTGATTCAACACTTCTACCCCTAGGTGTTTGTTTAACAGCAGTGCATGTGTATCTGTGCCAAAAGACATGTACAAGAATGCTCATAGTAGTAGCATGTGTAACAGTCCAAAACTAGGTACAATTAAAATGTCCATTAGGCCGGGCGTGGTGGCTCACGCCTGTAATCCCAACACTTTGGGAGGCCAAGCCGGCTGGATCATGAGGTCAGGAGATCGAGACCAGTCGGGTCAACATAGTGAAACACCATCTCTACTAAAAATACAAAAAAATTAGCTGAGTGTGGTGGTGGGTGCCTGTAATCCCAGCCACTCAGGAGGCTGAGGCAGGAGAATTGGGTGAACCCAGGAGGCAGAGGTTGCAGTGAGCCGAGATCATGCCGTTGCACTCCAGCCTGGGTGGCAGTGTGAAACTCTGTCTCAAAAAAAAAAAAAAAAAAAACTCTATTAATAAAATGAATTTTTAAAACCAAGGTGTATTTTTGTGTATACAATGGAATACTATATGCAATTCAGCTGAATGTAGTACTGCTACACAAAAATATGTAGATTTATCTCACAAATGTAACATTGAGTGAAAGATGTCAGATATGAAAATTATATATGGTATGATCCCATTATATAAAAATTATATAGAGATAAAATTAATGTATTATGAATCAAAACAGTTGTTGTATCGGAGGAAGATTATGAGTGGGGTCTTTCTGGAAGTCATCTGGGTGCTGTAATATTCAATTTCTTGATCTGAGTAGCAGATCTGGTAATCCATATTGTCTTTGCTTTTTTCTGAATACCACATTTTGATAAAAATATTTACTTAATAGAGCAATGACAAGTGCTATGAAGAAAAGTAAAGCTGGGTAAGGGACTTAGAGAGTGGCAGGTCAGTGTCATAGATATTATTTATAGCAGAGATCCACAAGCTTTTTCTGTAAAGGGCCAGATAGTAAATATTCTAGGCTTTATGAGCCTACAATCTGTTTCACAATCATTCAACTCTGCGGTTGTACTGCAAAAGCAGAAATAGACAATAAGTAAATGAGTGAATGTGACTATGTTCCAGTGAAAGTTTATTTGTGGACACTGAAAATTGAATTTCCTAATTTTCATGTGTTGCAAACTACTATTTTTGCTTTCGATTTTTTCCCCAGTCACTTGAAATTATAAAAAATATCCTTAGCTCACAGGCCATAAAAAAACAGGCATTGGGTGAATTTGACCTGTGGGCCATAGTCTGCAACCTCTGAGGTAGAGGCTAGTGGGAGAAAGCCTGCCCAAGGAGGTAACTTTGCACAGTCCTAAGCAAATTGAGATAGCAAGTAATGTATTGATCCAGGGAAGGCGTTTTCTCTGGGGAGGGGAGAGGAAGTAGGAAGGCCATACGGTGGAAGCTTGCTGAGTGTGTTCAAGGAACAGCTTCTGTGGCTAGAGAAAAATGAGTAAATGGCGACACTGGCAGCAACAAGCCATGGCCCGAGAGGCTCAGAGAGAGATGCTCTAAAACGGAGAGCTGGTGGCGATGAGGAAGGTGAAACAGAGGGAAGAAATCCTGGAGCAAGGATGCAAGCCAGAAGTCTGAATCTCTCAGAGAAGACCGGAGACAGAACTAGCATGTGGAATGGGGTGGAGAGGAGGAGGAGGCAGGGAGGCAGTCAAGTGTCTTTCCGTGCCCAAGCTGCACACCACGCACACCACCACCACCGCACAGACACACCTCAGAGTTATTTAGTTCAAGCATTGTAAGACTGGATAAAGGTGTATTTCTTTCTGTCTCTTTTTTTCTTTACTTTCTTTCCTCCCTTTTTTGTTTTTTTCCCAGAGAATTCACATCAAACAGCATTATTTATAATGATGATGTCCTTCTAGGTAAACTCAGATTTTCCAGGTGAAAGAGAATGGCAACCAACAGTGGCAGCGATTTTTTAAATGCGACATGTTGGCCGGGTGCGGTGGCTCACGCCTGTAATCCCAGCAGTTTGGGAGGCCGAGGCGGGCGGATCACCTGAGGTCGGGAGTTCGAGACCAGCCTGACCAACATGGAGAAACCCCATCTCTACTAAAAAGACAAAATTATCTGGGCGTGGTGGCGGGCGCCTGTAATCCCAGCTACTTGGGAGGCCGAGGCAGGCGAATCACTTGAACCCGGGAGGCGGAGGTTGCGGTGAGCCGAGATCGCGCCACTGCACTCGAGCCTGGGCAACAAGAGCGAAACTCCGTCTCAAAAAAAAAAAAAAAAGAGACATGTCTTCAGGCTTATTGATGTATCTGCCCCTGGCTGGAAGATTTCTCGAAGCTCCAACATAAAGTAGGACCTAATGTCTGGCACTGCGGTTGAAGGAATGATTTGCCTACTGGGTGTTTTACTTAGCAACAACTCAGCTTTTTATGGAATTCCAGTTCTCCAATGTTTGTTCTCTGATGTATTGTTGCCTCTTTTATAACAGTCATTAAACACTGAAAATGTCTGATGCGGCAAAACTTAATGGACACTTACTGGTTATAATGGAATGAAGAGTGAGGTGGAAAAAAAAAGATGATTACCCAAAGCTTTCATAAAATTTCTTGTTATCTTTTCACATCTTTTATACAGACAATTTATCTTGGGTAATAGGCTATGCCCTTTTGATCTACAGACTAGAAACACAAGAATTGTAATAGCATAATGTTGTATCAGGTATGCCAAATACAATATTTTACCTAATTTCTTGTATTACTTTGCTTCATAGGTCAGGGAAAAGAAAACACATTTAAAGCAACCATTAAGATAAGAGGACAGATGCAAATTTAAAATAGTTGAATTTAGGTAAACAGAATTAATTAAACCCTTAATTTCATTAGTATTTACAGAGTGCCTGCCATGTGTCAGACACTGCCTAGATTCTAAATGACTAAATGCATAAATGAGTCTGTATAGATAAATAAGGCAGGTTAATATAAATAAATGAAATTATATAGTACCTATCTCATAATAACTGCTTAATAAATGTCAGCAACAAATATTGTTATAAAACTGCTATGGGATCTTCACATTTGGTATAATTATGTTAACTACACGTATGAAAATAAGAGTCATTAATACGAAGGCAACTGTACTAGGGGTAGCATCTCATGGTGATGATAAGCATCTGTGACTAGCCAAAAAGTGCTTAATCACCCCAAAAGGCACTCTATGATGTTGGCTAAATAAATATCAACAACAAAAGGCGTTTCTCAAATTAGTTCTAGATAAGTTGCATGTCACCTGATTCTATGACTATCGGTCCCATTGGTATTCTAATTTCTTTTTTCAAGGATCTTTCCTAAAAAATATTATTGATGCCATCATTTTGACAAAAACTTGTTAAAGTATTATTAAAACTGGCATAATTGAAATTTATTTTTGTGATTAAGATTGAAAATTAAAAAGGCACAAAATAGTAGCAAATATAACTTGTTCTCATTATATTGTTTATGACAATAAATTCCCTGGTTAAGCTTACACATGGTTCTCTCTTCTAACTCTGTTTTCAGTTCCTTGTAAAAGATTATTCTTTGAAGCTGACATTTCTTGTCTCTTATCTATAACAAAGGTTAATAGGTATATTAAAATGCAGAGAAAACATTCACATTTTCTCCTAGAATTAAAGTTTTAAAAAAGTTCAAGTTTTATATAAATGTTTGGAAATGAATTATAGGTAGCTACAGGCAAGACATGTTGTCAAATAAATACCTTCAGATAAATGTTGAAAAAGCTATTTCTAATGTGAAGTTTTAAATATGCTTGGAACATAATTGGTTAGACACTGAGCAGAATGAAAAATCTAATTATCAGCAAAGGGAGGAGTCTATCCACAAAGATGTAAGAAATATTTTAAACTTAGAAATCAAAACGTTCTGGAGTTTTTTAGTCAAACTTCCTACTGTTGAACTTAAATATGCAGAAAGTCATTTTATCTATCTAAGTGAGATGTGGACCAAGATTAAAAGAGTATTAAATACTAAATATTTCTTCCTTTTATCTTTTATTAAAGTTAAATAGAAGTAAGATGTGCTTACGGATGCCAAGAGAAAATATAATACAACAGAGATTCCTCGTGCAGCACCATCAGAATGTCATCACAGTAGGCCATGTCAGTCTCCACTTAACTTTCACACATTCTGATGGACAATATCCATAAGTTTGTAAAATGACTGTTTACAAAGTATACTCTGTTCTACTTTTCTCAATTTAATGCTGTGTTTATCTGCCTGGGTGTTTTCTTTTTTTCCTCTCTCTGTGTGTGTATACATGTGTGTGTTGATAGTGAGCAGAACATAGCCAGGAGCAGCAAACTGTTTTTGGAGAAGAACTCATTTTTAATTTAAATGTGGGCTTTATAGACAAGAATAAGAAGCTCTGATTGCAGCTAATTTCAGCAAATTAAAAAGAGCCTGCGGGGAAAACTGACTGGTAATGATGAAATGCAATCAAGTGAGCAACAGTATCGATCTTCAAACACAAAGCTGAGCAGATAATAAAATACAGTTTGAAAAAAACCATTCATTTTTATTATAGGATATAGCAGATGCTGGTTTAAGTACTAGAATAAAACAAAAAGCCTATTGATTATTACAGCTTGTACTGACAACATTGTATATACATAGCTGGCATCGTTTGTAGCAGTTTGCTCGTGTCCTCAGGCAGGGTACTAACCCAGAATGGGCACCCAGCCACTTTCTTCTGAACAGAATCTCATGCATTAAATATTTATGTTTCAGTGAGTAAGGAAAAGAGAAGGAAATCAAACATTCCTCCTGCGTGTGCGTGGAACTTTTGTCGAACTATAAACACAGCATGAGCACAAACCCTTCTACTACGCCCTTCAATACTTCCCTTGTCTTTGTTTGATTGGCAAAATGTCTCCTAGCAAGGAGTTTCTGAATTAGGCCAAAACAAAGACTTGAAATAAATGTTATCTTAACTCTTAAACAGAAATATTATTTTTAGGATTACTTCTTACAGCAGAGCAGAAGCTTGTTTAGTAGAGAAAAGGATGCTGTCAGATTCTCAGGGTTTAGAAGCAGGACTTTAGACAGAAGGTAGAACTATTTAGACAGAGGAAGTATAAAGGGTTCTAAAATGAATGGGAATGAGGCAGGGTGATTTCAAGAAAAAAATACTGAACTTATCCCTAGAGAATATAAGCATTTTCATTCCTTCCTTCCTTTCATTCCTTCCTTCCTTTACTCATTCATTCAAAAAATTGTATAGATTCCCAGTAGAGGCATAACCAGGCTGGAACCTTCAAAGTCAGAAGTCTGGCAGGGCCTGGGTCACTGTTGGTGAGAGACCACTCTTCTGTCTTCTTGACATGTTCCTGGCCTTGTTTCCACACTGTTTCCTGTTACAACCTTTCATCAAAATCTTTTTTTTATTATTTTTTTATTACCATAGGTTATTGGGAAACAGGTGGTGCTTGGCTACATGAGTAAGTTCTTTAGTGGTGATTTGTGAGATTCTGGTGCACCCATCACCCAAGCAGTATATACACTGCACAAAATTTGTTGTCTTTAATCCCCCATCCCCTTCCCACACTTTCCCTCTGAATCCCCAAAGTCCATTGTGTCATTCTTATGCCTTTTCATCCTCATAGTTTAGCTCCCACTTATGAGTGAGAATATATGATGTTTGGTTTTCCATTCCTGAATTACTATTACTTAGAATAGTAGTCTCTAATCTTATTCAGGTCTCTGTGAATGCCATTAATTCATTCCTTTTTATGGCTGAATAATATTCCATTGCATATATATACTACAGTTTACTTTTCCACTCGTTGATTGATGGGCATTTCGGTTGGTTCCACGTTTTTGCACTTGCAAATTGTGCTGCTATAAATGTGCATGTCCAAGTATCTTTTTCATATAATGACTTCGTTTCCTCTGGGTAGACAGCAACTAGTGAAATTATTGGATCAAATGGTAGTTCTACTTTTAGTTCTTTAAGGAATCTACACATTGTTTTTCATAGTGGTTGTACTAGTTTACATTCCCACCAGCAGTGTAGAAGTGTTCCCTGTTCACCACATCCATGCCAACATCTGTCATTTTTTTGATTTTTTGATTATGGCCATTCTTGCAGGAGTAAGGTGGTATCACATTGTGGTTTTGATTTGCATTGCCCTGATCATTAGTACATTTTTTCATGTGTTTGTTGGCCATTTGTAGATCTTCTTTTGAGAATTGTCTGTTCATGTCCTTGGCCCACTTTTTGATGGGACTGTTTTTTCTTGCTAATTTGTTTGAGTTCATTGTAGATTCTGGATATTAGTCCTTTGTCAGATGTATAGATTGTGAAGATTTTCTCCCATTCTTTGGGTTGTCTGTTTATTCTGCTGACTGTTCTTTTTGCTGTGCAAAAGCTCTTTAGTTCAATTAAGTCCCAGCTATTTATAATTATATAATTATTATAATTGTTTTTATTACATTTGCTTTTAAGTTCTTGGTCTTGAAATCCTTGCCTAAGCCAGTGTCTAGAGAGGTTTCTCCAATGTTATCTTCTAGAATTTTTATAGTTTCAGGGCATAGATTTAAGTCCTTGATCCATGTTCAGTTGATTTTTGTATAAGGTGAGAGATGAGGATCCAGTTTCATTCTCCTACCTGTGGCTAGCCAATTATCCCAGCACCATTTTGTTGAATAGTGTGTCCTTTCCCCATTTTATGTTTTTGTTTGCTTTGTCAAAGATCAGTTGGCTGTAAATATTTGGGTTTATTTCTGGGTTCTCTATTCTGTTCCATTGGTCTATGTGCCTATTGTTATACCAGTACCATGCTGTTTCAGTGACTATGGCCTTATAGTATAGTTTGAAATCAGGTAGTGTGATGCCTCCAGGTTTGTTCTTTTTGCTTAGTCTTGCTTTGACTATGTGGGCTCTTTTTTTGGTTCCATATGAATTTTAGGTTTTTTTTTCTAGTTCTGTGAAGAATGATGTTGGTATTTTGATGGGAATTGCGTTGAATTTGTAGATTGCTTTTAGCAGTATGGTTATTTTCACAATATTGATTCTACCCATCCATGAGCATGGGATGTGTTTCCATTTGTTGGTGTCATCTATGATTTCTTTCAGCAGTGTTTTGTAGTTTTCCTTGTAGAGGTCCATCACCTCCTTGGTTAGGTATATTCCTAAGTATTTTATTGTTTTTTGCAGCTATTGTAAAAAGGGTTGAGTTCTTGATTTGATTCTCTGCTTGTTCGTTGTTGGTGTATAGAAAAGCTACTGATTTGCATACATTAACCTTGTATCCAGAAACTTCGCTAAATTATTTTATCAGTTCTAGGAGCTTTCTGGAGAAGTCTTTAGGGTTTTCTAGGTAAACAATCATATCATCAGCAGACAGCGACAGTTTGACCTCCTCGTTACTAATTTGGATGCCCTTTATTTCTTTCTCTTATCTGATTGTTCTGGCTAGGACTTCTAGTACTGTGTTGAAGAGGAGTGGTGAGGTGGGCATCCCTGCTTGTTCCAGTTCTCAGAGGGAATGCTTTCAACTTTTCCCCATTCAGTATTCTACTGACTGTGGGTTTGTCACAGATGGCTTCTTTACATTGAGGTATGTCCCTTGTATGCCAATTTTGCTGACAGTTTTAATCATAAAGGGATGCCGGGTTTTGTCAAATGCTTTTTCTGCATCTATGGAGATAATCATGTGATTTTTGTCTTTAATTCTGTTTATGTGGTGTATCACATTTGTTGACTTGCATGTGTTAAACCACCCCTGCATCCTAGTATGAAACACACTTGATCATCGTGGGTTATCTTTTTGATATGTTGTTGGATTCGGTTAGCTAGTCTTTTGTTAAGGAATTTTACATATGTGTTCCTCAAGGATATTGGTCGGTAGTTTTCTTTTTTTGGTTATGTCCTTTCCTGGTTTTGGTATTAGGGTGATACTGACTTCACAGAATGATTTAGGGAGGACTCCCTCTTTCTCTATCTTGTGGAATAGAGTCAATAGGATTGGCACCAATTCTTCTTTGAATGTCTGGTAGAATTCTGCTGTGAATCTGTCTTGTCCTGGACTTCTTTTTGTTGGTAAATTTTTTTTTTTTTTGAGACACAGTCTCGCTCTGTCGCGCAGGCTGTTGTACAGTGGCATGATCTTGGCTCACTGCAACCTCCACCTCCCAGGTTCAAGAGATTCTCCTGCCTCAGCCTCCCGAGTAGCTGGGACTACAGGCATGTGCCACCACACCCAGCTAATTTTTTGTATTTTTAGTAGATACAGGGTTTCACCGTGTTAGCCAGGATGGTCTTGATATCCTGACCTCATGATTCACCCAACTTGGCCTTCCAAAGTGCTGAGATTATAGGCATGAGCCACCATGCCCGGCTTGGTAATTTTTTTATTGCCATTTCAATCTTGCTGCTGCTTATTGGTCTGTTCAAGGTATCTAATTCTTCTTGATTTAAGCTAGGCAGATTGTATCTTTTCAGGAATTTATCTGTCTCCTCTAGGTTTTCTGGTTTATGTGCCTAAAGGTGCTTATAGTAGCCTTGAATGATCTTTTGTATTTCAGTGGTGTCAGTTGTAATCTCTCCTGTTTCATTTCTTATTGAGCTTATTTGGATTTTCTCTCTTCTTTTCTTGGTTAATCTTGCTAATGGTCTATCAATTTTATTTATCTTTTCAAAGAAACAGCTTTTTGTTTCATTGATCTTTTGCATTTGTTTGTTCATTTGTTTCAACTTCATTAAGTTCTGCTCTGATCTTGGTTATTTCCTTTCTTCTGCTGGGTTTGAGTTTGGTTTGTTCTTGTTTCTCTAGCTGCTTGAGGTGTGACCTTAGAATGTCTGTTTGTGCTCTTTCAGACTTTTTGATGTAGGTGTTTAGGGCTATAAACTTTCCTCTTAGTATTGCCTTTGCTATAGCCCAGAGGTTTGGGTAGGTTGTGTCGTTATTCATTCAGTTTGAAGAATTTTTTAATTTCCATCTCGATTTCATTTTTGACCCAATGCTCACTCAGAAGCAGGTTATTTAATTTCCATGTATTTGCATAGTTTCGAAGGTTCCTTTTGGAGTTAATTTCCAGTTTTATTCCACTGTAGTCTGAGAGAGTGCTTGATATAATTTCAATTTTCTTAATTTTATTGAGGCTCATTTTGTGGCCTATCATATGGTCTACCTTGGAGAAAGTTCTATGTGCTGATGAAGAGAATGCATATTCTGTGGTTGTTGAGTAGAATGTTCTGTAAATATCTGTCAATATCCATTTTTTCCAGGGTATAGTTTAAAACCATTGTTTCAGTGTTGACTTTCTGTTTTTTTTTTTTTTAAGAGGGAGTCTTGCTCTGCCGCCCTGGCTGGAGTGCAGTGGTGTGATCTCGGCTCACAGCAACCTCCACCTCCCAGATTCAAGTGATTCTTCTGCCTCAGCCTCCCAAGTAGCTGGGATCACAGGAATGCACCACCAAGCTAATTTTTGCATTTTTAATAGAGACAGGGTTTAACCATGTTGGCCAGGCTGGTCTTCAACTCCTGGCCTCAGGTGATCCTCCCACCTTGGCCTCCCAAAATGCTGGGATTACAGGCATGAGCCACTGTGCCTGACCTGACTTTCTATCTTGATGACCTGTCTAGTGCTGTCAGTGGAGTATTGAAGTCCCCCACTATTATTGTGTTGCTGTCTTTATCATTCCTTAGGTCTATTAGTAATTGTTTTATAAATTTAAGAGCACCAGTGTTAGGTGCATATATATTTAGGATTATGATATTTTCCTGTTGGACAAGGCCTTTTAGCATTATATAATGTCCCTCTTTGTCTTTTTTAACTGCTGTTGCTTTAAAGTTTGTTTTGTCTGATATAAGAATAGCTACTCCTGCTTACTTTTGGTTTCCATTTGCATGGAATATCTTTTTCCACCCATTTACCTTAAGTTGATGTGTCTTTATCTGTTAAGTGAGTCTCTTGAAAGGCAGCAGATAGTTGGTTGGTGAATTCTTATCAATTCTGCAATTCTGCCTCTTTTAAGTGGAGCATTTACGCTATTTACATTAAATGCTAGTAGTGAGATGTGCGGTACCATTCCATTCATTGTGCTATTTGTTGTCTGTATACCTTGGTTGTTTTTTTTTTAATTGTATTTTTGTTTGATAGGTCCCGTGAGATTTATGCTTTAAAGAGGTTCTGTTTTGATGTGTTTCCAGGATTTGTTTCAAGATTTAGAGTTCCTTTTAGCAGTTCTCGTAGTGCTGGCTTGGTAGTGGTGAATTCTCTCAGCATTTGTTTGTCTGAAAAAGATTTTATCTTTCCTTCATTTATGAAGTTTAGTTTCACTGGATACAAAATTCTTGGCTGATAATTGTTTTTGCTTAAGGAGGCTGAAGATAGGGCCACAATCCCTTCTAGCTTGTAGGGTTTCTGCTGAGAAATCTGCTGTTAATCTAATAGGTTTTCCTTTATAGGTTACCTGGTGCTTCTGTCTCACAGCTCTTAAGATTCTTTCCTTCATCTTAATTTAGATAATCTGATGACAACGTGCATAGGTGATGATCTTTTTGTGTTTAATTTCCCAGGTGTTCTTTGTGCTTCTTGTGTTTGGATGTCTAGGTGTCTAGCAAGGATGAGGAAGTTTTCCTTGATTATTCCCCCAAATATGTTTTCCAAACTTTTAGATTTCTCTTCTTCCTCAGGAAGGCCAATTATTCTTAGGTTTGGTCATTTAACATAATCCTAGACTTCTTGGAGGCTTTGTTCATATTTTCTTCTTTTTTCTTTGCCTTTGCAGGATTGGGCTAATTTGAAAGCCTTGTCTTCAAGCTCTGAAGTTCTTTCTTCTGCTTGTTCGAGTCTATTGCTGAGATTTTCCAGAGCGTTTTGCATTTCTATAAGTGTGTCCATTGTTTCCTGAAGTTTCGATTCTTTTTTATTTATGCTATCTATTTCCTTGAACATTTCTGCCCTCATTTCTTGTGTCATTTCTTTGACTTCCTTAAATTGGGCCTTGCCTTTCTCTGGTGCCTCCCTGATTAGCTTAATAACTAATCTTCTGAATTCTTTTTCAGGTAAATCAGGGATTTCTCCTTGGTTTGAATCGAAGTGAGCTAGTGTGATTTTGGGGGGTGTTAAAGAACCTTGTTTTGTCATATTACCAGGGTTGGTTTTCTGGTTCCTTCTCATTTGGGTAGGCTCTGTCAAGAGGGAAGGTCTAGAGCTGAAGGCTGTTGTTCAGAGTCTTTTGTCCCACGGGGTGTTCCCTTGATGTAGTACTCTCCCCCTTTTCCTAGGGATGTGGCTTTCTGGGAGCCAAGCTGTAGTGATTGTTATCTCCCTTCTGGGTCTAGCCACCCAGCAAGTCTACCCGGCTCTGGGTTGTCTGCAGAGTCCTGTGATGTGAACCATCTGTAAGTCTCCCAGCCGTGCATACCAGCATCTGCTCTGGTGGAGGTGGCAGGAGGGTGAAATGGACTCTGTGAGGGTCCTTATCTTTGGTTGTTTAATGCACGATTTTTGTGCTGTTTGGGCTCCTGCCAGGAGGTGGCGTTTTCAAGAGCACATCAGCTGTGGAAGTATAGGGAGGAACAGGTGGTGGTCAGGGCCCTGGAACTCCCAAGAGGATATGCCCTTTGTCTTCAGCTACCCGGGTGGGTAGGGAGGGCCATTAGGTGGGGACACGGCTAGGCATGTCTGAGCTCAGACTCTCTGTGGGTGCGTCTTGCTGTGGCTGCTGTAGGGGATGGGGGTGAGATTCCCAGGTTAATGGAGTGATGTTACTAGGAGGATTATGGCTGCCTCTGCTGTGTCATGCAGCTTATCAGAGAAGTGGGGGAAAGCCACAGTCACAGGCCTCATCCAGCTCCCATGCAACCCAAAGGGCCAATCTCACTCCCACCATGCCCCCGCAACAGCACCAAATCTGTTTCCAGGCAGTGGGTGACAGGGCTGAGAACTCGCCCCAGGCTCCCCACCTCCCAGCTGTGAAAGCAAGTAGGGCTTTCATGCTTCCCCTACTGTGGAGTCTGACTCGCGCCCTCCCCCGGGTTCTGGCCAGGAGACTTCTCCATCAGCTCAAATTGTTACAAAGTTCAGCTGGAGGTTTCCTTCTCCCTGTGGCCTTCTCCCAGTGCCTCTGGCAGCCCTCCTCAAGGCCCCCGTGAGGCAGGGCAGAAATGGCTTGCTACGGGACCCATCGAGCGAGCCCATAGGGCTCTTCCTGCTGCTTCCTCTACCCCTGTATTTCACTTGGCTCTCTAAATTGACTCAGCTCCAGGTAAGGTCAGAATCTTCTTCCGTGATCTAGACCTTCAGGGTTCCCAGTGAAGGTGTGTATTTGGGGGCAGACAATCCTGCTTTCCCACTTCCGCAGTTTGGGCACTCACAGTATTTGAGGTATCTCCCGGCTCCTGCAGGAGCAATCCACTTCCCTCAGAGGGTCTATGGGTTCTGTCGGCTTTCCTGATTTGTTCCTGCAGTCGCTCTGGAGCAAGTGTTCACAGTGCAAGGCTCCACATGCTGCTCTGTCTGTCTGAGTGGAAGCTGCAATCTAGTCCTGCCTCCCGTCTGCCAAGATCCTCCCACTTTCATCAAAGTCTTAAAACATGCCGCGTGCCTGTAGTCACAACTACTCGGGAGGCTGAGGCAGGAGAATCGCTTGAACCCGGGAGGCGGAGCTTGCAGTGAGCCAAGATCACGCCACTGCACTCCAGCCTGGGTGACAGAGTGAGACTCCGTCTCAAAAAAAAAAAAAAAAAAAGTCTTAAAACAAACATCACATCAGCAAAATACCGTGCATTTGTAGAGTAGGTGAGCCTTTTGGAAAATGTGTTCCCCCATCTAATTACATTCCCAGCACTAGCTGTCACAATGCCACCATTAAAATGGGGAAAGACAGAGAATTTAAAAAACAAAAACAAACCAAAAAAAACCCAGATTTTTAAAATGTGATCAGTTCTGACACTGCAACTGCTATAAAACCAATAAAAAATACAATAGAAAGAGAGCGGGTTTGGCATGAAGGGCTGTCTTAGTTGTCACAGATGCCCTCTCAGATGATGAGCAGAGGTGTTGCCCTGTCCAGATCTGAGCATACAGCTTTCTACATAAAGGAAACAGTGGGTGCAAGGCCCTGAGGCTGGAACGAGCTTGGCATATTTGAGGAACCACAAGAAGACTGGGGTAGTTGGAGAATAGCAAGCTATGACAGAGTGGAAGGACTGTGACAGGAGATGAGGTTGAAGAGAGACAAGAACTAGAAAGGGAGAACTCACAAGTCATAGCCTGGAGTTTAGAGTTGATGCTAAGGGCCATGGGGAGTCACTGAAAGTCAGGGATGTGTAAGTAATTAATTGGGAATTTTTTAAGTGAATATATTGTCCGCAAAAAGTTTGTGAAGCAGCTTATATCCACTATTCACTTTTTACTTAAATAAATTTACGCCTATTTTTTTTTCTTTTTTGAGATGGAGTCTCACTCTTGTCTCCCCAGCTGGAGTGCAATGGTGCGATCTCGGCTCACTGCAACCTCCGCCTCCCAGGTTCAAGTGATTCTCCT
This sequence comes from Homo sapiens, assembly GCF_000001405.40. Taxonomy (NCBI): domain Eukaryota; kingdom Metazoa; phylum Chordata; class Mammalia; order Primates; family Hominidae; genus Homo; species Homo sapiens. The sequence goes on from NC_000004.12 coordinate 187,931,244, forward strand.
GTCTCAGCCTCTCCAGTAGCTGGGATTACAGGTATGCACCACCACGCCTGGCTAATTTTTGTACTTTCAGTAGAGACGGGGTTTCACCACATTGGCCAGGCTGGTCTCAAGCTTCTGACCTCAGGTGATCCACCCGCCTTGGCCTCCCAAAGGGCTGGGATTACAGGTGTGAGCCACCGCACCCGGCCTAATTCACGCCTATTAATGTATTTTTCCCAAATGCAAATAGCTCTGGTTTTCATTTTCTTATAAAATACCTGAGATTCTTTCACTGCGAATCCTTCCAAGTACCTATGTTTTTATAATACCCTATGTTTCTTTACCACATCAATTATAGTTACGGTTATAAACAAATTAATAATTGGAATAATTATCTATTTTTGTCTTTTCTTACAGACTGTAAGCTCGTGTGTGCAGATTGAGTGCTTGAACACTCAGCACATAACTGAGATGCCAGAAAATACTTTCATTAAATAATTACTATAATCATATAAGCTTTATTCACTTACTATAATATGAATATTTCTCATATCACCAAACTTTTGCGTTCTACACTTTTGTATAGTTGCAATATCCTGCTGTTGACTAATGAAGTTCTTCCAAGTTTCAAGAATGAATTTTTATTCTACATAAAAATGTTCCTATTTGCTTAAATAGTTAACTTACAGGGATTTCTTAGGTCCCTGGGCTGCTGTCTTATCTCAGTGTAAATAATAGTGAAATGGAGTCTTTTAAAGTGTCTCCTAATATGTTGTGAGTTGATTTATGTCCCTGAAAAAAGGTATGTTGAAGTCCTAACCCCTGGCACCTTAGAATGTGACCTTATTTGGAAATAGGGTCATCGCAGATGTAGTTAGTTAAGACAAGCTCATACTGGTGTGTAGGGGTGGGCCCTTAATCCAATATAGTAACTTGAATCCTTATTTAGAAAGAGAAGGCATGTGAAGAGACAGACACATACACAGAGAGACTCCCTGCAAGGACTGCAGTTATGCTGCCTCCAGCCAAGCCACTACCAGAGGCCAGGAGAGAGGCTTGGAAGAGATCCTGCCCCAGGATCCTCAGAGGGAACATGGCCCTGCTGACTCCTTGATCTTGGACTTCTGGCACCTCCATAACTGTGAGATAATAAATTGCTGTTGCTCTAAGCCACCTACTTTGTGATACTTTGTGACAATGGTCCTAGGAAACTAATCCATCGTCAGAGACAGCTAAACTACACTTGCTCATCTGGGCAGAAGTTGTGCAGATCCATCTTAATCATACCCCAGAGCCATTGCTGTGATGCCCACAAAGCTGGATCTCAAGTCACAGGGACAAGAGATAAAGGGGTAATTTACAAAATTAAACACAGCCTGCCCAGTTACAGTTCAATTTTAGGAAATCATATTATATAATACTGGAACATACTTATACTTAAAAAAAAAAGGTGTTGTTCAAGGTCAGGAGTTCGAGACCAGCCTGGCCAACATGATGAAACCCCCATCTCTACTAAAAATACAAAAATTATCCGGGCGGGGTGACAGGTGCCTGTAGTCCCAGCTACTCCGGAGGCTGAGGCAGGGAATCGCTTGAACTCAGGAGGCAGAGGTTGCAGTGAGCCAAGATCGCACCACTGCACTCCAGCCTGGGTGACAGAGTGAGACTCTGTCTCAAGACAAAAAAAAAAAGGTGTTGTCTATCTGAAATTCAAATATAACTGGGCATCCTATGTTTTTATTTGCTAAATCTGACAACCCTAGGAAGGCGACCAGCAGGAGGTAAACATGCCCTTGGGACGTGCTAGGGCAGGCGATGTCTTCACTTCTGAGCACTCACCCTGGCGGTCCACACTTAACAGGAGTTGGCCCAGAGAGACGGAAGCAATCCATGCAAATCCCCTCTCAGGCTCAGTGAGATGCATTTGGAAAAGGTGAAAAAGATGTGCCTCAGAGAATCAGAGAAGCAAAAAGAGTGACTGCTAGAAGACTGTTGTAAAATGAGTGGGTAAAGCCCTGTTGGAAATGGAAGAAGATAAGAAAATAAAAACAAATCCTCCTATTGCCATTACTTGTGCTTTGTGACATTGTTTATTAACCAAGTAGAAATATTACCTTAAAATACCAGAGATTATAACTAAGACACTGGAAGAGGGATGTAAGAAAGAATGTTTAGTTTCTGTTTACTACTAGAAGAGGCTCAAGAAAATGTTGAAGTGTAACACAGAAATGAAAATGTATTTTAAGGCTGAGTGCGGTGGCTCACGCCTGTAATCCTACCACTGTGGGAGGCCGAGTAGGGAAGGCTGAGTGTGGTGGCTCACGCCTGTAATCCTACCACTGTGGGAGGCCGAGTAGGGAAGGCTGAGTGTGGTGGCTCACGCCTGTAATCCCAGCACTTTGGGAGGCCGAGTAGGGCAGATCACCTGAGTCAGGAGTTTGAGACCAGCCTGACCAACATGGCAAAACCCTGTCTCTACTAAAAATACAAAAATTATCTGGGCCTGGTGGCGTGCGCCTGTAATCCCAGCTATGCCAGAGGCTGAGGCATGAGAGTCACTTGAACTCGGGAGGCGGAGCTTGCAGTGAGCCGAGATCGTGCCATTGCACTCCAGCCTGGGTGACAGAGCGAGACTCTGTCTCAAAAAAAGTAAAAATAAAAATAAATATTTGAAGAGGGCTAAACAAATTACAGCAAAATTTCCTGGCATTAATATAAGAGCAGATGAAGATGTCCACTCTCATTTGATGTTTGTGATAGAGAGGATGATGGAAGGGCCCAAAGTTAGATAAATTCAAGAAGCTCGCAAAAGAACGTGCACTTCTGGGTGTTCAGACAAATGGATCTGGCAGACACAAAGCCCAGAGGCTGCAGGTGAACTAGCTTGAGGATAATGAATAGAAAATGCAAACTACCCCCAAAAAGAGTGACACAAGGAAAATGACGTTCTGAAGTAAGAAAGGGGCCAAAAACAGGAAAGACGGAAGCAGGTAAGTTTGATAATGATGCTGAAAAGGCCTAAACAGGATTTTGACGCAAGAGATAGAATTACTTTCCCAAATTGCAGGGTTCAGCATCCAGAATTCAGTTGTCAAGGTTGAATTCAAATTTGGGTTAGGATTATCCCAAACAAAAATGATAAGGAACACTCCTACATTATTGTGGGAATAAATCCAAGGGAATTTACTTAGGCTGGGGAAAGTATGTTTAAAACTCAGTAGCTCCCATTTCAATGGCAAAGACACAGTAATTTTCCTAAAACAAGAGGCCTGCTGTGCATTTTCTAGTAAGAACCTACAAAACTGAAGCTGGTGAATAAATCATTTAAATCAAGGAAAGGAGATACGCTGCAACGCTTAAAGCATCCTAGAGGAGTGTGACTGTCAAAAATACCTTCTGATTATGTGACGTGTTTAAGACTGGAGCTCTCACGAAGGATCCATTTGACCACTGTGCAATCTAAGCGTGAGGAGAGTGTGAAGGTCAGTGATCTTTCTGCTAATACTGAACATGTCTCAGACTACGCCACCGGAGACAGGGAGTTGCATCAGGAAACACCAAAGGAAGAGCAAAAGGAGAAGCTGAAAACACAAGAAAACCAAATGCATTTATAAAAAAAAAAAGAAGAAGAAACATCAAGCTGCCTTCTTCAGGTCTAGGAGACTGTGCATTGAATTTGCACAGAAGTTTCTAGCGTGATGGATGAAACCTGGTTGCCATCCAACCAGGAAAAAGAAAAAGCAACATTAAATGTCGCCAGGGCCTTTTCCCTGCAGTAATAACACAACTGGCAAGGATATCCTGAATATAGCACATAAATATGTTCTTTCTGCTTCTTGCTAGCAGGAGATACAAACAGCCTCTTCCACGTTTTCATGTTCATGTTTATTAAAGTCACAGACATAAAATGTTAAGGTTCTAAAGAATGAAAATGTCAGTGTTGGTATAAAAGTATGAACACCTTGCACAGGTTATTTTAGGAGGAAAATTTGATCATGGCACCATATATTTTCATATATATTTTAGGATTATCCACCACCATAAATGACATTTCTCAGACAACTGTAAATAGATCACTGCACATTGCAGTCATTTGTTCACTGAGCATGCACAGCCAGGTGCTGTGGAGGGAACAAACATGAAAACAAACACACACAAATGTGGGGCCCGCCTGCCTTCAAGCTCCAAGAGCCAGACTCTCTAATGAGCCATTAAGCATGATCAGAAACACAAAACGGAAACAAAACCACACCGTAATTTAAGATAAAAAGTGATTAAGTGTCATTAGAGAAGCAGAGGTAAACTGTAACCAGAGTTCTGAGAAGAGTGTCCAGGGACAAGCTGAGAGGCCGTCAGCGTTGCACGAAGCCTTGCTGCCTGCTTCAAGGACATCTGGTCTGCCGGCATCTGAGGGAAGAGGCTGAACAAAGTATTTCCTTAGCACAAACAGAAAAATAAATACTTTGAGTTATGTAGGATATTGACATTGGTGTTCATGTACTTAGTAGGTCTCATACTGTTTTGCTGTAATAACCCCAGTGGTGAAGAAAAGCAAATGTATACCCCTAGTCAATGTGGGGTGACGGCCCAAGCATCCTGTCTCAAACAAAACATGTTTTTGCTGTCTCTTTTGTTGTTGTTGTTTTTGAGACACAGTACCCCAGGCTGGAGTACAGTGGTGTTATCATAGCTCACTGCACCTCAAATTCCTGGATTCAAGCAAGCATCCTGCCTCAGTCTCTCAAGTAGCTAGGACTACAGGCATGCACTACCATGTCTGGCTAATTTTTTCATTTTTTAGTAGAGATGGGGGTCTTGCTATGTTGCTCAGGCTGGTCTTGAACTCCTGGCCTCAAGTGATCCTTCCACCTCAGTCTCCCAAAGTGCTGGGTTTACAAGTGTGAGCCACCATGCTGAGTGAATGTTTCACATTTAATCTCAAAAATTCATGTAAATTGTTCATTCTACTGCATATCATATCCTAGTTCAGTTAAAATGGAATCGTTAGTTATCAGGAAAATAAAAATAAAAACCATAATAAGATACCACTTTATAACCACTAGTATAGCTATAATAAAAAAGACAGATAATAACAAGTGTTGGCAAGGATGTGGGGAGGTTGGACTCTTCTCATACATTGCAGGTGGGAATGTAAAATTCTGCAGCTGCTTTGGAAAACAGTCTAGCAATTCCCCAAATGGTGAAATATAGACTTACCATATGACCCAGAAATTCCACTCCTAGGTATCTACCCAAGAAAAATGAAAACCCATGTCCACACAAAAACTTGTATACAAATGCTCATAGCAACATTATTATAATAGCCAAAAGCGGAAACAACCCAAATATCTATCAACTGACTAATGGATAAACAAAATGTGATGTATTCACATGATGGAATATGATTTGGCTATGAAAACGAATGCTTCAACCTGGATGAACCTTGGAAACGGTAAGTGAAATAAGTCAGTCACAAAGGACTGTATATTTTATGATTCCATTCACGTGAAATGTCCGGAATAGGTAAATCTATAGACAGATAGTAGATTAGTGGTTGCCTAGAGCCAGAAAGAACAGGGAAATACAGAGGTGATGAACAAAGAGAATAGGTTTCTTTTTGGGGTGATGAAAATGCTCTAAAATTGAATGTGGTGGTGATTGCACGGCTCTGAATAGACTAAAAATCATTGAATTGTACACTTTATATGGGTAAATTGTATGATGTGTGAATTCTATTTCAATACAGTTGTTGCAAAAAAAGAAATTTATATTTTTAAAATTTTGTTTTTAGAGACAGGGTCTCCAATCTGTCACCCAGATTGGAGTGCAGTGGCGATCATGACACTGCAGCCTGGAACTCCTGGCCCCAAGCGATCCTCCCTCCCCGCTCAGCCTCTCAAAGTGTGATTACAGGCATTAGCCACCTTGCCTGGCCTAAAATGGAATTTTTAAATCCTATGCTTAAAAAAAAAAAAAACTGCAATAGCACATGCTAAGCTTGACAAAGGCGACTAATAGAAAAATTTCTGAAGGAAAACAGGCAAGTCTGCCATATCCCCTCCCCCGAGGTTATTAAAAGTTAGCAGTTTGGAACATACTTGCCAGCCTTTTTCTATGCTTTTACCTACTAAATGTGCACTTAGACGTTTATGTACGTGCATTTATGCAACCTTGTTTCTAAGAAAATTAAATAATTTGCTGCCAGCATACTCATAACCTCCCCATTCTTTCTGCGAAGTGGCTACTTCCTATACCACTGGAACAAAAGTCGTGTGCGTAACCCAACATGAGAAGCGCACGATTTAGTTCAGTGTTCTCCGTCCTCCACGGTTCGCAGTTGTCACCTCCAAGGCCTCTGAGGATGAAGGACTGGGACAGGCAGAGGCAGAGCCCCTGCCGGGAAGCAGAGAACATTAAGGTGGCAGCCTCAGCCCTGCCTCTCCACTTGCCCAGGCCAGCGTTCTCAGCGCACCTGCCGCGCCACACCCCCCGTGCCACACCCCCCTGTGCCACACAACCCCCGTGCCACACAACCCCCGTGCCACACGGCCAACACACGCCACACGCCCCCGCGCCACACGCCCCCGCGCCACACGGCCCCCACGCGCCTGCTGCTGCTTCCTGCCCTGGCACCTGTCCTCCGCTCTCTTCTCTCTGTGCCGCCCTCTTCCATTGAGTGCTGCCGCTTACCCAGAGCCGAAACGTCATCTGCCCCTGGGATTTCCGTGGCTGTTCTGAGTCCCACACATTCATCTCCCTCCAGTCCTGGAGGCCTCTAGGACTGCGGTAGGGAGGGGAAAGCCGCCGCGAGTGGGCCAGCTTGTCAGTCACCAAACCCCCTGCATTAGGACTAATTCTTACCTCATATGACTTGTTTCCTTTTGCTTTTAGAGACGGAGTCTCGCTCTGTCGTCCACACTGCAGTGCAGTGGTGTCATCGCAGCTCACTGTAGCCTTGAACTTCTGGGCTCAAGCGATCCTCTTGCCTCCGCCTCCCCACTAGCTAGGACTACAGGCAGGCACCACCACGCCTGGCCAAGATTTTATTTTATTTTTTGTAGGGATGGTCTCACTATGCTGCCCAGGCTGTGTGGTCCAAACTCCTGGCCTTAAGTGATCCTCCCACCTCGGCCTTTCAAGGTGCTGGGGTTCCAGGCATGAGCCACTGCAGCTTGCCTGTTTTGAGGATTACTCGCATACACAAAGAGGCATGCAGACTTCAGCAAGGTGATTTTTATTTTCAAGATCACAGAGCTAATCAATATCGGAATCTGGATTGTGACACAGATCCCTTCCTCCATGTTTAATACACTTTCCACTCTACTTCTGATATGCTTTAAACAGTATTCCAAAATGATTGTTAAAGAGGACATTTTGAACATATGTCAGTAAAATAATTGTATTACAGGAAGCAAATAAGGAGGCATGATTGTGGCATTCTCAGCCATTTTTAAAAAAATAGTTCATGTTTCCTCTTAGCACTTCCATTGTGTGAGCAGAGTCTGTAATAACGTGCTCAGTCTACAACATCACTTCATATTTTTCATTTCATATGAGTTCATTTTTTGCAGGTATAAGAAACTATCTTCAGGTTTCAGATAAAATTGCAACTGAACTTTTAAAACCTAAGTTTTTGTTGAGTCCAGGCCATAAAAATCTATCAGAAGGACCTAAGCCATTTAATCATCCAGATTATCAGCACTTCTACAAAAAGGTTTTAAATGGCAAGAAGATAAAATGTTAAGTGAGGATAGTAATTATTTGCCTTTATCTCTTGTGCCAGGTTTCAAACCTCACCATATGGGTGTTTGTGCAAGATTAAATAGCTATTCAAGTGTGTAATGAAGTATAGATACTAAATTGAACCAAAAGATATAGCATGGAATAGGTCAGAGAAGATCCACTCTGCAGAAATGGACTATGAAAGAGTTGATTGATAGATATTCATGATTCCAATCCGACGTGTACTTTGAGGGCCTTTTAACAAAATAGAGAAAATTCTTCTTTTTAAATTATTTCCTATAGGAAACAAAATACTACGGGGGAAGTAGCAAGGAAATTTGGGGTGAAAAAATAGACTGCCATCTGCAAATATCCTCCAGAAGTAGACTGAATGAATAACTTGATTTGCTCAGGATGGCCCAGTGTAAGCATTAATAATTAATGTCAATCTCCTTTTACTCTTAGAAATGTCCTAGTTTCATAAATTACGGTCACTCTATCTGGAATGATTTTTGAGAGCTATCGTCAGAGTCAAAAAAACTTAAGCATGAAACTTGCCTCCACAATAAGTCACTAAATGTGCTTTCAAGAAGACACTTGAGAAGGAAAGGGGTTATAAAAGGTTTAGAAAATCTGAGCTATACTCTAGGAATGTGATAGTCAACGTGTGTGTGCATATGCATAACAGGGAGAGGGAGATTGGGAGGCCGAGGCCGGTGGATCGTTTGAGGTCAGGAGTTTGAGACCAGCCTGGCCAACATGGTGAAACCCCGTCTCAACTAAAAATACAAAAAATTAGCTGAGCATGATGGCACGCGCCTGTAATCCCAGCTACTCGGGAGGCTGAGGCAGGAGAATCGCTTGAGCCTGGGAGGCAGAGGTTGTCACGAGCTGAGATCGCACCGCTCAACTCCAGCCTGGATGACAGAGTGAGACTCTGTCTCAAGAAAAAAAAAAAAGAGAGAGAGAGGGAGAGAGAGATGGAGAGATAAGCAACAGTTTAGGTCATCTGATGCAGGATCTGTTCACCCTTCACTCAGAACTCAAACAATGGGGAATGGTAAATGTATCAAGATTCATGTAAAACTGGAATAAAATCAATATATTTTAGAAGCAAGATGTGAATTTTTCAGGAAACACAGAAAAGCAAATAGGATGAATGCTTTCGTTTGTAAAAATTTCCAAGATATACTATTAGATAGCAAAAGCATACAGCAAAACATAAAGTGTGATTCTATTTTTTGAAGACATATTAAATATTTGACATGCTTTAGAAAATGTCTGAGGGACTACATACCAAACAGTTAATAATAGTGTTGTAAATGGGTAATTGTTTCTATCTGGGTTAAATGTGATTACATGCTTACTGCTTCCCCTCTGTGTGTGTGTGTGTGTGTGTGTGTGTATGTGTGGGTATGTATGTGTGTGTGTATGTGTGTGTGTGTGTGTGTGTAAGTGTGTCTCTCCGCCTCAGTCACAACAGAGGTTTCTTCTTCAGTGTGAACCCTGACATGAGAAAACACGCAGAGCCCAGCAGAGATTCAGCTGCCTAGCAGCCGCGTGCAGTGTGAAGAAGAAATCAACAGAGGGTTTCGGTTACAGCACAAAGTGACTAATACAAGCGGTCATAGGTGAAGGGCAAGATTCCTAAAAAGCGTTTTTCCGCATTTATTTCTATGATGAAAGACTTTCTTATAGCCAGTACTAATGATGAAGCTGTGCAACAACAATGAAAAAAATTCAAGCTTCTCATTTATTCCCTTCTTACCCCCTCCTCATTCACAGCCACAAAGGAAGTACTACCACCACCAAACCACCAAAAGGCAAAGGGTAGACAATGATTTTCTGAGGTTTCTTTCACCTCTAAGTTATATATATATTTTTTTGAGACGGAGTCTCGCTGTCGTCCAGGCTGGAGTGCAGGGGCGCGATCTCGGCTCACTGCAAGCTCCGCCTCCCAGGTTCACGCCATTCTCCTGCCTCAGCCTCCCGAGTAGCTGGGACTACAGGCACGCGCCACCACGCCCGGCTAATTTTTGTATTTTTAGTAGAGACGGGGTTTCACCGTGTTAGCCAGGATGGTCTCGATCTCCTGACCTCGTGATCCGCCCGCCTCGGCCTCCCAAAGTGCTGGGATTACAGGCGTGAGCCACCGCGCCCGGCCTCTAAGTTATAATTTTTATTGTAAAAAATAGATGCATATTTAGATATGTGTGACTTTGGGGGTTGTGTTTTAAATAGCAGCTGATTTTGTTTTAGTCTATATTAGCATCTCAGGTTCTTTTTTAAAATCTAAGCAAATCAAAATGACTTTTCAGACCAAATGTGTAAGTTTTAATCCATCCTAATTTCATGATGAACTAAAAAGCACAACTGGGTCATAGTGGAATCAGGTCATTCAATATAAATTACTACATAACTAATTCAGTTGCAACTCAATTGAAAAGGTAAATAGTCATGACAACCAAGCTAAACAATTCTTCTAAGGTAGTTTATGGAAACATAGGCAAGGCTTCTTTTCATGAATTTTAAAACATCCTTCCTTTGTAGAGATGGTGAAATATGTGCCCTCCTTTTCCCCTAGTTTCTCCTCAGATAACCTCATTCAACCTCATGGTTTTAAATACCTTCTCTCTGTGGCTGCTGATGACCAAATTTTTAATCTAGCCCTGAAACACTCTTCAAACATTCAGACTTCTTGAAATCAAAACGCTTTCTTGAAATATCTCATAGGAACCTTGAATCAATCTCAACCAGGAGGAACTGCCTGACTTTCTCCAGCATTTCCTACTTCAGGAAATGCCATTGTTAAAGACATGTTCGCTGAATAACCTCAAGGGTTGAGAATTCAAGTGAAATACTAAAATTCAGTCTGCTGCCATTTTAAGTAGCCATAAAAAATTAGGTCCCCTATATAAAGAAATACATCAAGTTCAAAAATCTTTAAAATTAAATGGAAAAGATATTGACATGTCTTAGGATCCCATCAAGGTTTGAGTTTTATAACCTGTATTCTGGATAACCTCGTTTCACTGAGATGGTAAATCTTTTTCAGTAGGCTATCTTTCCACATGAGGAAGATTAAGAACTACGTGAAAATGTTTAAGAGAATCAAAGCCAAGATATAATATTTTGTATTAAAAAGAATCCCTCTCTACTTGGTACTTTATGTTATAATGTTTAAGATCATTTGAGGAATTACAATGACAGCCTTTTAACTTTAATTTATGTACAAATTAATAATCTGTTTAGATTAATGGCTTCTGTTATTCTCTGTATCACAGTAACACAAATGCACATCTCCACATACAATTTTTTCTCAAAGTTTTATACAATCAACTGCCTATTTGACATCTCCACTGGAATGTCTAAACAGAAACCTTACGTGTTAGGTGTCCAAAACCCAGTCCTGACTTTCCCCCTAAACCTGCAGCCTTCCCCATTTCAGTTGATGACAAGTTCATTCTTCTCTATTCCTGAGACCAAACTCCCTGGAAGTCATATTAGACTCTGCTTTTCTCACTCCCCACATCCAATCCATTATGGAATCCTAGTTACCTGAAGTTTGCACATATCCCACATCTGACCTCATTCACTTCCACCAAAGTGACTTCTGCCTCCTTTTTGCCCTAAAGACTGTTCTAAACATAGCAGTCAGAGTGATCCAGGTAAGACCTAAATCAGATGCTGTCTCTCAGCATCACTCAGAATAAAAGACAAAGTCCACACAAGGCCTGAGGAGCTTTCCCTCCCCATTACCAGTTTAACTTAATCTGCCGCTGCCCTGCCCCTCAATCTCCTCGGACAAAGTTGGCACGCTCTCTGCACTGGCTTTGCACTGGCTCTTCTCACTGTCCAGGACTTCCTTTCCCCAGATCAACTTGGCAAATTCCTTCACCTGCTTCACATTGTCACTTAAATGCACCGTCCCAATAAGACTCAACCTGTCCATCCTGTTTAAAATTACAACTCATTTTAAATTCCCAATTGCTCTGATCATGTTCTATTGTTTTCCTTCTTCCATAGCAGGTATGTGCGTATCACCTAATTATCACATCATTTACTGATTTGTTACACTTATCATTTTTATTTATTGGAAACAAATGCTTTCTATTTGACTGTATTAATAAGTTCCGGGAGGAAAGGGGTATTTGTGGATGCTTCCCAAGTGCTTAGATCAGTGCCTGACACATAGTGGCCACTCAATACATATCTATTATTGCTGACTTGCGACTTTCAGTAAACATCACACTAAGTTAACAACAATATCATATATTAACACATGAGGAATATTCCAAAAAATACAGATTTTCCGCCTCTCAGACCAGATTGCTGCTTACTTGGTGTTTTGTTTGTTTGTTTTGTGTTTTTTGTTTGTTTGTTTGTTTGTTTGAGACGGAGTTTCGCCCTTGTTGTCCAGGCTGGAGTGCAGTGGCCTGATCTTGGCTCACTGTAATCTCTGACTCCTGGGTTCAAGCAATTCTCCTGCCTCAGCCTCCCGAATAGCTGGGATTACAAGCGCACACCACCACACCCAGTTAATTTTTTGTATTTTTAGTAGAGACGGGATTTCACTATGTTGGCCAGGCCCAGTTAATTTTTTGTATTTTTAGTAGAGACGCGGTTTCACCGTGTTGGCCAGGCTGGTCTCCAACTCCTGACCTCAGTAATCCACCCGCCTCGGCCTCCCGGAGTGCTGGGATTCCAGGAGTGAGCCACCACGCCCGGCCCTCCTTGGGATTTTTAAGGTAGTGCATTACGGTCCATCTCACTCACCTACCAGCTTCTTCAAAACATCTTCAAGAAACAAATTCCCATTTTGGTTGAAGATTGCACTTTGACACACGCATTTAAGTATAACAGTATATTCTATAGTAATTTGAGAAGTCCTGTTGGGGTTAAAAAGCAAATTCTTTATGTCTCCAATGTACTTTCTCCACTATGATCAGTGGCTTCTCAAGAGTAACTCCTTGAATAAGTCACACATTTCTGCCAGTTTAATACCAGTCTTGGCTTCTCTCTGCCTCAGGATGCAGCCAATACTCCTGAATGTGGCTAAGAAAGTCCTTCATAAGCACGTTTCTGCCATTCCTTTAGAATCCTCTTTTGACACAATTCCCTCTCAGCAGAAACATAAACTCTACCTGAACCTACCATTTTCTGCCTTTAGGTTTTAAATATGCTACTCTCTTTGCCTACATCACCTCATTCGCTAATGCCTACTCAACCACTTGATCACATTCCAAGCTTTTAGTTTTCTTCCTTCCCAAAGACTTCCTTAATCCTTCAAGAACTGGATAAAGGGTTCCCTGAGTTCTCATAACTTCTCATAATGACCCGCATCTTTGCACTGTTCCCTCCAGTGAGCTAACACAGTGTTGGGATGAGGGAGGCGCTAAAGAGACACTTGCCGAATGAACGAGTGAATTTTCTGAAGAAGCAGCCAGTGAATCGGAGCCGGCAATTTCTCTCTCAACAATGCTCTCTGCTGTGCCATTCAACGAGGCCACAATGCCATTGTGTGACAATGGTATGATGACACTGCTTGGGCCATAACAGAATAATTCTCCAGATAACATATGCACTTGTTATGCAGCTAGATGCTTTTATGATTGCTTTTGGAGGTGATGTGGCAAATAAATTTTTTACTTTTATAGGACTGCTGACATCTCACAGAAATTTTTGACAAATATTCAACTCAGATATGATTTTGGTTCTACTTTATGGATTTCCTGATCCTTTATATACTACATTTTATTTCTTTATGAGCTTACTCTGTTTCATTTTTAGCCCTCAAATTCAATGACCAAGATAATGTAACAGCATGAGCACAGAATATGACCTCTGCTCAGAAGAATTCCATTTCCATGTAATATATGTACAGGGCTTGGTGAAGGATGAAGCTGCTCTTCAGCCTCCCTCTAGTTATCAACTAACACAGCAATTTCTGATGCTTTATTATTTTTTTCCTGAATGGCTTTTTCTGTAGTACCCATTCATGCCTTCTGATCTAATTAGTATAATTAGCCTTGGACACATAAGAAACAAAGCAACAAATAAAAAAGCCCATAAAATTCCATTTCAATACCCTGCCTTTCATAGACTTTATGGAACTAAGTATTCAGCTGTCTTCATAGCTCATAACCTTTAATCCTAACATCAATCTCAGTGTTCTATTCAATTACAACTGCTGTCTATTGAGAAGTAGCAAAGGTTTTGAAGAGTTTGTGGGAACGTGGAAGTTGCCCCATTCATTTTCATTAGTAAACTCAGGAGACACAAATTTCACTAAAATTGCTGACACTGTTCCTGCTGTGTCTGGATGATTTATTATTAGACTTCATATTTCTTCCAAAATATGGTTTAAGGAACTCAAGAAAATCATGCGATTGTTTTACCTGAAATATGATGTAATTTTATCACCTGTGCACTAAAGTTGCTGACTGCAACTTGGACAGAATAGCACAAAAGGCTTTGCATGGCTGGAGGGAAAGGAAATAAAGAGTGAGACCCATAACCAGCACAGAGTACAGCACGGTTAGTTCCTATGACAGAGACAACAGAGGAGAAGGTGTATGTTGTATTTGTTTTTCTGAGACAGGATCTTGTATGTTGCCCAGGCTGGAATGCATTGGCATGATCACAGCTCACTGAAGCTTCAACCTCCTGAACTCAAGTGATCCTCCCGCCTCAGCCTCCCAAGTAGCTGGGACTATAGGCATGCACCACCATGCCTGGCTAATATTTTTTTAAATTTTATTTGTTGTACAGATGTGGTCTCACGATGTTGCCCAGGCTGGTCTCGAACTCCTGGCCTCAAGCAGTTCTCCCACTTCGGCCTCCCGAAGTGCTAGGATTACAAGAGTGAGCTGCCACACCCGGCCAAAGTGCACATTTTAAAAAGGCAACTTGCTGCACCTAGAAAAATAGAAAACAATTGTTATTTAAAAACCAAGTCATGACCTTTTGAGGCAATATCCCAGCGCTAAACGGCAAATGTTATCACTTGTAAAAGCAATTAAGAAAATTGTTAGGCTGTGGTGACAGTGTCACTGAGGAGCTTTTAAGAGTTATTTTCCTAAGAACAATATGCAAGACCTTGCACACCTAGCCCAGCTTACTTGTCACGGCTTATAACCCGAATGCCATCCCACTGTCCACACTTAAGGAACACAGTGCTGGCCCAGCATCCCCATTCCCGGGTGCACTTTAGGACCACCTTGGGAGCTGTTAAAAATTATGGCTGGGTGCAGTGGCTCACACCTGTAATCCCAGCACTTCGGGAGGCCGAGGCAGGAGGATCACCTGAAGTCAGGAGTTGAAGACCAGCCTGGCCAACATGGTGAAACCTCATCTCTACTAATAATACAAAAATTAGCCGGGCATGGTGGTGCATGCCTGTAATCCCAGCTACTCAGGAGGCTGAGGCAGGAGAATCTCTTGAACCCAGGAGGCGGAGGTTGCAGTGAGCCAAGATCACGCCACTGCACTCCAGCCTGGGTGATAGAGCAAGACTCCATCTCAAAAAAATAAAAAATAAAAATAAAATAATTATGCCTAGGACCCAGCCCAGACCGACTGAGTCAGAATCTCGGCGGGGAGCATTCCGGGTGATTCTAAGGTCTGGGCTCTGCGGGGAGCATTCCGGGTGATTCTAACGTGTGGGCTGTGCTGAGAACCACGGCTTTCACCACATCGAGCGACTGACCTTGCTCCAGTCAAAGAATCTTTTCCCCCCTTTTGCTCATGTCACTCCCTCAATCTGCTTTTATGCAGTTTTGGCTTTGTCTCTCCAGGCTTCACTTAAATGCTGCTTTCCTAAAGCAATCTCCATATTCTTCCAGCTTTTCCTAAAATCCACTCTTGGATCAGCTAGATCAGCTGAGAATCGGAAACCGGCGCTGAACTGTACTAGTATCCTACAGAAGCTTCTTGACCTCTCCGCATCCAGGCTTCCACATGCCACCACCAGCCTATTTGTTCTTACAATACATGACCCAGTCACATTCGTCCTGTTGAGGACTCTCACTAACTCAGAAGGTATTTTCAAGCATGTGGAGTACATTACAATTTTCTCTTCATGGCAAATTTCCAGGAGTAATTTCTTCTGATTCTTAAAGGAGTGACATTTGTCTCGAGCAATAAGGATTTTTTGTTATCTTGTGGATGTTAGGAAGCATGTAACTAATCCGTTTTCTCTTTATGAGTTTGCTGCTACAAAGTTTAAAGCCAATCTGTGACCCACTGGTGGAAGATGTGGTCATTATCTGCATGATTTCAAATGATTTCTGGCTTTCTTTTCTATTTCCAACCCACATTTTTCATTATTTGCTGATGGCAAGTTTAATTTGTGCTATCTTGTTGTGCTTCCCCTACTAATTTATTTTACCTTACATTGTTTATTGAACAATATGGTGCAAAAGTTAAATTAAAAGCAAATTTCTCTTGAGTTGTTTCCAATATTTGTGTCAAAATTATCCCCTAATCTGTGCTTCTATAGTCTTTTCTTTTTTCCCAGATCGCAACCCTAATGTTATTCTACTTTGCTTCGTAGTTAGCTGTATCTCCTCTTTCCAATTCTAAGTATCTTGGAAGATAATGAACATATATCTTATGAATTTTGCTAAAATCCATAAAAAATAAATAGAAATTGGTTAATAAGTGTTTATCATTGCTTGCTGCTAAGAATACAGAGCTAATAATACTTGCTTTGAATTCCAAGTTCATTATGCACCAACTGGAGACCTTAAGCAACTGAATCTCCAAGCCTCTTTTTTCTAATTATGAAAGAGGAAAAATCGAAAATACTGTTTACCTCACAAGATTGTTAAGATGCCGAAATAATTTTTGTTAAGTTACTTTTTAATGGCGAAATACAACCCACATGACTAGTAAAGAAAAGGTCTAGAAAGCCTCATCTGTGACTTCCTTATATACACATGTATACACACATGCGCACACACACTGAGTCTCAGACACTAGGGGAAAGCTTCGGCCCATGGGTAAAGAGGTAGGCAGAAATGAGATTCCCGCGAGGTCTTCCTAGCCAGGACGAAAGCTTCCAGATCACAATCTAAGAACAGTGGGATACCACTGAAGGATTTTAAGCAGATGTGTAGTGAAATTGCATATTTCAGTCTTGGAAAGTGACTCTGGCTTTTGTGCTCTAGAAAGCATATGGATACGGGGAACGTGACAGTGAAGGAAGCAGGGATATCTGCTAAGCAGCTACTGCAATAGCAAATGGGAAAGCAAGATCAGCTTAAGGCACCCTGACATCATGAGGTAGCCACACTGAGATCCAAAGCTATGTTCTTTCTTTTTTATTATTATTATACTTTAAGTTCTAGGGTACATGTGCACAACGTGCAGCTTTGTTACATATGTATACATGTGCCATGTTGGTTTGCTACACCCATTAACTCATCATTTACATTAGGTATATCTCCTAATGCTCTCCCTCTCCTCTCCCCTCTCCCCATAACAGGCCCCAGTGTGTGATGTTCCCCACCCTGTGTCCAAGTGTTCTCATTGTTCAATTCCCACCTATGAGTGAGAACATGCGGTGTTTGGTTTTCTGTCCTTGCAATAGTTTGCTCAGAATGATGGTTTCCAGTTTCATCCATGTCCCTACAAAGGACATGACCTCATCCTTTTTCATGGCTGCATAGTATTCCATGGTGTATATGTGTCACATTTTCTTAATCCAGTCTATCATTGTTGGACATTTGGGTTGGTTCCAAGTCTTTGCTATTGTGAATAGTGCCGCAATAAACATACGTGTGCATGTGTCTTTATAGCAGCATGATTTATAATCCTTTGGGTATATACCCAGTAATGGGATGGCTGGGTCAAATGCTATTTCTAGTTCTAGATCCTTGAGGATTCGCCACACTGTCTTCCACAATGGTTGTACTAGTTTACAGTCCCACCAACAGTGTAAAAGTGTTCCTATTTCTCCACATCCTCTCCAGCACCTGTGGTTTCCTGACTTTTTAATGATCACCATTCTAACTGGTGTGAGATGGTATCTCATTGTGGTTTTGATTTGCATTTCTCTGATGGCCAGTGATGGTGAGCATTTTTTCATATGTCTGTTGGCTGCATAAATGTCTTCTTTTGCGAAGTGTCTGTTCATATCCTTTGCCTACTTGTTGATGGGGTTGATTTTTTCTTGTAAATTTGTTTAAGTTCTTTTTAGATTCTGGATATTAGTCCTTTGTCTGATGGGTAGATTGTAAAAATTTTCTCCCATTCTGTAGGCTGCCTGCTCACTCTGATGGTAGTTTCTTTTGCTGTGCAGAAGCTCTTTAGTTTAATTAGATCCCATTTGTCGATTTTGGCTTTTGGTGTTTTAGACATGAAGTCCTTGCCATGCCTATGTCCTGAGTGGTATTGCCTAGGTTTTCTTCTAGGGTTTTTATGGTTTTAGGTCTAACATTTAAGTCTTTACTCCATCTTGAAATAATTTTTGTATAAGCTGTAAGGAAGGGATCCAGTTTCAGCTTTCTACATATGGCTAGCCAGTTTTCCCAGCACCATTTATTAAATAAGGAATCCTTTCCCCATTTCTTGTTTTTGTCAGGTTTGTCAAAGATCAGATGGTTGTAGATGTGTGGTGTTATTTCTGAGGCCTCTGTTCTGTTCCATTGGTCTATCTCTCTGTTTTGGTACCAGTACCAGGCTGTTTTGGTTACTGTAGCCTTGTAGCATAGTTTGAAGTCAGGTAGCGTGATGCCTCCAGCTTTGTTCTTTTGGCTTAGGATTGTCTTGGCAATGTGGGCTCTTTTTTGGTTCCGTATGAACTTTAAAGTAGTTTTTTTCAATTCTGTGAAGAAAGTCATTGGTAGCTTGATGGGGATGGCATTGAATCTATAAATTACCTTGGGCACTATGGCCATTTTCACGATATTGAGTCTTCCTATCCAAGAGCATGGAATGTTCTTCTATTTGTTTGTGTCCTCTTTTATTTCGTTGAGCAGTGGTTTGTAGTTCTCCTTGAAGAAGTCCTTCACATCCCTTGTAAGTTGGATTCCTAGGTATTTTATTCTCTTTATAGCGATTGTGAATGGGAGTTTACTCATGATTTGGCTCCCTGTCTGTTATTGGTGTATAGGAATGCTTGTGATTTTTGCACATTGATTTTGTATCCTGAGACTTTGCTGAAGTTGCTTATCAGCTTAAGGAGATTTTGGGCTGAGACGATGGGGTTTTCTAAATATACAATCATGTCAGCTGCAAACAGGGACAATTTGACTTCCTCTTTTTCTAATTGAATACCCTTTATTTCTTTCTCCTGCCTGATTGCCCTGGCCAGAACTTCCAACACTATGTTGAATAGGAGTGGTGAGAGAGGGCATCCCTATGTTGTGCCAGTTTTCAAAGGGAATGCTTCCAGTTTTTGCCCATTCAGTATGATATTAGCTGTGGGTTTGTCATAAATAGTTCTTATTATTTTGAGATACATCCCATCAATACCTAATTTATTGAGAGTTTTTAGCATGAAGGGCTGTTGAATTTTGTCAAAGGCCTTTTCTGCATCTATTGAGATAATCATGTGGTTTTTGTCTTTGGGGGCAGTCTGTCCGTTCTCAGATCTCAAACTCTGTGCTGGGAGAACCACTACTCTCTTCAAAGCTGTCAGACAGGGATGTTTGACGTTCTTTCATTTTAAAGTTATTATATAATCATGGATTCATTTGTCTCTTTGGAAGCATCTTCTCTGTATAAGTAATTAAAATATTTTCAAGCAAAGTACTTTCACAGTTCTGCAGGCTGTGCAGGAAGCATGGAAGCTTCTGTTTCTGGGGAGGCCTCAGGAACCTTCCAATCATGGTGGAAGGCAAAGGGGGAGCAAGAAATCTCACATGGTGGGAGCAGAAGCAAGAGAGAGGTGGGAGAGGGAGGTGCTACACACGTTTAAACAACCAGATCTCTGGCGAATTCACTCACTACCATGAAGACAGTATGAAGAGGATGGTGCTAAACCATTCGTGAAGAATCTGCCCCCATGATCCAGTCTCCTCTCACGTGGCTCCACCTCCAACATTGGGGATTACAAGTCAACATAAGATTTGGGTGGGGACACAGATCCAAAGCATATCATTCTGCTCCTGGCCCTCCCAAATCTCATGTCCTTTTCACATTTCAAAACACAATCATGCCTTTGTGATAATCCCCAGAGTCTTAACTCATTCTAGCATTAACTCAAAAGTCCAAAGTCTCCTCTGAGACAAGACTAGTCCCTCCCATGCATGAGTCTGTAAAATCAAAAACAAGTTAGCTACTTCCAAGATACAATGGAGGTACAGGCATTGGGTAAATACTCCCATTCCAGTAGGAAGAAATTGGCCAAAAGAAAGAAGCCACAGGCCCCATGCAAGTCTGAAACCCAACAGTCATTAACTCTTACAGCTCCAAAATCGTCTCCTTTGATTCTATCCCTCACATCCAGGGCACACTGATGCTAGGGGTGGGCTCCCAAGGCTTTGGGCATTTAACTTCTAAAGCTCCATATCTAAAATTAAAGATGAATGGATAACTTTTTACTATATTAGTTTTTATTCTTAATGTATTTCTCTTTTTGTGTTTTGTTTTGTTTTGTTTGAGACAGGATCTCGCTCTGTCACCATGGATGGAGTGCAATGACATGATCTCAGCTGTCTGCACCCTCCACCTCCCGGGCTCAAGCAATCTTCCTGCCTCAGCCTGTCCCAAGTAGCTGGGACACAGGGCACACCACCATGCCCAGCTAATTTTTTGTATTTTTTGTAGAGACAGGGTTTCACCATCTTGCCCAGGCTGGGCTCAAACCGTTAGGATCAAGCAATCCACCTGCCTTGGCCTCCCAAAGTGCTGAGATTACAAGCGTGCCATCTCTCCTGGCCCTAATTTCTCTTTATAAAATCAGATTTTGTTGGAAGTATCCTGTTTGCTAAAACCTTGATATCTGATGCACTTAGCATAGAAATCAGGCTGGAAAAACGAATTTGTAATAGATATCTAAAACTAAAAAATGTAAGAGTCAGAAGCTTAAATTTTTACCTCTTTTTGGACGGATGTTTTTCTAAAATAAACATTTTCCTGCCTTTTCAAGTAAAAACATTGACAATAATAAAAATGTCCCTTAATCATCCTGAATCATTAGATATTAGTTTTATTCTTCATGTAATTGACTCAGTGGTGTTTAGGACTAGTGGTCTCTAACTTCAACAAGTGTGGGATGGTCCATGGCGTGAAAAGAGGGATAGGGTTTGTCTGACCCTCTCTAGTGGGGATGACCCACGGCCTTTGCTGATGCCTGAAGCCTACAGCAAGGCAATGTGTACAAACAGTGGCTTCACCTTCCAGAACATTTTCTTTCTCTCTGTTCTTAGTAGTTTTGACTTGTCCACACCATTCAAGCTAAGTGTCCTTTATAACAATAAAGTTGAAACTAGCAAAAACGTCCAACTCTGTGTGGTTCATTAAATACTATACTGTTGTGAGCAAGGATGTAATTTTTGTCAGGGATGGGCTTCCCCCATGCCCCCTCTAAGATTACATAATACCCAAAATTACATAAGATTACACCTAAGATTACATAATACCCAAAAGAAAGGGTAGCCCTAAAATAGTGATGCTGAGGAGATACTAGTTACATGAAAAATGATCACAAAAACAATAAGAACTCACATGACAGATTTTTCACTTTTAAAAATGTATTTTACATAATAGTTTGATATAAATACATTCTATGGGAGAATAATATATATATTTATATCAAATATTTAACGTCTAGATTTTTTTAAGTTAAAATAACCTCCTTGAGCACCCAGTTACACTTTCTTTCCTTCCATATCTTCTTTCGATTCCACTTCCCTGACCATATGTGAGCACTGTTTGTGCTTTCCAAACATTTTCCTAGACATCAGCACACACACACACACACACACACACACACACAGTTCAAATATAAAATGCTGCTTTTTCCAAAAATGTGATCATATCCTATTAAATGACCTGCCTTTTTTCCACTTATCTGTGAAAACTTTTTATGTCAATACATATATATATGCATTATATATATGCATTTTATACACACACACACACACACACACACACATATATATCTGCCTCGGTCTTTTTAATTGCTGTGGTGTATTACATATCATGTGTACCATAATTTTTTTTTTGAGATAGAGTCTCGCTCTGTCACCCAAGCTGGAGTGCAGTGGCATGATCTCAGCTCATTGCAGCCTCTTCCTCAAGTTCAAGTGATTCTCCTGCCTCAGCCTCCCAAGTAGCTGGGATTACAGGCTTCTGCCACCATGCCCAGCTAATTTTTATTTTTAGTAGAGATGGGGTTTCGCCACGCCGGCCAGGCTGGTCTCGAACTCTTGACCTCAAGTGATCTGCCTGCCTCGGCCTCCCAAAGTGCTGGGATTACAGGAGTGAGCCACCGCCCCCAGCCTTCAGACAGTATATATTTTTGTTAAATCCAATTCTTCACTGTTAAAGAATACTATTTTACATTAATCTTTGTATATACATGTGACTATAATGAATATCCTTTGTACATAATATGTGCTCTTTCTCCCTACTCATACGTAAAATTACTGGGTGAAAGGTTACATTATATTTAAATCTGACATATACTTGCAAATGCCCCACCAAAAAAGCCCTGAAATTTGAATTCCCACTATCAGTTTTTGAAAGTTCCTATTCTCTTACCTCTTCCTCCATGCTGAATATTATCAGTCTTTTTCATTTGTCCTCATCTCATGAATAAAAATTACATTTGTCTTAATTTAATCTGCCTTATTAACTAGTTTTATGTGATACTAAGTATAATTTTCTGTCATTACATGTTTTCTATCAGATTTGTTATCTTTTATTGATCTTTATGTGCTTGATATTATCATAGAGATTAATGCTGTATTGTAAATAATTTTCCCATGATTTTTCATTGTACTTTTTCATGTGGGTTTTTGACATAGATGCTTTAGATTTTTATATAGACATATCTGTCATTTTTTTCTTTATGAATTCTTAGCCTATGTTTAGCATAGATTTTTCCAATGTTGAGATTAAAAATATTTTCTATTCTCATGAAATTTCCTTTAACATTGTTATAATTTTGTAATCTATTTTTATCTCTATAATTCATCTGTAGTTTTTCTGGTTTGAGGTGGGAATCTACCCTTAATTTTTTGTTTGTGTCAATTGATAACCAGTAGTCTCAATCATAACCTTTCCTTATTGACTTGAAATATAATGCGTAACAGCTGCCAAAATGTATAGGTCTATACCAATTTTCTTCTAGACTTTCTATTGTCTTCCTTTCATTTATTTATTAATTTTTGTACCAATGCTGCAGTATTTTAATTATGTTTGTCTTGCAGCATATTCTAATCTCTGGTAGGACCTTTCCTTTTACTATTTAATTTTTTTACTTTTACCTCCCACCTCAACGTCCTGAGTAGCTGAGACTACAGGCATATGCCACAACACCTGGCTAGTTTTGTTTGTTTGTTTCGAGCTCCTGTAAAAATAATAACTATTATTTATTGGAAAATCTCTACACCTCAGGGACTATGTGAAGCATTTTTACATGAACTATTTTATTTAATCCTCATAATGGCCCTCTGAGAAAGTGTAATGAGTTGAATGATGGCCACTCAGAGGATATGTCCATGTCCTAACTGCTAGAACCTGTGGACGTGACTTTTGTTGGGAAAAGAGTCTGATGATGCAATTAAGGATTTCAAGATCATATCATCCTGGATTATCCAGGTGGATCTTAAATCCAATGACAGTTGTCCTTATAAGAGAAAGTCAGAAGGAGATTTGATGCAGAGGTGATTGTGTATTTAGAAACCCCATCGTCTCAACCCAAAATCTCCTTAAGCTGATAAGCAACTTCAGCAAAGTCTCAGGATACAAAATCAATGTGCAAAAATCACAAGCATTCCTATACACCAATAACAGACAGGGAGCCAAATCATGAGTAAACTCCCATTCACAATCGCTATAAAGAGAATAAAATACCTAGGAATCCAACTTACAAGGGATGTGAAGGACTTCTTCAAGGAGCACTACAAACCACTGCTCAACGAAATAAAAGAGGACACAAACAAATAGAAGAACATTCCATGCTCTTGGATAGGAAGACTCAATATCGTGAAAATGGCCATAGTGCCCAAGGTAATTTATAGATTCAATGCCATCCCCATCAAGCTACCAATGACTTTCTTCACAGAATTGAAAAAAACTACTTTAAAGTTCATACGGAACCAAAAAAGAGCCCACATTGCCAAGACAATCCTAAGCCAAAAGAACAAAGCTGGAGGCATCACGCTACCTGACTTCAAACTATGCTACAAGGCTACAGTAACCAAAACAGCCTGGTACTGGTACCAAAACAGAGAGATAGACCAATGGAACAGAACAGAGGCCTCAGAAATAACACCACACATCTACAACCATCTGATCTTTGACAAACCTGACAAAAACAAGAAATGGGGAAAGGATTCCTTATTTAATAAATGGTGCTGGGAAAACTGGCTAGCCATATGTAGAAAGCTGAAACTGGATCCCTTCCTTACAGCTTATACAAAAATTATTTCAAGATGGAGTAAAGACTTAAATGTTAGACCTAAAACCATAAAAACCCTAGAAGAAAACCTAGGCAATACCACTCAGGACATAGGCATGGCAAGGACTTCATGTCTAAAACACCAAAAGCCAAAATCGACAAATGGGATCTAATTAAACTAAAGAGCTTCTGCACAGCAAAAGAAACTACCATCAGAGTGAGCAGGCAGCCTACAGAATGGGAGAAAATTTTTACAATCTACCCATCAGACAAAGGACTAATATCCAGAATCTAAAAAGAACTTAAACAAATTTACAAGAAAAAATCAACCCCATCAACAAGTAGGCAAAGGATATGAACAGACACTTCGCAAAAGAAGACATTTATGCAGCCAACAGACATATGAAAAAATGCTCACCATCACTGGCCATCAGAGAAATGCAAATCAAAACCACAATGAGATACCATCTCACACCAGTTAGAATGGTGATCATTAAAAAGTCAGGAAACCACAGGTGCTGGAGAGGATGTGGAGAAATAGGAACACTTTTACACTGTTGGTGGGACTGTAAACTAGTACAACCATTGTGGAAGACAGTGTGGCGAATCCTCAAGGATCTAGAACTAGAAATAGCATTTGACCCAGCCATCCCATTACTGGGTATATACCCAAAGGATTATAAATCATGCTGCTATAAAGACACATGCACACGTATGTTTATTGCGGCACTATTCACAATAGCAAAGACTTGGAACCAACCCAAATGTCCAACAATGATAGACTGGATTAAGAAAATGTGACACATATACACCATGGAATACTATGCAGCCATGAAAAAGGATGAGGTCATGTCCTTTGTAGGGACATGGATGAAACTGGAAACCATCATTCTGAGCAAACTATTGCAAGGACAGAAAACCAAACACCGCATGTTCTCACTCATAGGTGGGAATTGAACAATGAGAACACTTGGACACAGGGTGGGGAACATCACATACCAGGGCCTGTCATGTGGTGGGGGGTGGGGGGAAGGATAGCATTAGGAGATATACCTAATGTAAATGACGAGTTAATGGGTGCAGCACACCAATATGGCACATGTATACATATGTAACAAAGCTGCACGTTGTGCACATGTACCCTAGAACTTAAAGTATAATAATTAAGAAAAGACTTAGAAAAAAAGAAAACGTGCTACATATATGCCATGGAATACTATGCAGCCATAAAAAAAGATGAGTTCATGTCCTTTGCAGGGACATGGATGAAGCTGGAAACCATCATTCTCAGCAAACTATCACAAGGACAGAAAACCAAACATCACATGTTCTTACTCATAGGTGGGAACTGAACAATGAGAACACTTGGACACAGAGTGGGGAACATCAAACACCGGGGCCTGTCGTCGGGTGGAGGGAGAGGAGAGGGATAGCATTAGGAGAAATACCTAATGTAAATGACAAGTTAATGGGTGCAGCAAATCAACATGGCACACGTATACCTATGTAACAAACCTGCACGTTGTGCATATGTACCCTAGAACTTAAAGTATAATAATAATTTTTAAAAATTAAATTAAAAATTTTCTATTCAGTAATATAGACACTAGATAAAAGACACAAACTATCTTTTAATGAATGGCTGGTCTTTGGAAATTGTAAGGGAAAGTTCCAGGGGCCTACAGAAAAAATAGTGAGCTGAAACAAGACAGTGCCTCCAAACTAGAAGACTTCAGGAAGGGTATATGATTTTGTAGTCTGGGCTCAAATAGTTTAAGGTAGAACTTTCTATCCAGGAACTTGTTGGAACTGGACAAACCTTGTGACATGTGTTTCGGGACTGGTGGAGAAAGCAAGGCAAGGTCTTTTAGTATTGATGAACACAATGTTTTGGTGAGAATCAAGCTGTTTTTCCTAATAAGCAAAGGATTTTTTTCTGACAAACAAATTATTTGCCCACATAAATTGATTTGAAATAATTTCCTAAAGCAAGTAGTGAAGTTATTTATTGGTTTGCAGACTTATCTTTCTGGGGAATGAATTTCCCAGAGAAAACGGTAAAGTTTTATTAACAGAGAAAATAAGAAAATTGTTTGCTCTTCCATCACATTTAAAATAATATATATTTAGGCCCAGATGTAGTGCCTAACACCTGTAATCCCAATAGTTTGGGAGGTGAGGAGTTCAAGACCAGTGTGAGCAACATAGTGAGACCCCCATCTCTAAAACAAACAAATAAAAACAAGAATACATATCTAAACTGGTGGGAATAAAAATAATGAGAATACATATCTAAACTGGTGGGATGCAGCCAAAAGCAGACTTTAAAGGCAGACTCATGCACTCAAACGCAGCGACGAGGCCAGGTGCAGTGGCTCACGCCTGTAATCCCAGCACTTTGGAAGGCCAAGGCAGAAGGATTGCTTGAGTCCAGAAGTTCGAGACCAGCCTGGGCAAGAGAGTGAGACCCTGTCTCCACAAAAAAAAATTAAAAAATAAAAATAAAGCTAGCCGGGTATTGTGGCATGTGCCTGTGGTCCCAGCTACTCGGGAGGTTGAGGTGGGAGGATTGCTTGAGCCCACAAGGTTGCGGCTGAAATGAGCCAAGTTTGCACCACTGCACTCCAGCCTCGGTGACAGAGCAAGACCCTGTCTCAAAAGAAGCCAACAAGCCAGGTGTGGTGCTTCACGTCTGTAATCCCAGCACTTTGGGAGGCAAAGGAGGGTGGCTCACTTGAGCTCACATGTTTGAGACCAGCCTGGACAATACCGTGAAACCCCATCTCTACAAAAAATACAAAACTTAGCCAGGCATGGTGGCGTGTGCCTGTAGTTCCAGCTACTCAGGAGGCTGAGGTCAGAGGATGGCTTGAGCCTGGGAGGCAGAAGCTGCAGTGAGCCAAGATGGTGCAAATGCACTCCAGCCTGAGTGACAGAGCCAGACCTTGTCTCAAAAAAAGCAAACACAGGAACAAATACAGAGATGAGAAAAGAATCAGAGACTGTAAGTAAATTACTTTAAATGTCCAAATTTAGAAGTTAAGTGAAGAAGAAGAAATAACCTAAAGAGAGTAAAAGAAAGAAGATAACACTAAAATCAGAAATTAATAAAATATAAAGCCAAGATATAATTAGCAGAGACAGTGGGGCAACACTAATTCCTTGAGAAGACTAATAAAATAAAATTGTTTTTAACTTTATTAATATTAGTAAGGGGGTAGCGAAACAACAAAAAGAAATATAATGTCTGGGTAGTCCCATGACCATTAGGAAATGTGGAATTTTTGAGAAACTTATCACAATGAAAAAATTAGACTCAAAAGGCTTTTTGTTTTGTTTTGTTTTTTGTTTTTTTACTGTGGTAAAATACGTAAGAAAAGTTACCATTTGGCTGGGTGCGGTGGCCGGGTACAGGATCACACCTATAATCCCAGCACTTTGGGAGGCTGAGGCAGGCGGATCATCTGAGGTCAGGAGTTTGAGACCAGCCTGACCAACATGGAGAAACCCTGTCTCTACTAAAAATACAAAATTAGCCGGGCGTGGTGGCACATGCCTGTAATCCCAGCTACTCGGGAGGCTGAGGCAGGAGAATCGCTTGAACCCGGGAAGCAGAGGTTGTAGTGAGCCGAGATTGTGCCATTGCACTCCAGCCTGGGTGACAAGAGCGAAACTCCATCTCAAAAAAGAAAAGTTATAATTGAATCCTTTTTAAGTGTACATTTCTGTGGCATTAGACACATTCGCATTGTTGTGCAAGTATACCACCATCCAGAACTTTTCCAGCTCTCCCAACTGAAACTCTGTACCCATTAAACACCAACTCCCAACCTCCCGTCTCCCAGCCTCTGACAACCCCTATTCTACTCTCTCTATGAATCTCACTACTCTAGGAACTTTTTATGAATGGACTCCTGCAACATCTGTGCTTTTGTGACTGGCCTATTTCACTTAGCATAATGTCTTCAAGGTATATCCATTGTGTTGTGGCATGTCTCAAAATGTTCTTTCCTTTAAAGGGTGAGTGATATTCCATTATCTGTATATTCTATATTTTGTATATCCATGCACCTGTCAGTGGGCACTTGGGCAGCTTTCACCTTTTGGCTATTGTGAATAATGCTATTATGAACATGGGTGTACAAATATTTGTTTGGGTCCCTGCTTTCACTTTTTTTGGATGTATACTCGGAGTGGAATTGCTGGATCATGTGGTTATTCTGTGTTTAACTTTTTAAGGAATGGCCATATAGTTTTCCACAGTAGCTGTACCATCGTACATTCCTACCAACAGTGCACAGGGATTCCAATGTCTCCACTTCCTTTGAACACTTGTTATTTTCTGGGTTTTGATAGTAGCTATCCTAATGGGTATAGAGTGGTATCTCACTGTAGTTTTGATGTGCACTTCCCTAATTTAGTAATGTTGAACATCCTTGCACGTGCCTATTGATTATTTGTGTATCTTCACTGAAGAAATGTCAATGTGTGTTCTTTACCTATTTTTAATTAGGCTGTTTGATATTTGTGTTGTTGAGATGTGGGAGTTCTTTATCTATTCTGTATAGCTATCAATCTCTTATTAGTTATATGACTGACAACGCCCAGAGAGCTTTAAAGGCAAGTTCTACCAACTTTTAATTGCAATCTTACACAAATTAGTTCAAAGAATAAAAAAAATGGTTACCCTGAAACTCATTTTATAAAGGATGTATCCATCAGGGTTTAACCAGAGAAACAAAATGAGTAGGAGATGTACACTTAGAGGTTGATTGCAGGGAACTGACTTACATGATTGTGGGCGCTGGCAAGGCACATCGGAAGTCCACAGCACAGGCCATCAGAAAGAGGAGGGTGGGATTTTAGGGGTGAACTGAAATTGCTGTCCATAGGCAGAATTTATGTTTTCTCAGGGAAGCCTCAGTTCCGCTCCTGAGGTCTTTCAGCTGATTGAATCAGTCTCACCCAGGATAATCTAGAATAGTGAGACAATAAATATTTTACAATAATCTTCTTAAGTAATGTCGACTGATTGTAGAATTCGGTCACAGCCACAGAATACCTTCACAGCATCACCTGATTTAGTGTTTGATGGAATAACCGGGTACCAGCGACTGGCCAAGTGGATATGTGAAACTGATCATCGCAAAAGTCAAACAACCTATGCAAAGGCCAGAAAATGACAGTTTCAAAAACTAGCAGCCAATTTTAGTCACTAATTCAGATTAGAAATCCCCCCGCAAAACTACACATAACAATAACAAAAAAGGCCGGGCGCAGTGGCTCACGCCTGTAATCCCAGCACTTTGGGAGGCAGAGGCGGGCGGATTGCCTGAGCTCAGGAGTTCGACACCAGCCTGAGCAACATTGTGAAACCCCGTCTCTACTAAAATACACAACAATTAGCCAGGCATGGCGGCATGCGCCTGTGGTCCCAGCTACTCAGGAGGCTGAGGCAGGAAGAATTGCTTGAACCTGGGAGGCGAAGGTTGCGGTGAGCCGAGATCACACCACTGCACTCCAGCCTGGGTGACAGAGCGAGACTCCATCTCCAAAAAAAGAAAAAAAAAAAAAAAAAAAGTAACAAACTAGATCCAGCAATATGTGAAATGGAAAAAAACAAGTCCAAAATATAAATATTTATCTTGTATGAAATTCTAGAACTAAAAAACATTTGACCCCTTATCTCTTTAAATTGTACTTCAAAAAATATATAATAGGGGCTGTCTTTATAATAGAGTAATATGTTTATTGTATCTGTTTTGAAGATATACTCTGAATAATCCCTTGTTCCACAGTTCAAATCTGAGGTAACACTGAAGACAGAAAACAATGGTGACATTATCCCCACTCCCTTAAGGCCAGCCCTGCAATGATCCGGCATTGGAAATGCTGCTGCTTTACTTCACTAAATGATACTTTGTTTTGCAATTTACTGTGAATTACATAGCTTAATCTACGCAATAACAATCCTGAAAAAAGAAATGTTTCTGGTTTATTTCTGGAATTTAAATGAAACTGGTGCTTTTATATTCATATTTGTGTTAATGTTTTCTAGCATCAAAGTACAAATCCATTTATCCTTTTTAATAATACTCATAAACATGAATATCTGAACTAAAACCTTCACCTATAAAATTAGACAAATGGGGGAAAATATTGTAAAAGCAATAATAGTTAAAGAGATATTGAATTTGGCTGGGTGCGGTGGCTGACGCCTGTAATCCCAGCACTTTGAGAGGCCGAGGCGGGTGAATCACAAGGTCAGGAGTTCGAGACCAGCCTGACCAACATGGTGAAACCCCGTCTCTACTAAAAATACAAAAGTTGATTGGGCATGGTGGCGCCTTCCTGTAATCCCAGCTACTCAGGAGGTTGAGGCAGGAGAATTGCTTGAACTGGGACCCGGGAAGCGGAGGTTGCAGTGAGCCAAGATCGCGCCACTGCATCCCAGCCTGGGCTACGGAGCAAAACTTCATCTCAAAAAAAAAAAAAAAAGATATTGAATTTAAATAGGATTTGTCTTCTCAATAACTAAGTTTATTATTGCCAAAGTGGTATTTTAGTTGAAGAATTAGAATAAGAAGAATTCAAACTAAATAGGGCAATAATTGTCTAGAATACTGAAAGAGAAAAGTGCTTATTCAACAAATATTTATGGAATGATTTTTCTTAGTGTTAAGGACAACAGATTACAGACAAATAAGATATAATTCTCTTTTTAAAGATCTCACGAGTCTAATAATAATCTAAAGACCAGCATATAAACATACAATCATATTACTATGTAATAAATGGTATAAAAATATGCACAGGGTGTTATAAAAACATGATCATGTGGGAAGAAGATAAATCAGTAGCAACTCCTGAAGGAAATGATACCAAATCTGTATCTTGAGGAGAAATCACCCGCTAGCTCAGTGGGAAAGTGGGAGACGTTCCACACAAAAGGAACGGTTTGAAAATGAGAGGAAAGTGGACGCTGGAGAAAATTTTCCAAAAACATTTTATCTCTGTAGAATTGGGTATGTGTGGCGTTTTCCAGGCAAAGTGTTTAATCAAATGGATTTTCTGAAGATTGTTAAACTTTCTGTTTATGTTATGCTAACAAAGAATGCAGTTTCCCAACTGTTCCACAATATACTACTTACTGAGAGGGTGTCTCTCCTTATTTCTCTCGTGGAACTAGTACAAGGTTAAACCTACCATTTTCTGTAGTGGGCACCCAGTAAGTTGTCTCACTCCCCTGGGAACTGCACTCCCTTCCCCTCCCATTCTAATGCGGCTCACAGGTGCTACTGTGTTCTTTGAAAACCCAAAACCCTGGCCAGAATTCAAAGACAGCAGTATGGGCAACTGACTGTAGCCGGGCTAATCACAATACTTCAGTCCTTGTCGACTGGATTTGCGATGGGAACTTAGGCTAAACTGTATCAAGAAAGCCCTTTTCCAGATTTGTTTGTTTGGAACCCAAAAAAATCAAGCAAATGCCTTTCTCGTGTCTGAAGCTCTACAGTTTTCCTGTGAGCATAAACACAGCTACATAGAGAGAATGAACTTACAGAGACAGAAACAGAAGAAAAGAATGCCAGGATCAGCTTCATCCCACAAGACGGAAGTCTATTCCAGCAGGAAACATCTGGAGTCTTCCCTTAAACCTCCCTTTTTTAAATGTTGTGAGTTTTCTTTCTTTAGCTTTATTCATTCAACTAGCAAGCAAAACCTCTGAACATCCAGTTTCAAAGGTTTCTGCCAAATGCCCTGGCTGTTTAGCTTTTCTTTCCCTTCCCTCATTCTGTCTAGCTACAATCCTCTTGACAAACAGAGAAGAAAGGACTGGGGTCACACGGGAGTAGATGTTCATTTATTACAAGGGTAATAATGAAATGAATGATGAGAATAATTATAACTTACATGCCCATACTCAGAAATGATATGAGCTAAAAAAAAAAAGTGAAATTGTCAGAATATGTTCTGTATGAACAGTTACCCTTCCGGTTCTTGGGGAACTAGCAGTCACCCGGTGACTAGCCTTTGGTTGCTCAGAGAACAATATTGTAATTCTGTAATGAATTCTGTAATTATAATATTGTTCTCTGAGCAAGCAAAGGGGAGACTAAATGTGTATGGTCTCCTTGGAAGCATCTCAACTTCTAATCATTTAAAAATTTTACTTCCTCACTGAGAATGTAACCTGTTTGTTTCCCAGTCTTTCGAAGTGTTAACTGTCTATCTGCTATGAGCCAGTTAATATAATACATGTCAAATTTAATGTGCTAACCTTGTACTCAATATAGGAGAGACAATTAAGGTTCTCCAGCAGCAGTAAGACATTCTCTGAGACAGCAACAGCCCAGTCAATGTCAGCTTTCAAGCTGGTGCTGGCCTGATGCTGGCTAACCACCTGAGAGAAAGCTCGCCAAGGAGAGGTCCACAGTGGGAGGCAGGTCATATCAGATAGCCTATAAGCTTTTCTCCTACTTTCAGATAAAGACTCAAATATTTATTGATTGGCATATATTTTATAAATATATATATAGCTAGAGAGAGAGAGAGAATGTTACTACACAAGGGAACAATTTATCAAAAAGCTGTCCTGAAATCTTCAAATTATGCAAAGGAGCTGGATTAACTTTGCTGGAGCCTAGGATCAATCCCACCCAGGTGACGTGTCCTACACTCAGTGAGAAATTTTTATGATAATCTTGTTTCGATCATTATAATTACTGGAACCTTAATAACAATATTCAAGTAGTATTCATCTCTTATTACAATGCATGACTGGGGTGCTTTAATTGGGGCAAAAAGACTTGAGAATTCTGAACACTGTCTCTGTATTGACGGTTATGTACAGCTTCTTGCATGCCATCTTCCACAATAAATAGACTGGATTTAAAGTTATTTATAATCTCAACTTATAGTTCCTTCATTCTAAGAAGCTAGTAACAATACTTAGCTACTCTAGTTATAACAAAATAACCTTCATGCTGGTCAATTCTATATGCTCTTTTTTCCATCTTTGCTTCCTTTCTATATTATTCAGGACTCCTTAGACAGCGCAGGATAGAAATATACATTAAACCAGTTCAAGCAATAGAATGGAAGTTGGTTGGTTTGCAGGACTAAAAGGAATACTGATGAAGCTCACAAAACTGGAAGAAGCCCTGCCAAAAATCGAGGCTTGGAAGGCAGAGTTCAGTATGGCCAGGAGCTGTTATCTGGTGCATCCACCTCACATCTCTGCTTGGCTTTATGTAGATTGACTTTTTCCAATGACAGGAAAAGCGAGTGCTGGTGACAACAAATTTACAGTCTCCCAGCTAAGCAACACAGAAGAAAGATGCCCGGAAAAGCCCTGGCTGGCCCTGGTTGGCCTGAACGCCCACCCCGTAGGCCGATAATTGAGGTCGGTGGGATGCAGTCATATTCCTCACTAGGCTATTTTGTTGGGGGCAAAATGCTCTGGGGATAAGACTGGGGAAAGATGCATATCGTACAGGGAAACTAGAAGCAATACATGAGGCCAGGTGCAGTGGTGCGTGCCTGTAATCCCAGCACTTCAGGAGGCCAAGGTGGGAGGCTCGCCTGAGCCCAAGAGTTCAAGGCTAGCCTAGCTGGCTGTGGTGGCATGCACCTGTGGTCCCAGCTACTCAAGTAGCTGAGGTGGGAGGATCGCTTGAGCTCTCCAGGTTGAGGCTGCAGTGAGCTGAGATGGCACCTCTGCACTCCAGCCTGGATGGTAGAGTGAGACCCTCTCTCAAAAAAAGGAAGAAAAAGAAAAGAAGCAATGCATGAGGGCAGTTTAAGAGCTATCATCTTGGCCCTATAATACTGCTCAAAATACAATCTTTGTGCACAGAGGTTTGATCCATTGGCTTCTGTGGCTTTATTGCCTCCAACATATCTTTACCATCGTGTCTGCCATTGGATATAGATTGCTGCAATTTTCTGTCCCATCAAAACAAATGCTGGTTTCGCTGCACCCTTTCCACAGAAATGAATATCACTGGAAACTTGAAATGGTGTATGAGAGATTCTACAACCCTTTGCCACTTTCGGCTGCTCATTAGAAATGAAAAGGGGCCTCTTTTATGCAGTACTCTGGCACATCAGGTATAATACCGTGAATGTTCTTCCAGCACGAGTAGCTTAGGACATTAATGCTTAAACACATCATGCTCAGTATCTTGTGGGTAATATTCAAGTTTAATGTAACATCTCATTTGTGGCTGTCTAATTGCATGACATTTTCCATTTCTTTCCTCAGTTAATACTGTGATACAGAGTGTCTTCTTTTTATGGGACAATCTCTCCTCTAAACTCATGAACAATGTGCTTATTGTTTGTGTTAAGATAATGCTTTTCCCTCCCAGCTGTAACATTCCGATTGTTTTATTCTACCTCGGAAGGCCTAAGATGACCTCTTCGCGTGCAGATCTCAGTCCTTCGCTGTCTGCGGACCTGCCTACCCTTTGCTGCCTTATGAGAGACTTGACCTTCAACGCCTCGTTAGCATTATGGGTCTCTAGTCCACCACCAGCATCTAATCCCCAATAGCTTATCTTTGCCATTCTATGACCTAGTAGCTGAACTTTCTCACTGTGGCTG
This sequence comes from Homo sapiens, assembly GCF_000001405.40. Classification (NCBI taxonomy): domain Eukaryota; kingdom Metazoa; phylum Chordata; class Mammalia; order Primates; family Hominidae; genus Homo; species Homo sapiens. Next base: position 187,966,129 of record NC_000004.12, read on the forward strand.
CCCTAACAGAGCTAAACTCTTGACAAACCCATAAAGCAATTGATTTTTTTGTTTGGTTTTGTTTCTTAGTGGTTCTCTGCTTGAAATAAAGACATTTAAGGGTATTCATCTTTCTCTGTCCAAAAGCCTAGCCACTCCGATAATCTCATTTTAAGGCCAGGCACAGTGGCTCATGCCTGTAATCCCAGCACTTTGGGAGACTGAGGTGGGAGAATCACTTGAGGCCAGGATTTTGAGACCAGCCAGGGTAACGTAGCAAGAGTCTGTCTCCAGAAAAATTAAAAATTAGCTGGGCACTGTGGTGCACACCTGAAGTCCCAGCTACCCTGGAGGCTGAGGAGGGAGGATCCCTTGAACCAGGAAGTTGAAGCTACAGTGAGCTATGATGGCACCACTACACTCTAAGCAGAGTGAGACCTTGTCTCTTAAAAAAAGAAAAAATGAAAAAGAAAAAAAAAGAATTTTATTTTAAACACCCTTGTTACAACATATCAACATATTTTTGTATTTTGTGGTTTTTAACCTCCTTTTGTTGCCGCCTACTAATAGATTTAAAAAGTTCTGGTACTGTGATCAAAATTCCTTAGAGAAGAAGAAATAAACCAACGCTGTTTACTTGTAAATCCACTTTGCAAAGGGAGAATGAGAGGATACACTTTAAGGACTTAGAAGAAAAAGGCAATAATTATGTTTGTTTTACATCAGCATTTAAATCAAAATGAAAATGTTGCTTTCATAAAAAATGAAAGCAATAATGTTTTAATTAACGGGAATACCAATTCTTCTAAAAATAAATATTTTTCTGTAATTACTGTTAATTTTTTTTTCTTTAATAACTTTCTTAGCTCAGAAAGGAGCACAGTTATATGCTGGATGGTTTATAAGCACAGCTTTAAAATGTCATGATTTTTTGCAGCACTGTAACCTACAAAAAAAAAAATAATAAATTGTATTGACAAGGTTTTCATGCTTAAACCTACATTTTATTGTACCATTATCCCTGAACAAATTGAGGCACAATATTTCATTAGACTGGACAGATACATTATTGAACATACAAGAGAATATTAAAGGCCATTCAATAGTTTTAGCAAAGAGGATCAGTATTAGGTTTTGTAAGTTTGTGTAAAAGAATACCTTCTATATCATGGCTATATCTTTTATATTAGGTTAGTTTTTTGTTTTGAGACAGTCTTGCTCTGTCACCCAGGCTGGAGTTCAGTGGCGCCATCTCGGTTCACTGCAGCCTCTCCCACCTGGATTCAGGCGATTCTCCCGCCTCAGCCTCCCGAGTAGCTGGGATTACAGGTTCCCACCGTCACATCCAGCTAATTTTTGTATTTTTAGTGGAGATGAGGTTTCACCATGTTGGCCAGGCTCGTCTCGAACTCCTGACCTCAGGTGATTTGCCCACCTTGGCCTCCCGAAGTGCTGAGATTACAGGCGTGAGCCACTGCACCCAGCCTTAGGTTCATTTTTAAAACACCTAAAATGAATTTATTTTAAAGGAATGTATTTTAAAGGTATTTTTTTATAAGGACTTTAATATTTAGAGTCATTATATTTAGAAAAGAAGAGGTTCATACTCATATTTACAAAATACATCTCAGAAATGGATTCTGAGACAGTTCTAACAACTGTTCTATGAAGTTATATATTACTTATTATAATAGATGGCATACAATTTAGTGACAGTAAAATATCTGGGATTGAAATTCCACCCAAACACTCCCCCATTTTCTGCCATTAGAGATGTTCATTTGTCACAGAGAATCTAAAGGTTTATAGGACTTTTATAAGAGGAAAAACTGAATATTTCATGTAAATATTAATCATAACTAACTGGAGTGGCTATATTAGTATCAGACAAAGTAGACTTCAGAATAGGTAATATTACCAGGGATAAAAAGGGACATTACATGATGATAAAAAGGGTCAATTCATCAAGACAAGGTAGCAACCCTAAATATATGTCAACTAATTATAGAGCTTCCAAATAAATAAAGCAAAAATTGATAAAAATGAAAGAAGTCAGCAAATGCAGTTGTTACTGGAGACTTCAGCACTCATCTCAGTAATTGATAGAGCAGACAGAAAATCAGTAAGGATATAGATTTGAATGGCAGTAACTTGACCAACCTGACCTAAGGTGTCTGGGTAGAAGGTTCCACTCAATGTCAAAATACACATACTTTTCAAACGCACATGGAACATGCACCAAGATAGATGAGCAGTGCCTCTCCAACTGTGGTCGGGTATTTAAACCTAAATGTTCAATACTGATATGAAAAGTATTTGTTCACTGGACAACAGCAACCGATGATGGATATCCTTGGATTCCAGTTGTTTCTACCAATCTTGACCTTTACTCCTTTGCTTCCAAGTGGTCTTACAAGTAAAGCAAATCTCAGACATGCTTGGTTGCTCCGACAGATATCTAATAGCAAGTAAGCAGTAAGACAGCCATATAGCCTCTTAACCACTCTCAGTCCTCAGATGCCCTGACAAGCACATCAAACAAAAGGTTCACTCCAAGGCAGATGCAATGATATTTTGTTGATAGGATCAGAAAACTTCCTGAGGTTCAATAGTCATCCATTGAGGGTGGGATCACAGGATTGAAGGGAGCCCGACCCCAAGGGACTACTTGGATGTGGGTCTTAAACAGGTTCTTATAACTCCTTTCTTCAAGGGTAGTAGAGCCTGTAAAACCTCTCTTTCCCATCACATGTCTAGAAGTTTGCTAATTTCACCAATGAAATCATTTTTCCTCTATTCCTTGTGCTAATTCACAATGCCTGTGGTTTAGATTTAGACATCAATATTTGAAGTCTTGCTGAGTCTACCTCTCAAGTGTAGATTGCCAATTGAGGCAGTTCAAATGCTAATCAGCCATCTATAAGGTGTAGATTAAAGTTAATTCACACTGACACATATGCCACACTCTATACTAATTATCAATACATTCCATCAGATGAATCAGCAGTATATAAATCAGTATGCTAAAATATATTAAAATAATTTAAATCAATTTACCAAAAAAAAAAAAAAAATCTCAGAGCAGTCAAACAAATTTATGTTAGCAAAAGGAAATCAGAAATCATGAGATTTTCAACAAACCAACATTGGGGTAAAAAATTTTCTTTTCACATTTTTTTTTTTTACCATTTCTTAATAATTATTCTCTAACTACCACTCTAGTTTTTCTAATAACAAAGAGCAAATTGGCTGTCTGTACGCAATAGAACTTACCTTTTTTTCTTTTATTCTTTTTTTTTTTTTTTTTGAGACAGATTCTCTCTCTGTCGCCCAGACTGGAGTGCAGTGGTACAATCTCGCCTCACTGCAACCTCCACCTCCTGGGTTCAAGCGATCCTCCTGCCTCAGACTCCCAAGCAGCTGGGATTACAGGCTCACACCACCACACCTGGCTAATTTTTGTATTTTTAGTAGAGACAGGGTTTTGTCATGTTGGCCAGGCTGGTCTCGAACTCTTGACCTCAGATGATCTACCAGCCTCGGCCTCCCAAAGTGCTAGGATTACAGGCGTGAGCCACTGCGCCCATCCTAGAGCTCACCTTTTTTTAAAACATGTATTACAATGCTGTGTTTGATAAAGGCAATAAAAATGTTTAAATCAACATTTGTTTGACAGTAGAATTTCAATTATCTTAATTTTAGGAGTATAGGAAAAACATTCTCATTGCACCATGTACAAAAAACATCCTATTAACATAGGACATATTGTTAGATGCAATAGGGTTTTATCAATTTTTTTTTATTTAAATCATGGACGGTTACATCATTAAATTGTATTCACTGGATTGAGGCGTTGAAGAACTTGTAACCTCCCACATCCCAATTTTAACACCTGCTCTTTGCTCTTCATTTTGTGTATGCCAAGGTTAGTTCATCATTCAACTTCCACAGCGACTTATCTATTTATAATGCTTGGCAAATTTTCCAAGGATTTCCTCTAGTGGTACAGTAAAATATGCTATCACAGGCCTAATTTTTCTTTGAAGGCTTCTATTTTATCTTAAAACCCCGTGTGACTTTTGTATGTAAATACACAATGTCTTCTTCGCCAGAACCACCGGGTTGGTTGCCGTCTGAGCTGTGCCTCCTCGTCACCGCCACCGCTATGCCTGGAGGTCGGCTTCTTGGGGACGTGGCTCCCAACTTTGAGGCCAATACCACCGCCGGCCGCGTCCGTTTCCAGGACTTTCTGGGAAACTCACTGGGCATTCTCTTCTCCCACCCTCGGGACTTTACCCCAGTGTGCACCACAGAGCTTGGCAGAGCTGCAAAACTGGCACCGGAATTTGCCAAGAGGAATGTTAAGTTGATTGCCCTTTCTTTTTTCTTTCTTTTTCTTTTTCTTTTTTTGAGACGGAGTCTTGCTCTGTCGCCCAGGCTGGAGTGCAGTGGTGCACTCTTGGCTCACTGCAATCTCGGCTCACTGCAATCTCTGCATCCTGGGTTTAAGCAATTCTCCTGCCTCAGACTCCTGAGTAGCTAGGACTACAGGTGTGCGACACCACGCCCAGCTAATTTTTGTATCTTTAGTAGAGATGGGGTTTCACCATGTTGGTCAGGCTGGTTTTGAACTCCTGACCTCGTGATCTGCCCACCTCAGCCTCCCAAAGTGCTGGGATTACAGGTGTGAGCCACCACACCTAGCGGATTACCCTTTCGATAGACCGTGTTGAGGACCGTCTTGCCTGGAGCAAGGATATCAATGCTTACAATGGTGAAGAATCCACAGAAAAGTTACCTTTTCGCATCATCCATGATAAGAATCGGGACCTTTTCATCCTGTTGGGCATGCTGGATCCAGCGGAGAAGGATGAAAAGGACATGCCTGTGACAGCTCGTGTGGTGTTTGTTATTGGTCCTGATAAGAAGCCGAAGCTGTCTATCATCTACCTGGCTACCACTGGCAGGAACTTTGATGAGATTCTCAGGGTAGTCACCTCTCTCCAGCTGACAGCAGAAAAGAGGGTTGCCACCCCAGTTGATTGGAAGGTGGGGATAGTGTCATGGTCCTTCCAGTGATTCCTGAAGAGGAGGCCAAAAAACTTTTCCTGAAAGGAGTCTTCACCAAGGAGCTCCCATCTGGCAAGAAATACCTCCGCCCCACACCCCAGCCTTAAGTCTCTTGGAGAAGTTGGTGCTGTGAGCCAGAGGACATCCGCTGCCAATCATGTTTTCCTGCTGCAATTCCATGAAAACATCCTGGTGTCATCACACCAAGGTTTTTAGGTTGCTATACTACTGGCTTATTAAATGAAAACTGGCACTAAAAGTTTCTTGGGATTCTTTACACTCTGTCTTCACCAGCATTCAATTCTGTTCATACATCAGCACTCTCTACTGGTTCTCTTTGAAATATGTTCTGTATTTAAAACTCAAATCTTGTTGGATCTCTGCAGGGCTTGTGACCAATGAGGTCATATTTGTTGATGGTTGAGAAAGCTTGCTTCCCTCCATCAGAGAATGACTATCCCTCCATCAGAGAATGACTATCAATTTTTTTAACTGTCCTATTACATCCTGTCTTCAGTCACCCATTTTGAAGAGTGGCAGAACTTGAGGTTCAACTCCTCTGTAAATATCCAAGTATAAAACCCAGGAACTTAGAGTAACCCAGATGTTCTTTAATACTGTTTGGATCATAGCCGGGGGAAAAAAAACTTTTTAATTCTGTACCTTTCTAGTAGATAACTGAAGAACAAGGGAAGAGACCTTTAAATATTTTGCTATAAAAAAATTTTTTTGTGGCCAGGCGCAGTGGCTCACACCTGTAATCCCAGCACTTTGGGAGGCAGAGGGGGGTGGATCACGAGGTCAGGAGATCCAGACCATCCTGGTTAAAACGGTGAAACCCCGTCTCTACTAAAAATACAAAAAATTAGCCGGGCGTGGTGGTGGGCGCCTGTAGTCCCAGCTACTCAGGAGGCTGAGGCAGGCGAATGGTGTGAACCCGGGAGGCGGAGCTTGCAGTGAGCCGAGATCGCGCCACTGCACTCCAACCTGAGCAACAGAGTGAGACTTCATCTCAAAAAAAAAAAAAAAAAAAATTGTGATAAGTTTCTGTCAAAATGGGGAGACTGCAGAAAAGGCTTCCCTTGGCTTCCAAGGAGGTGTAGCAGGGGTGAGCAATCCTAGTGCCATGTGCCTTTCACACAGGGTTTGCCTTTATCAGTCTGCTTTCTGATGACGTGTACATGAAAGAGTACACCATGAGACAGGAAGAGAGAATGACTGAAAATGTTTTATTGTAGAACTCTTCTTGCAGTAGGTTTTGCTATGTTCTGGATTTTACTTTTTAGGGAACAACAAATAAAATCCTTTGTTAAAACTGAAAAAAAATACACAATGTATCAATGTCTATTTTGACGTAAATGTTAATATTTAAAATTGCGGTTGCCTAAATCACTTTCAGTTTCTGTATGTGTTACCCAAACTAATTTGGAATCAGGAACTTAGAGGATACTTCTAAAAAAGACATGAGAGGTCATTGTGAAGGATGAGAAATGTTCCATGAACTCACTGGTTTTTACTGGTAGCCCTAAGGGGCCGTATCATTCTGTTTCTCAATGCCTGTCTCAGTAAGAAGCAGAGGAATTTTGTAAATAAATATTTGCTCCATCAATAGAAGCAGGATTAATTCTATATGGAACAACCCAGTGCATGCAAGGATCTGTGGAGTTTCCTTTATTCCTAAAAAGCCAGTCTGCGGGCACTGTCTCCCAGGTTTAGACCTGGAAGTTTTAGAAAGCTATGAAGTCTCCCACTGTAGAAAATAGAACTGTTTAATGCAATCTGTTGCTCTTTTGTGATAAATTGCCTTCTTGGAAGCAAAGCAAGAGACACCTGGATGAGGGACTACAAAAGCTGCAGAAGACAATGTAACGTTAGTTGCCCTTGGGAAGAAAACTAGATGACTTGAGGTCAAGGGTAAAAGACTTCCTTTTACCATTGACCTTGTTTCATTTTACTGTTTGTACCATTTACATGTATTATCCCTTTTAGAAAACAGATTCATAATAATTTTAAAATAAGTTATTTTGTGACTTCAGAAAAGAGCAGCAAATAACATTTTTGTCTCATTTATCATAATTTAAGCCTTGAGGGTCTCACCCAGGCAGCTCTGATGGAGCTCAAAGTCCAGCTAAACAAAGCTTCTATGCCTGACACTGCTTCACAATTGAGCGTCCACACAGTCAGTCCTTGCAGCAGAAATGAGAGAATGTATACAAATGGAAAGGTTGGGGTCAAGGGACCCACAGCCTTGAACAAGCTCCCTTTCGTGAGACAGAGAGGGGACAGAATATATAAGTATTTACTCATATATGCAGAAACAGTCCTTGGAAATTATGGATGCCTAAGACCTACAGTAACTGACATTATATTCACAGCACTGGGTTGCATTTAATAAGTGGAAACCAAGCATAATTTGCTTTTCAACTTACTTATATTCATTGAAGGATTATCCAAATTAGCAAAAGGAGCATCCAGTACTAAATTAAATCTATTAATGCCTACCACAACACACACGTATTTGTTTGAGATAGAGGTTAGGCCGTGATACTCTAACTTCTAGGTAGAGGCTTTGCAGTATTCTTTTCTTCCCTTGTAGAAATGGAGGATGAGTTATTATAGGACATTCATCAGAATCAGTTCTAGAGCCTTCAAACAGAAACTCAAAAACTATAAGTGACCTTTTAATAGTAGAAGAAAAGTAGGACAATATTCTCTCTCTCCTCACACTCCTCTAAGTGAGCAAGAACTTTCAAACTGTGGCCACTTGTATCCCCTGAAGTAGGCCTCTTCATGTGATCAGTTGTTTTGTGGGGTGGAGGGTTGTATTCATACACTTGCTCAGATTAGCTCTATGCAACAAAGCTAGTGAAACTCATTGCGTTGATCTTAGACATCCATCCACCTGCCGGCTCTGTTGACTAACCCATGTGGCTGTAGGTTGGTGTTACGGATTTGTAAATTAGGCAATCCTAAGACATGGGTGCTAATAAGACGTAGTTGAACTTGGGCTGCCTTCCCGTGCTGGTATTGAGAAAGCGCTGTAGCCAAGACTCAGGTTCGCGACGTTTACGCCCACGAAGACTCGGGTTCGCCATGTTTACCCTCACGCATCTACAACAGTCCTGGATTTTTATGGATCACTGTTCGCAATGTTTACACTCACGCATCCACAACAGTCCTCCATTTTTACGGATCGCCTGGATTTTATTAAAATGCAGATTCTGATTCAGCAGGTCGAGGGCAGGGTCTGCATTTCCAACAAGATGATGCTGACACAGCTGGGCCATGACCCACACTTTTAGCAGGGCTGAGCCCCTCAGATGGTGTCTGGCTGCAGAGACTTTCATACATTTTGAAATTTCAGGCATGAGATTTTGAAAATTTGAATACATGTAACTATACTACCTATCCAAAAAATAGCAAAAGTTATACAAGTGAAATAATTTTTGTTGAAACCCCAGTATTCTCTAAGAGTCAGGCAGCTGAGTGAAAACATGGGTAAGATGAGCAGTAACAGGCCCTCTGTAGGAATCTTGCCTTTGAGTTGGAAGCTTTTTATCATGCTCATCAAGAAAGTTTCCTCTCCTAGCACCTCTGCCCAGCCGCCCCGTCTGGGAGGTGTACCCAACAGAGACAGCGACCATCGAGAGCGGGCCATGATGACAATGGCGGTTTTGTCAAATAGAAAAGGGGGAAATGTGGGGAAAAGAAAGAGAGATCAGATTGTTGCTGTGTCAGTGTAGAAAGAAGTAGACATAGGAGACTCCATTTTGTTCTGTACTAAGAAAAATTCTTCTGCCTTGGGATGCTGTTAATCTATAACCTTACCCCCAACCCTGTGCTCTCTGAAACATGCGCTGCGTCCACTCAGGGTTAAATGGATTAAGGGCGGTGCCAGATGTGCTTTGTTAAACAGATGCTTGAAGGCAGCATGCTCGTTAAGAGTCATCACCACTCCCTACTCTCAAGTACCCAGGGACACAAACACTGCGGAAGGCCGCAGGGTCCTCTGCCTAGGAATACCAGAGACCTTTGTTCACGTGTTTATCTGCTGACCTTTCCTCCACTATTATCCTATGACCCTGCCACATCCCCCTCTCCGAGAAACACCCAAGAATGATCAATAAATACTAAAAAAAAAAAAGTTAGTGTAAAATAAAGTAGTAGCTTTCCAATATACAAACAATCAAATGATAGATATAATGATGTAACAAAAGATGTACATAACAGTGATTAAAATATTCTTAGGAATATATTTAACAATAAAAAAAAAAAAGAAAGTTTCCTCTCCTGAACCTCGGCTACACCGCTCTTCACAGACCAAATTGAAGCTTCACTGAGAATGGCTTCAGAGGATTTCCTGAACACAATAATCATTTTTTTCTATTTTAGATGTTTTGCTTCCAGAAGGCAAAAAAAAGGACTAAATGAACCTCCGAGCAGAGCCTATATGATGATTTTGCAGGAATATTAAGATGGGCCCCCCCCCACTATTATTCTTAGCAAACTAAAGCAGGAACAGAAAACCAAATAGCACATATTCTCACTTATAAGTGAGACCTAATTGATAAGAACATGTGGACACAAAGAGGGGAACACACACACACTGGGGACTCTGAGGGTGGAGAGTGGGAGGAGGGAGAGGATAAGGAAAAATAACAGAATCTCCGCTTAGTTCCTGGGTGATGAAATAATCTGTACAACAAACCCCGTGACATAAGTTTACCTATGTAACAAATCTGCACATCTACCCTAAATCTAAAATAAAAGTTTAAAAAATTAGAAAAAGAAAAATAGCCAGGCATGGTGGCGTGCACCTGTAGTCCAGCTACTCAGGAGGCTGAGGTGGGAGGATCTCTTGAGCCCAGGAGGTCAAGGTTGCAGTGAGCCATGATTGTGCCACTGCACTCCAGCCTGGGTGACAGAGTGAGAAATTACCTCTAAAAAAAAAAAAAACGAGAAGGTGGGCCTCCCCGTGGCATGTATTAGAAAAAGTGCGCCCTCTGGATGGATGAGGCCCCTGGATAGATGGTGCTGAAACAGGTCAGGGACACTGGTCTCATTGTCCAAGGTGTTATCCAAGCTCGTTGTCTCACAACCAAAAGAATTAAGGAGCGTGGACACAGAGTGAGGTTGGAGCAAAAGTTTAATGAGCAAAAAAACCAAGCTCTCCACTGTGCAAAGGGGAGCCTGAGTGGGCTGCCGTTTTTACAGTTGAGTCCAAAAGCTTTTAGAAGAAACTCCTCTCATCTATGTAGCTGTTTGAGTAACTTCTCTTATGTGAAAAGCTGTCTGTAAACCCCACCCCTTATCCACGTAGTTGCGGATATGACTCTAGGCAAGCACAATGCACCGCTTCTCTTGTCCGTGTAACTGTGGGTTTGTTTTAGGGAAGCCCCCTCCTCTCTGTGCAAGTTCCCACGGAGCCCACCGTGTACTTGTCTGAAAAGAAGGGGAAACTTTTCCCTGGGAGCTGGTTAATCACACGAAGAACAAAAGGCTTCTGTGCCGGACCTTGCGTGCTTGCCTGTGCAGGTGCAGCCTCAGTTTTCCCCAGGCTGCTCTATTTTTGCCTGTAGCTGCGATTTTTCAGGCAGGCTGCTTCTCCAAGGACCAGCCTTAACTGTTTACCTAACTGATTTTTCCTTTGCTTCTCCCTCAGTGCTTTACACGAAGAAAAAGATGCCCTTCCTCACAAGTGTACCTGGCCCACAGCTCAAAGAGCAGAGCTTGGGTTGGATTTGTGAAGGGCACCATTTGACCACCACCGGGGCAGCCCATCTAAAACTCTCCCAGTCAGCTCATACTAATAAGGAAATCTTGTAGAAAATGGACAGTAAATTAGAGGCAAGTGTTCACAGGAAGCAGTCTTCTTATTTGCTTTTCTAATCCCTCTGGTGGCAAGAGAGCCTGAGTGCCGGGAGTTCAGGGAGGCGGAGAGGCTGACAGTGGCGCAACATGGGGCTCCATTTTCCCTGACTCTGCCTTGGAAGTCTGCCGCTTGGTGTCTGGTCTTTATACCTGATACAGTGTTTGCCTTGTGTTATGGCTGAGTTATATCCCCTCACCCAAATTTACATGCAGAAGTCTTAATCTGCTGGGCATACTGGCTCACGCCTGTAATCCCAGCACTTTGGGATGCCAAGGTGGGAGGACGGCTCAAGGCCAGGAGTTTGAGACCAGCCTGAGAAGCATAGTGAGACCTCGTCTCTACAAAAAAAAGAAAATTAAATTTCTAATTCCCAGTGACTCAGAATGTGTCTGCATCTGGCAATAAGATCTTTAAAGAAGTAATTAAGTTAAAGTTAGGTTATTAGGGTGGTCCCTCATCCAATCTGACTGGCATCCTTATACGAAGAGGAAACAGGGACACAGATACACACAGACAGAGGACTGAGTGGAGACACAAGGAGAATTCGGCCATCTACAGGCCAAAGAGAGAGGCTGGAGAAGGAGCCAACCCTACTGACACCCTGTCCTCAGTCTTCCAGCTCCAGCATTGTGAGGAGATGCCATTGTGTGATGTAAGCCTCCCAGTATGTGGTAATTTGTTATGGCAGCAGGGGGGACTGAAACACCTTGCCGCTAGACCTTGATAATTTATAAGAAAAGTCAGAGGTAAATGCTTGTGAGATTATCGGGAAAGGATGCACCATGATTAGACCCACAAAAGGTCCTCTCCACTCCCCCACTTCCCCTCCCCAGTGCAAGTCCACCCAGGTTGACAGCGTGGGCTTGAGTGGAAAGTCGGCAGCAGCAACGGAGGCTTGAAGCTGGCCTTCCTAACTTGAGACTCTCCATGTTTTGATTCAAAGCCAGGAGGATTCAATGACCGCAGTCATTGCAGGGTCTGAATAGCCAAGAAATGCTTGGCTTCATACAAAGCACTATATACGGACCTGTGTCAGGCGAACTGTTGAAACAGAAGAGACACTGGGAGAAGGCTTTTCCCATTTCTCCAACCACTGCTTCAGAAAATCTCTGATATGCAGAGAGTGATTATTTCTCCTTGGTCTTTCTGGGATGTTTGAAGGAGAAGTGACCACTCCTCATGCATTTTTCATTCTATAGCCATTTAAGTCTATTGCTGCCAGGAAAATGAGGGACCGACTAAATGACTTCTAATTAAAAATATAGGAAAGCTTCAAGTGACTTCATGAAGAGGTCATGGCAATATAGTGCATTAGTAAATCACCGCAACTCCCCAGATCTAGGCAAATAAGCATAGATCTATTTATTCTTGAATTTTTTTTTCAGGATATGAGTCCTCTGCCCAAATCCAAAGGCCTACTTGAACACAGTTTCAGTTCCTTTCTTCTTTCCCAGATAACATCAGTGAAACAATTTATGTTCTTCCTCAACAAGAAGAAAGCCAAACTCTTCTGATACTATTTCAACAACCCTTATTGCTCCACTCACAGCCTCCCTCAGGTGAAGTTTTTTCTCCCTTTCTCCAAACCTTTGCCTTCCTTCTGCCTCCTTTGTGGCTAAAATTAACGTACTGCCTAGAACCAGACCTGTCACCTTCTGACTCACATTCTCCCATAAAGGTACTGAAAAGCCTTAAGAAGATTCATGAAGCATCATTAGACAATTAAAACTGTCAATATGAAAAAAAAATGTGGCCAGACACGGTGGCTCATGCCTGCAATCCTAGCTCTTTGGGAAGCCAAGGCAGGTGGATCACCAGAGATCAGGAGTTCGAGACCAGCCTGGCCAACGTGGCAAAACCCCATCTCCACTAAAAATACAAAAATTAGCCGGGCAGGGTGGCTCACTATAATCCACTGAGAGAATAGCTTTGCTGTCCTCCTTTCTCTATGGAATGCCAAACACCTGTGCTATCTTAGACTAGTCACAGGACTTGAAACTAGCCCAATTGTCTTATAGAACTGATGCTTACGGTTTCTTTTGAATCCACATAGAAATTGACCTTCCCAGTCTTAAAATTTGAGACAGTCCCATTTGTCTTTTCTGAGTTCCTTTCTCAGGAAACCAACCATCAGGCTTCCTAGATAGTATCAAGGAGCTGAAACTCACCAGATCACTGCCTCTTGACAATGAGATGCCAGACCCCTCACCCATCATGACTACCTAAACGGCCACCGGCTTCCTGTTGACCAACTCTCTCTACTTATCCTTTCCTAACTCCTGTTCTCCCACACAGGGTTACATTTCTTCCTTGCTATATAACCTCCAGCTTTGGTTGGTCAGGGAGACGGATCTGAGGCTGATCTCCCATCTCCTCTGCTGCAGCACCTGATTAAAGCTTCTTTCTTGGAGATACTCATCGTCTCAGTCATTGGCTTTCTGTACAGCGAACAGCAGGACCTACACTGAAGCCCTGGCGTTTTGGTAACAGATTCAATGATGTCTCTTCAACCAAGTTGCTTATTTTCACCATGCAGTAAAAATAAGTACCATAGGCTGGGCGCGGTGGCTCACGCCTGTAATCCCAGCACTTTGGGAGGCCGAGGTGGGCGGATCACAAGGTCAGGAGATTGAGACCATCCTGGCTAACACGGTGAAACCCCATCTCTACTAAAAATAAAAAAATTAGCCAGGCGTGGTGGCGGGTGCCTGTAGTCCCAGCTACTTGGGAGGCTGAGGCAGGAGAATGGAGTGAACCCGGGAGGCGGAGCTTGCAGTGAGCCGAGATCACGCCACTGCACTCCAGCCTGGGCGACAGGGGGAGACTCTGTCTCAAAAAATAAATAAACAAATAAATAAAAATAAGTACCATATAAGCCTTGTTTAGATAACTTGTTTCCTTTAACCCACTCTTTATGGGTTAAAGGACACCCCCCACTCTCAGCTTCAATCTTTGCCCCATACCACTCTCATTATCCACTCTTACTAACAGCCATTTGTTTCACTTTATTGGATTCAGCTTCTCTATCCATAGACATGGTTTCTACTGCATGGCTCCTGAAACTTAAATGTGCATATGAATTACTTGGGTATTTTATTAAAATTTTAATTTACTTCAGTAATTCTGGAGTGAAGGCTGAAATTCTGCATTCCTGTCAAGCTCCCAGGTAATGTCAGTGTTGCTGATCTGAAATTGTACATTGGTTTAAAATAGTCTATTGTAACCCTTTGTAGGGTTTTCAGGTTCCAAACACAGGCTCTGGGAGTTAAATTATACTAGTAACTTATATATCACTTCTGCCAAATAAATAGCCAAATCAATCCATCAATGAATATTTGTTGAATACCTACTCCAAAGTCCCCTGTAAAATATTTTCTTCTTAGTTTGGTAGATAGTTTCGAAAGCATTTACCATTTCAAGTGTTTGTTTGTTTGTTTTTGCAACAGAGTCTCACTCTATTGCCCAGACTGGAGTGCAGTGGAATGATCTCGGCTTACTGCAACCTCTGCCTCCTGGGTTCAAGAGATTCTCTTGCAGCCTCAGCCTCCCGAGTATCTGGGATAACAGGCGTGTGCCACCACGCCTGGCTAATTTTTGTGTTTTTAGTAGAGATGGGGTTTCACCATGTTGGCCATGGCTGGTCTCGAACTCCTGACCTTAGGTGATCTGCCTGCCTTAGCCTCCCAAAGTGCTGGGATTACAGGTTTGAGCCACTGCACCCAGCCACCATTTCAAGTTCTAAAAGACTTATCTCTAAACCTTTCATAGGCAGTCAGTATTCTTCCCCTTTCTCCTTATCTCCTCATCACCAAGGTTTTTTTGTTTTTTGTTTTTGTTCTTTTGCAACAGAGTCCCAATCTGTCACCCAAGTTGGAGTGCAGTGGTGCAGTCTTGGCTCACTGCAGCCTCCACCTCTCAGGCTCAAGCAATGCTCCCACCTCAGCTTCCCAAGTAGCTGGGACTACTGACACGCACCACCACACCCAGCCAATTTTTGTATTTCTAGTAGAAATGGGGTTTCACCATGTTGGCCAGGCTAGTCTCAAACTCCTGGCCTCAAGTGTTCTGCCCACCTCAGCCTCCCAAAGTGCTGGGATTACAGGTGTGAGCCACCACCCCTGGCCTACCAAGTTTTAATATAAGATTTATAATTCAATTGTCTGAAGATGGGCTTCAGAGCCAAAGAACATTTCCAGTGTTCTCAAGCTACATTCATTCATTCATTCAATAAATATTTACTAAGCACACACTACATACTTGGCACTGTTTCATGTACTGTTTACTGATAAGCATAGAACACAAGACAAGCAAGGTCCCTGAAGCTACAAAGCTCAGACCCCAAAAGGGTAGGAAATGAACAATAAAAACATAAAAAATAAATAATTTCAGAGAGTCAAAAGTAAATGACAAAAATAAAACAGCATAATTCAATGGGACTAAGAAGCACTACTTTGGATAGGGTAACTGGGGAAAGCCTCCCTGGAGTGATCTCATCAGAGCTGAGATGTAAATGACAAGAAGGTGCCAGCCTCAGAAAGGTCTGAAAGAAGAGGTTCTAATGATCTAATAGTCATGATTTGCTCTGTAGACTGCTTTCCTGAGAGTTGCAGTTGTGTGTTCCGTGTTCCCTGGGTCTCACTGAGCGTGTCTGAAAAGGCCACTTTGCAAATACAGTGGTGCACAATTACCTCCTGTTTTTGTCATCATTTTTAGCTCTTTCCAAAAAAAGATTGATGGAGACTGCCTGCATGAGGATTGGCTTATCGGGGATACAGGGCAGACAGTCAGTATAGATTTCCATGATCCGGGAGAAAATTATCTGTAGAACATTACAACTAATCATTTATTCCTGGAAAGGAGGGAATATTTTCTTTGATAAGCACTTACTGAGCACTTATAACATGAGAATAAATGTTTATATGTGTATAAACAGATGAAATATGGGTCTGTAGAGATGAATATGACATGGATTTTGTTGTCAAGGAGCTTACAAATAAACACAAAGTAAAATGGAAAAAGTGAGAAACTGGAAGTACAGGGTAACGAAAATAATCACTTTGAAGGAAGGGTGACTGATCTTGGCCAAGAGAATCTGTAAATGTTCCCATGAGCAGTCTGTATTTGAACTAAGGCTTGAAATAGGAAACAGAGGAGCCATATCCATAGACAGTACGAAAGGCCATAGAACCGGGTAAGACACTTAGGGAGGAAGTGGAGGAAAGAAGAGGCTCAAGGGCTCTGCCCCTGCACAACCTGGTTAATAGCCTTGAAGGTGATAATGCACAAGAAATGCAGATTTCAACCATGTCAGAGGACGCACAGGTCCAGCAAGATGAACAACAAAACCTGACCTTTGGTTTGAACATTGTGGAGGTGGTGTGGTGGCTGGGAGCACAGATGTTTCCGCGAAGGGGAGAAAGAAAAGGTTTATCAAAGTGGATTCAAGAGAAATATGCAAGGAGAACTGAAAATTGGCACCACAGCCCAGGGCTTCTCAAACTTTAAAGTCACTGTGAATCCTGGAGATCCTGCTGGAGTGCAGTTTCTGATTTATAGGTCCTGGGTGGAAACTGAGAGTCTGAATTTCTACCACAATGGCGGGTGACATTGATGTCACTGATGGATCACAATTTGAATAGCAAAGGAAGAGAGTATTTCAGGAGTTTTATATTAAAAGGAGCAATGAAAAGGACTGGGTGAGCAAAGTAACTAGAGGAGGATGTGGGACCAAGGATATTATTTTTAAGATTCATGCTATCGCAGCATTGTATGCCAATGGGGATGATTCAGCGTTCAGAGGGGGAAAGTCAAAATGGGGAGCGGGATAACTGAACATCGTCCTTGAGTAGCGTGGAGAAAGGGGCACGCAGCGATCAGTGAAGGGGCAGCTCTGGAGGGAAGCCCAGCCAGTTCGTGCATGTTACCAGGGGCAGCAGAAAGCTCCTGCGCATAGAGGCAGGTGAGCTGGACGCTGCACAGGGGTTCTCTTCTGTTGTTATTTCTCAATGCAGTAAGGCACTTAGCTGCTAGGACTGGGAAGAGGAAGAGGCAGCAGTATGAAAGAATCATGAGGAAGTAAATTGACTAGGGCAGTGGTCCTCAACCCCATGAGACCCATGACCCTTTTTGTTTTGTTTTTGTTTTTGTTTTTTGGGACGGAGTTTCGCTCTTATTGCCCAGGCTGGAGTGCAATGACGCGATCTCGGCTCACTGCAACCTCCGCCTCCCGGGTTCAAGCGATTCTCCTGCCCCAGCCTCCCGAGTAGCTGGGATTATAGGCATGAGCCACCACACCCATCTAATTTTGTATTTTTAGTAGAGACGAGGTTTCTCCATGTTGGTCAGGCTGGTCTCAAACTCCCGACCTCAGGTGATCTGCCCACCTCGGCCTCCCAAAGTGCTGGGACTACAGGTGTGAGCCACCGCGCCCGGCCCATGACCCTTTTTATAACACATGCTTTTAACAACCTTGCTACCATTGTGAAAATAAAATAATAGTTTATGTAACCTACCTACACACACATTTTTGAATCAACATAATTCCTTCACCGTAATGTAAAGAAAGAAAAGAAAAATCGTTCAGGCGTGAGTGTACTGTTGTGTTAGGAAGGCGAAAGCATCTCCACAAGCACTGTGAGTGCTTCTAGAAGGCAGCGAGAATATCTGAGGCTTGGTGAGACGCTTTCATCGCCATGACTAAGGGTCCACCCGCAGTTACCGGTTATGATTTCATGGGAGACTCTCAGTTGTACATTTTGTTCAGCTGCTTGGATGCAAGCTCAGAGGTGGCAGAGTTGCATTTAATCAGGCTGGCAGCTTTACTGGGGAGTAAATGGACTGAAAATGGTGCAAGGAAGCTTAAGGTCCAGGTCTACAATCTCTATGTGCAATTCCAAAATCCAAAAGAGCTTTGAAAATACAAGTTGGTTGTTGGTGGTTATCCAAAACTCATTTGGCAGTGAAACTCAGCCTGAATAGACACAAAGCTATTTAGAGCCTTTACTGATCCCACTTATTTGAGATACTACATAACAGTAGAACTGATTATCTTTCTACAATTTTTTTAAAATCTGAATTTGGAAACATCTGTGCCCTTAGAGCTTGGGATAAAGCATTATAAACTGTACATGTAAGGGAATTAATAAAATGACGGGCCAGGTAAGCCAAGGCAGGTCAGATAGGAAATAAAGACTTGAGCAGTTAAGACACAGTGAAAAAAATTGGGCCACCGGATTCCGGGTCCCTGTATGGCAGATTGTGGGGTGGAAGTGCTAGAAGTGAGACAGGAAGCCTGGGAGATACAGAGCTGGATGCTTTCAACTGAGAATCCGAATGGGGTACAGTTACAGATAATGACGAGTGCAGACCCTACAGTAGCTGAGGATGTCAAGGTGAGGACGTCAAGAATAATCCATCGCCCAGGGATGGCGGCCCATGCCTGTAATCCCAACACTTTGGGAGGCCAAGGTGGGTGAGTCACCTGAGGTCAAGGAGTTTGAGACCAGCCTGGCCAACATGGTAAAACCCCGTCTCTACTAAAAATACAAAAATTAGCTGGGCATGGTGGTGCACATCTGTAATCCCAGCTACTCGGGAAGCTGAGGCAGGAGAATCGCTTGAACCCTGGAGGCGGAGGTTGCAGTGAGCCAAGATCACACCACTGCACTCCAGCCTGGGCAACAGAGACTCCACCAAAAAACAAAAAACAAAAAAAAAAAACAAAACAAAAAACAAAAAAAAAAACACACAAAAAACAAAAAAACCCAGAACAATCTATCAGAAGAAGGATCCATGTGGATGTGAGATTAGCACTGGGCATTTAACATGTGACTGCCTCAAAAGGGAGTGGTGGCCAGTGTCGTCTGAGAGCTTCAGCTGCCGACGAGCTGCCTGCTGACAGGTGTAGGAAGCAGAAAGGTCGAGCGTGAACAATGGGAACAACACTTACCCATGGGGGTGACATCTAAAGAGAAAGCAGCCTCCACCCGACCCTGCTTCAGGGGAAGCCACGTCCTCGGGTCGGTTAGGACCAAAAGATGAAGAATTTAGGGATGCAAAATATTTTGCTGATAACTGCCAAGGGGATCAGAAGACACAGAGGAAGAATTTGGGGGATTCTGCAGGGTTTTGAGCCTGGGTCATCCCAGGAAATGTACAGAGCCATGTGAGGATGAGACTCCAGTGTGGGAGGATGACCTGGGGGTGTCTGCCTCGCCACCTGCCATGACTGGGATAAAATGGAGTAACTGGCTCAGTCCTAATGATACGTAACAGCAGCATTTTTGCAAAAAGAGCTAGACCTGCTCATAAGATTGAGTAGTTCAGAGGTCAGTTAACTCTTTCTGGGCCAGATAATAAGTATTTTAGATTTTGTGTCACAATTCCTCAACTCTACCATTGTAGCAAAAAAGCAGATATGGCCAGGCGTGGTGCTCACGCCTGTAATCCTAGCACTTTGAGAGGCCAAGGTGGGTGGATCACGAGGTGAGGAATCCAAGACCAGCCTTGCCAACATGGTGAAACACCATGTCTACTAAAAAATACAAAAAAAAAAATTAGCCAGGCGCAGTGGTGGGCACCTGTAATCCCAGCTACTCAGGAGGCTGAGGCAGAATAGCTTGAACCTGGGAGGCGGAGGTTGCAGTGAGACGAGATTGTGCCACTGCACTCCAGCCTGGGTGACAGAGCAAGACTCCATCTAGAAGAAAACAAAAAAAAGCAGATATATCTCACAGATAAAGGAATGGGCATGGCTCTGTTCAATAACATCTTATTTACGGTTACTGAACTTTTAATTTTATATAATTTTTAATGTTATGAAATATTATTTTTCTTTTGATTTTTTGTTCAAACATTTAAAAATGTAAAAACTTTTCATAGCTCATGGCAGGCCAACTTTGGAACATCTGCCATAGATTGAAGACCTCTGGCATAGTTTAATATTTAGCGGGAAAAGCGGAAAAAGAGATTGGAACCAGATTAGTGTGGTTGTCAAAAAAAAAGCTAAAGTGTTTGGACGGGGGGTGTGGGTACGTATGCTTTAGAATCCATTAAAAATTGTTAACGGAGGCAAAAGATACGATCTCATTAGTGTTTTAGGAAAATAGGTGGTTGCAATAAAAATGATGGATTGGAAAGATAAGAAATTAGATGTGAAGAGTCAGCTTAGAGACCTTGGCACTTCTATAGGGGGACATATCAATGCCTAGAGACCCCTTTGCTTGAGAAAGCATAAGCCATTGAATGTTATTAGAAATAATTAAAGTGGTAACATTGAAAAGATACTAAATATACAATTTTACTTTCTCTCCGAACACACTGTAAGTAGGAAAAAGCATATTAACAAAAACAGCAATCTAATGTCCTGAAATAGACCTGTGAAAAGGCTTGCAGGTAAAAGAAACACAAGGAAGACACAGAGACAGGAAGGAAAAGAATATTTAGGCACATTAAAGAGATTTAACCCACAGGACTAGGACTCACACAGTAAGAATATGATGCTGGTAAAGAAATGGGGCTTCACACAGGGGAAGAGTTCAGAAAAAGGACTGAGGGTTGTGGTCCAAGATGGAACCAGAGAATTTGAGAATTCTTTTCTATGACAATTTCAAAAATCACTTTCCCTTCTTGAAATGTATGATTGACCTTTCTGGGTGAAACCCTACGGGCTGGGGGAAGGAGAATCACCTCCTAGGGGTTATACCCGGGAAGGCACAGGGGAGACGCATTCCAAGTCCTGAAGAGCTCCTGGATTGGGCCAGCAAGACATACTTTTAGCATCCTTCCATGACAGTGGTTTCTTGACTCTTTTTTTTTTCTTGACTCTTTCTTAAGAAAAGAATAAAGGTACACCCAGAACCCCATTGGATACCTACTCCTTGTTTGCATTCATTAGAGAAAGGACTCTCAGCAGTGGTGAAGCTTTATCAGTACCCTGCAGAAAATCCACTGAAACCAAGGTCCCTGCCTCTTAGTTCACGATAGGCACAGTCCTCCAAGCCTGTTTGCGCCTCTCTTGCATTCTGATTTACTGCTTGCTCCTCACTTACCTCCTCCTTTGTCCTTTGCTGTTCAAAGACTGCACTTGTAAATTGGGTAATTCGAGTTTGATCCTGGGCTGCCCTCTCTTCTACCTATACTCATCCCCAACATTAGGGCTACTAATACCATCTGTAGTGAAAAGGGTCACGAAGAAAATAAGCCAAGGGGATATGATAGAGATTGACTGAGTCAACTCAGGCACATTGGCCCCGATGTCACACTTAAGCTGAGATCAGAATGCTTGGAATAATCTGGGACATAGAATTTCAGACAGAAGAAAGACAAATGCAAAAACCCTGTTGCCAGTTAGAAAGATGGATGTAGCTGGAGAAAATTCTGACATAGTTCATTACTGCTTCACTGCATCACTTTCCTGGGGATGGGACAGCACGGCATGCCTGAAGAGCTGAGGGGCTGCACTGGTTTCTTTATATCGACTACATCACCTAAGTCAACCTGTTCTAAGGCACATTTGGTGGATTCTTTCAGCTAAAAAAAAAAAAAAAAGAAGAAGATAAAATATTTAAGTTCCAAATCAAATATGGTTTGAGTCCCTGATGCTCACATATTTACTCATATTGATCCATTTCCAATTACACACATAAACACATTTTTCAAACCTTTCTGACCATTACAAAATGCTGGTCACTACCCACTAATTGGTTCCAACTTATAATGAAAATCATAGATTTAAATCCTAAAATTAAAAGAAAACTATACATAACTGTGTGTCCCACAACTGCTTATTTTATACCTTTTTCTTTGCCCAAATAAGGTGGAACCTGTATTATTTACAGGCTGATATCATTTGTTCTCATCATTTCAGACATAATATAAAACAATAACCAGTTCTACAATTTCCCTATTTAGACTATATAGACCTTGTAAAACCTGGAGGCTCCAATGTGCCTCAATGATATTTTCCTGGACAGATGTGCATTTTAAAGTATTGGTTTAAAATCCACATTATGGATACAAAAGACATCTAAAGGCTGATGATATGATATAAAATACATCCCTAAAAGCCAAGTAATTCCATGTAGGAAGGGATAATATTGAAGTTTCTGAAAGAAAGGCTTTCTTACAAGCGGTGATTCTTGATTTGAGTCTTGTAAAAGGTATAAACTTGGAATGGGAGGGTGGTAAATTTTATAGAAAGGGTGATATTAGCGAGGATATCGCAAGGCGTAAATTATACTTTCTAGGCTAGAACTGGAATGAGATTGTGGAGTTCATATCTGTGCATTAGCTGTGTCCTAAATGCAAAATGGCCTCCTGGATCAAATCCTAGAAGAAATAAAAAGTACATGAGTGGAAAAGCATGATGAAGACCAAATAAAGTCTGGAGCTTGGTTGACAGGATTGCACCATTGTTGATTCTGTATTTTGATAAATGTACATTGGTTGTGTAGGATGTTAACATTAGCGGAAACTGGGTGAAGTATATATGGAAACTCAATGTACTATCTTTGCAACTCCTCTATAAATCCAAAGGTATGTCAAAATAAAAAGAAAAAAAGACCACACCGTCTGAGGTTGACTCAAAAGATTTTGAGGGAAAATTTGAGTGATGGTCTAAAACAAAATGGAGCAAGCTCAGAAAATTTACTCCAGATAAGCCCAATTTTAGTAGGTTTCTTAGCAGAAAGGCAAGGGGTGTTTGGGGAAAGGGAGGTTATGGGAATAGTTGTCTTAGTCTGTTCAGCCTGCTATAAAAAAAAATTTGAGTAATTCATATTTATTTATTATCTTTTTGAGATGAAGTTTCCATCTTATCACCCACGCTGGAGTGCGATAGCACAATCTCAGCTCACTGCAACCTCCGCCTCCCGGGTTCAAGCGATTCTCCTGCCTCAGCATCCTGAGTAGCTGGGAATACAGGTGCCTGCCACCACTCCCGGCTAATCTTTTGTATTTTTACAAAAGATTGTCTCTTTAGTAGAGACAAGGTTTCACCATGTTGGCCAGGCTGGTCTCAAACTCCTGACCTCAGGCGATCCACCTGCCTGGGCCTCCCAAAGTGCTGAGATTACAGGCGTGAGCCACTGCCCCCGGCCAAGTAATTTTTAAACAACAGAAATGTATGGCTCATAATTCTGGAGGCTGAGAAGTCCAAGATCAAGGTGCCAGCAGATTTGGTGTCTGCCGAGGGCCCACTCCTCACAGACGGTGCCTTCTGTGTGTCCTCATAAGATGGAGGGGAAAAGGGCTCCCCCACGCCTCCTTTATAAGGACACCAACTCCATTCACCAGGGCGGAGCCCTCAGGACTTAACTACTTACCAGAGGCCTCTTGATACCATCACATCGGGGCAGGTTTCAATGCATGGCTTTTGGAGGGACACAAACATGTAAACCATAGCAACAGTCCATTCTTAAAAAGAAGAAAAAATCTGGCCAGGCGCAGTGGCTCATGCCTGTAATCCCAGCACTTTGGAAGGCCAAGGCGGGTGGATCACCTGAGGTCAGGAGTTCGAGACCAGCCTGACCAACATGGAGAAACCCCGTCTCTACTAAAAATACAAAATTAGCCAGGCATGGTGGCACCGCGCTTATAATCCCAGCTTACTCGGGAAGCTGAGGCAGGAGAATCACTTGAACCTGGGAGGCAGAGGTTGCAGTGAGCCGTGATGGCACCACTGTACTTCATCCTGGGCAACAAGAGCGAAACTCTGTCTTTAAAAAAAAGAAGGAAAAATCTTATGAAACTGCCAAACATAACATTAACAAATCACTGTCAAAGTCTGAGGAGAATCTGGGGTCTAAAAAATAGCCTTAGGCCCTATACTTAGACCCACTGCTAAATTCTCACAGATAATCAAATGAGACCATATTTATATGGTTATAGCTTTCATGTAAAGAGCACAAAAGTTTTTGAAAATATACAACAGGACGATAAGTCTCATTCTTCTCAGTGTGAAGTACCAAAAGGCTTCCATGTAGATTTTAGATTCTACTTAGATTGTTTTTTGAAAAGCAGAGTTAAATATGCCTTTTAAAAATCATACTCTACTAAGATATCAAATTCCAAGTGGAAACATACATTACTGACTGGTGGGTTATTCTTTTTTTCACAGAAACTCTAAAAATATGTTTAACAAGCTCTTTAGGCCAGTTATGGTGGCTCACGCCTGTAATCCTAGCACTTTGGGAGGCCGAGGCAGGTGGATCACAAGGTCAGGAGATCAAGACCATCCTGGCTAACATGGTGAAACCCCGTCTCTACTAAAAATACAAAAACTTAGCCGGGCGTGGTGGCGGGCGCCTGTTAGTGCCAGCTACTCGGGAGGCTGAGGCAGGAGAATCGCTTGATCGCTTGAATCCAGGAGGCAGGGAGGCGGAGGTTGCGGTGAGCCGAGATTGTGCCATTGCACTCCAGCCTGGGAGACAGAGCCAGAGTCCATCCAAAACAAAAAACAAAAAACAAAAAAACAAAAAACAAGCTCTTTAAACAACTGACTGAACTTGGCAAATTAACTTTATCTTTACATTTTGTATCAGGATAGCAAGATTTGGGTTCTAAACTCTGCTCTGTAAACTAATACCTATAGGGCTTTGAATAAGGCATTTGTCACTACTGACTTCACATTTCCTCATCTATAAAATGGATAATAACAATCCCTAAGGTGCTATCAAGATCAAACAAGCATGTAAAAAGGCATTACAAATCATAGCCAATAATAACATGGAGAGATTTCTTAAATGAAAAATACAACTACAGAGTTTGCAAAATACCTTAATGTAAAATACTATATTAGACCACAGTGACGCATATCAAAGGAGCAAGATGGGTTCTTTTGTTGTTGTTTTTGTTTCATTTATTTTTTTATTTTTTTATTTTTTATTTTTTTATTTTTATTTTTTTTTTATTGATCATTCTTGGATGTTTCTCGCAGAGGGGGATTTGGCAGGGTCACAGGACAATAGTGGAGGGAAGGTCAGCAGATAAGTGAACAAAGGTCTCTGGTTTTCCTAGGCAGAGGACCCTGCGGCCTTCCGCAGTGTTTGTGTCCCTGGGTACTTGAGATTAGGGAGTGGTGATGACTCTTAAGGAGCATGCTGCCTTCAAGCATCTGTTTAACAAAGCACATCTTGCACCACCCTTAATCCATTCAACCCTGAGTGGACACAGCACATGTTTCAGAGAGCACAGGGTTGGGGGTAAGGTCACAGATCAACAGGATCCCAAGGCAGAAGAATTTTTCTTAGTGCAGAACAAAATGGAGTCTCCTATGTCTACTTCTTTCTACACAGACACAGCAACCATCCGATTTCTCAATCTTTTCCCCACCTTTCCCCCCCTTCTATTCCACAAAACCGCCATGGTCATCATGGCCTGTTCTCAATGAGCTGCTGGGCACACCTCCCAGACGGGGTGGTGGCCGGGCAGAGGGGCTCCTCACTTCCCAGTAGGGGCGGCCGGGCAGAGACACTCCTCACTTCCCAGATGGGATGGCGGCCGGGCAGAGGCTGCAATCTCGGCTCTTTGGGAGGCCAAGGCAGGCGGCTGGGAGGTGGAGGTTGTAGCGAGCCGAGATCACGCCACTGCACTCCAGCCTGGGCACCATTGAGCACTGAGTGAAGGAGACTCCGTCTGCAATCCCGGCACCTCGGGAGGCCGAGGCTGGCGGATCACTCGCGGTTAGGAGCTGGAGACCAGCCCGGCCAACACAGCGAAACCCCGTCTCCACCAAAAAAATACGAAAACCAGTCAGGCGTGGCGGCGCACGCCTGCAATCGCAGGCACTCGGCAGGCTGAGGCAGGAGAATCAGGCAGGGAGGCTGCAGTGAGCCAAGATGGCAGCAGTACAGTCCAGCTTCGGCTCGGCATCAGAGGGAGACCGTGGAAAGAGAGGGAGAGGGAGACCGTGGGGAGAGGGAGAGGGAGACCGTGGGGAGAGGGAGACCGTGGGGAGAGGGAGACCGTGGGGAGAGGGAGACGGAGAGGGAGACCGTGGGGAGAGGGAGACCGTGGGGAGAGGGAGAGAGGGAGAGGGATTTTTGTTTCATTTTTTTCGTTTGTCTTTGGAGATGGAGTCTCGCCCTGTCGCCCAGGCTGCAGTGCAGCGGCACAATTTCGGCTCACTGCAACCCTTGCCTCCTGGGTTCAAGCAATTCTCCTGCCTCAGCCTTCCGAGTAGCTGGGACTACAGACGCCCGCCACCACGACTGACTTTTTTTTTTTCTTTTTTTTTTTTTAATTTTATTAGAGACAGGGGGTTTCACCATGTTGCCCAGGCTGGTCTCCAACTCCTGAGCTTAGGCAATGTGCTGGCCTCGGCCTCCAAAAGTGCTAGGATTACAGGCATGAGCCACCACGCCCAGCCAACACTTGGGTTCTAATCTGAGTTTAGAAACTTATTCCTGTATAAAGTTTCTTTGTGCCTCGGGGTTATTTTAAAACGCAAATGAAATTATAATAACAGTAATAATAACTATTTTAGAAATTTGATTTCAGATAAAATGAGACTGTGCGTGTATTCAATTTATATTAGCTAAATCAAATAGAAATAAGCTGAAGCTCTAATAATGAAATAATGTTTTACAAGTTTAAGGTTAATAAGCATTTATAGATAAGGCATGTTTTCTTACAATATTCCGTTCCCAGGGCTCCTGGACTGAAGATCGAAGTTCTTCCCATGGCCTACGGGGTCCCAGAGTCTGGGCCTGCATAGCCTCTCCACACTCGCCTCCACTCATCTCAGGTCCTTCCATAACTATTCCCTCTCCTGTCAGGGAGGCTCTGCCGTCCACGCTGATTCCTGCAGATCAGGGAAACCTCCCCTAACTTCCCGGCTCTCCTATGTGGCTCCCACAGCACCACGCACCTCTCCTTCATTGTGCTAATAATAGCTGCATTGTGACACTTACAATCATGATTATTTGGCTGGTATCCTCTGACTGTCTTTATTTACAATGTGGATATTTTGTTCTCTATAAATTGTTGCGTTGATTTTGATTCTTTTACATGCCAGGTTAAAATATTACTAATACTGATTACTGAGGGTGTTTTGTTTACAAGTGAGTTACTCACCTCAATCTAGTTCTTACCCTCCTGTTCTGACCTGGCCATTCCGCATTCAAACCCCAGGAGGCCAGGAATACGTATCCACCAGGGCCTAGAACCTCCGCCTGTGTAGGGGAGAAACTCAAATCTGTATAGAGTGAATTAATGCATATCTATAGTTTTTGCATTTTAAGGGTTTTAAGGAAAATATTGATTTGTAACACAGATAAAATGGTCGAAATACAAGTGTTTTAAGTGACCATGATGTTACTGGCAGAAGAATCACTATGACTAAAATTCCAGCAATGGACAACACTTTTTCTATGCATAACCTCTTTGTGGTCAATTTCAAGACAGCCCACTTCTGTTTCACGGTTTAATTGGTTCTCGAGCTCATTTAGGAGAAATTCAATTTCCTTTGAGCTGAGTTCATATCACAACAGATGAGTTCATTCGTTTTGGTTTCTTCTTCAGGCCCATGGAAAGGAAAGCTAAACGATAATGGGAGCAAAAATAATCTATGGAAGAGGTGGAGTGTGAAATGTAAAATTAGATTTTCTAAACATGCTGTCTCTAATGCCCAAACAGAGCCACACCCAAGCGATCAAATGGAATCAGTGGTAGGGGAGGCGATTATAAATCAATCTAGTTTATGGGATGCACTGTGTGAATGGTTAAGGGAGTGATAAAGGGTGGTTTCCGACAACCCAAAGAAAGGATCCTCGGCTTGAGCTAAGTGTGTGTGTTTCCATCTAGTGAGGAAAGGGGCTTTCAATGACATTGCCACTTAAAGGCTTACAAAGAAGGTTCTGGTCAACATTCTTCGGTTCATTGAAGTATTTCTTATCGAAACCCAAATGTTAACATTTTTATCTCCAAGGGAAACAAAAAAAAAGGCTGGTGGAATTCCCCTGTAGTTTCTAAAGAGGCCACAGCAAGGCGCCATAGAGACAGAAGGAGGGAAGTTGAGGGAAGTCCTTCTGACTGGTAAATCGGCTTTCTGACCCTCGTCTGCAAATAATACATTCTAAGGTAAGGAACTAAGGAAGCTTTATTGAAATCGGATTTCAAATGGAGAGGTCCTGCTATGCCTACTGGAGGAGATCAGGGAATAATAAATATTTCCTTCATTGAAAATTATATCCTATTGGCCAGGCGCAGTGGCTCACGCCTGTAATCCCAACACTTTGGGAGGCCGAGACAGGCGGATCACCTGAGGTCGGACCAGCCTGCCAACATGGAGAAACCCTGTCTCTACTAAAAATACTAAATTAGCCGTGCGTGGTGGTGCATGCCTGTAATCCCAGCTACTGGGGAGGCTGAGGCAGGAGAATCACTTGAACCAAATAGGCGGAGGTTGCAGTGAGGTGAGACGGTGCCACTGCACTCCAGCCTGGGGGACAGAGAAAGACTCCGTCTCAAAAAAGAAAAAAAAAGAGAAAGAAAAGAAAGGAAGGAAGGAAGGAAGGAAGGAAGGAAGGAAGGAAGGAAGGAAGGAAGGAAGGAAAATTATATTTTATTGGCCAACCTCAAAATTGAAGCTTATTCAGAAACAGATTTAAAAAAAGAAAAAAGTGGAGAACTGCTCCCAGATATATATGCAGAAAAGCTTCAAGTCAACATTTAGGAGGTTTTTAAATATCGATCTGGGTTTCGTTCTAATGGTCTGGGTGTACTTATACGACCTATTACATTTCACTAGACTGTAGCCAATAGTGAGCGTTGACTGACCATTGCTTTCAAAGTGAGTTGTGTTGCCTTTAGCAATACAGTCACATTAATGGCCAGAAAAAGAAAAAAGAAAACAAACACTGGGGGTGTTTGAAACAACTGGGGGTAGGGTGGGGTGGGAAAGGTGTGGGGGTTTGCGTTCGAGTCAACCTCTATTTCGGGGGGTAAAAACTGCCTCCTCCGCTTGATTTTTTTCCTCGATCTGCAAAAGCGTAAATGTTTTGTTTTGTTCTATTGAGATGGAGCCTCGCTCTATCACCCAGGCTGGAGCTTAGTGGCGCGATCTCGGCTCACTGCAACCTCCGCATCCCGGGTTCAAGCGATTCTCCTGCCTCAGCCTCCTGAGTAGCTGGGATTACAGGCGAGCACCACCATGCCTGGCTAATTTTTGTATTTTTCGGTAGAGACGGGGTTTCGCCATGTTGGCCAGGCTGGTCTCGAACGCTTGACCTCATGTGATCCCCCCGTCTCGGCCTCCCAAAGTGCTGGGACGACAGGCGTGAGCCACCGCGTCCGGCCTAAAAGGGTAAATGTGATTACACCCACGCGTATTTGTTCAACAGACATTTATTGAGCGCTCACCACGTGCCAACGCCGGGCGTCTGGGCTCTGGAGGCGCTGCCACGTGGCGGATGCGCAGTGCCCGGCGGCCGGGCTGAGGGGTGAACGCGGGGGTCAGGGGGCCCCGGGCTGAGGGTTTGCGTGCGGGCCGGGTGCCTGGGGGCCCCGGGCTGAGGGTGAGCGCGCCGCCCAGGTGCCAGGCGGCTCCGGGCAGAGAGTGAACGCGCGGGCCAGGTGGCTCCAGGGCGGCGCCCCAGGGCGGGGCCGGCCACGCCCTCCCTAACCCTGGCGGAGCTGATGGGTGGCTGTAGCCTGATTAGACCGCGTCAGTCCGGAGGGTGGGTCTTGGGAGGGGGCGCAGGGCAGTCCACGTTTCCACTGCAGTTTCTCCTTTGTTTTACGTTTGGGAGGAGGTGGCATTGGAAATAGCAGAGTGCTTCGCGGTAACAGGGGTGAGTCTTGTTTCATGGAACTTTTTTCAAATGGGGAGAAGGGGGTTGTGTTGCTCACTACTTGGAATGTGTCGGTCAAAGGGGTTAGATAGTCAGGGAGGGGAAGCGTGTTCTCATCCTGGGACCAGGCCGGAGCCGGCCTCGCCGGGAGACTTGTAGCCCTCGCCCTGCGGTGACCCGTGGCTGGCCACTGGCCTCAAATGTTGAAAACGGGCAGATGGGCAAGTAATACACTCTCAAGAAAGCAAGTGTCTGGCGGTGATTTCCTAAATTGCATTTTTTATTTTATTTCAAAACTTCATGTAAATATGTTTCCTTACAATATCTGGCTAAGTCTTTTCTATATTAACATGCTTACATTGTGATCAAGACACCAGTCTCTTCCCTTTCTTTTCCTCTCCTCTTATCTCTGGAGATGGCAATACCCCCAACTCAAATTACTCTAGCAAAAAACCTAGGAGACTCTTTCTTTTCTTTTTTCTTTTTTTTTGGAGACAGTCTCGCTCTGTTGCCAGGCTGGAGTGCAATGGCGCGATCTCGGCTCACTGCAACCTCCGTCTCCCGGGTTCAAGGGATTCTCCTGCCTCAGCCTCCCAAGTAGCTGAGATTACAGGCGCCCTTCACTGCGCCCGGCTAATTTTTGTATTTTAGTAGAGACGGGGTTTCACCATGTTGGTCAGGCTGGTCTCGAACTCGTGACCTCAGATGATCCGCCCGCCTCAGCCTCCCAAAGTGCTGAGATTACAGGCGTGAGCCACCGCGCCGGGCGAGACTCATTCTTGATTCCTGTTTCCCTTCCGCTCTTCATCCAATCCACCGGCGAGCTGCAGGGCGAGGGGGTGGTTCTTTCTCCTGTTTTCCCGCTCTCCCTGCATTTCATCTCCTCTGCCGCCATCTGCTCCAAACCCCTGGCAGCCCTTCGCGGGATTCCCAAATCTAATAGATTTTTCTGTTCTCCCCAAATCCATTCTCCATGCAGCTGTCCGGCCCATCTTCTAACCTAAAAAAACTTGCTGTTTGCTTGTTGGAAGCCCTGTAATGGTTTCCTTGGGACCTGGGATGAAATGCAAATGGTCCCGGGGCTCACCGTCAGCCCCGCGCCTGGGCCTCGCCCCAGCCCCCACCTTCCTGCCCGCCATAGCTGTAGGGAGCATGGAGCATGGAGCGTGGAGCGTGGAGCATGGAGCATGGAGCGTGGAGCATGGAGCATGGCCTGCAGCCCCCGGGGAGCGCCGGCAGCCTGGAACCAGCAGGCTTCGCTCGTCTCTTCCCACCCCCGTGCACTTTTCCTCCTGCCCACATCTGGCTCCGATGGCCCCCTCCTTGGGGGCCTTTTCCAGACATTCATGATGAAGGTGGCGTCCTCGGTTACTTCCCCTCTCATATTCTTTTTTTTTTTTTTTTTTTTTTGAGACAGAGTTTTGCTCTTGTCGCTTGGGCTGGAGTGCAGTGGCACGATCTCGGCTCACTGCAACCTCCGCCTCCTAGGTTCAAGCGATTCTCCTGCCTCGGCCTCCCGAGTAGCTGGGACTACAGGCGCCCGCCACCACGCCCGACTAATTTTTTTTATTTTTAATAGGGTTTCACCATGTTGGCCAGGATGGTCTCGATCTCCTGACCTCGTGATCCGCCCGCCTCGGCCTCCCAAAGTGGTGGGATTACAAGCGTGAGCCACCGCTCCCGGTCCCACCCCGCCCCGACCTTTTTTTTAATAGCATTTTTCTCAATCTGACATTTTTTGTTTATTTGCCCTTTACTGTCTGTCCCACACCAAACTTTGTGTTAACGAGGAACTTTGCATCTTTTTCCCTAAGTTCAGCACCTAGAACGAATACTAAATGTATATGAAGATTTCGTCCACATCCGCTTTTACCAGTATGTTTTCCATGTACAGTCAAGTTCCATATAAGGCCGTTTCAGTCAGTGAGCAACCCCACGTACTATGGTGGTCCCATAAGATTATAAAAGAGCTGAAAAATCCCCATGGCCTAGTGACATCTTCATGATCCTGAATTTGTGTAGGCCTAGGCTCATGTGTGTGTTTGTCTCTTCGTTTTTAACGTAAAAGTTTTTAAACAGACAAAATTTTACAGAATAAGAATATAAAGAAAAAATATTTTTGTACAGGTGAAAAAATGTTTGTGTTTTAAGCTAAGTGTTATTACAAAAGAGTCAGGAAGTTTGCACATTTTTAAGTTTATAAAGTTAAAAAGAGTCTGGGCGCGGTGGCTCACGCCTGTAATCCCAGCATTTTGAGAGCCTGAGGCAGGCGGATCGCCTGAGGTCGGGAGTTGGAGACCAGCCTGACCAACGTGGAGAAACCTCATTTCTACTAAAAATACGAAATTAGCTGGGCGTGGTGACACATGCCTGTAATCCCAGCTACTCAGGAGGCTGACGCGGGAGAATCGGCTGAACCTGGGAGGCGGAGGTTGCTGTGAGCGGAGATCACGCTGTTGCACTCCAGCCTGGGCAACAAGAGGGAAACTCTGTCTCAAAAAAAAAAGTAAATAAATAAATGAATTTAAAAAGTTACAGTAAGCTAAGGTTAATTTATTATTCAGGAAAGACAAATTTTTAAATAAGTTCTAAAATTTGCCTAAGTGTACAGTGCTTATAAAGCCTACAGTTGTGTACAGTGGCGTCCCAGGCCTTCATTCACTCAACACTCACTCACTCACTCATCCAGAGCCACTACCAGTACTGTGAGCTCCATTATGGGAATGTGCCTACACAGGTGTACCATTTTTTATCTTTTGTACAGTATTTCTTCTGTTTGGATATGTTTATATGCAAATACTTACTGTTGTGTTACAGTTGCCTACAGTACTCAGAACTGTAACATGCTGTGGAGATTTATAGCCTAGGAGCCATGGGCCCTACTGTGTAACCTGGGTGAGTTGCAGGCTGTGCCATTCGGGTCTGCGTAGCTACACTCTGTGATGTTCACAGGATGACACAGCAACCTAAAGATACATTTCTCAGAACATATTCCTGTCTTCGAGTGATGCATGACTAGTTATTTCTGCTAACAGAAATTGGCTTGCCATATAAATAGTTTTCTTTTAGTAAATTAATAAATTACCATTTCAATGTTATATGTCATCCTCACAAGCTTGTATACTGCTATGAGAAATAGCATAATGCTCGGAGATCTGACAAATAAGAATTTAGCTTAGAAAGGTAAGGACCATACTTGAACCTTAGTAAATTCATAAAGAAAACACCTCTCTTAGGAGATGCCTTTCTTTTTTTTCTGTCACCCAGGTTGGAGTGCAATGGTGTGATCTCAGCTCACTGCAACCCCTGCCTCCCAGGCTCCAGCGATCCTCCCACCTCAGCCTCCTGAATAGCTGACCACCAGCACACTAGGCAAACCCACCCCACTCACGGCCTCCCTTGGGAATTCAGACCTAACCATCGCTGAGCTGAAGTGTAGGTGTGGTCTGATTAGACTCATTTTTTCTTTTTTGTAGAGATGGGGTTTCACCGTTTTGCCGAGGCTGGTCACCAACTCCTGGGCTCAAGGGATCCACCCACCTCAGCCTCCCAAAGTGCTGGGATTGCAGGCATGAGCCACCATGCCTGGCCTTAGGAAATTCCTTTCTATGTAACACCCTGCATCATTAATAGCCAGCTTTTTTGAAACTTCTACATTAAATTGTCTAAACTCTCAAATAAATTCCTAGTAAAGTAATTATATAGGGTTGTTAAATCAGAGATCAACAGCACAATGACTAATGCATACTCATGATTTCATCTCACTAGACAAATGTACTGAGGCTGGAGCCTGTGTGAACAGAACAGAAGAGGCCTTCACTCTAGTAGTGCTCACAGTCCAGCAGGTAAGACAGACTTGAAGCAAGGGACACCAGAGCTCTGATCAGTGTGAAATAGGGAGCTAGGAGAACGTTTAGCTTTGGGACTCAACTGAGCTGAAGAATCCAGGGAAGCCTGCCTGAAGAGGTGATGTTTGCGCATTTGAAGTATGGATGGGAAGCAAGCCTCTGTGTGTGTGTTGGAGGATAGGTGGTATTTTAGTGAGAAAAAAGAACATTTGTAATGGACTGATCTGATGCTTTACTGGAGAAAGTTTATTATGGCTGAATAGTGAAATACAAGAGCTATAGATGGCAGGAGGTGAGCTTGGAGGGAAAAGCAGCAGTCAATTAAATTGCAGTTACAGGTTGAGTATTTTTTATCCAAAGTGCTTGGGACCAGAAGTATTATGGACATCAGATTTTTTTGAATGTTTGAGTATTTGCAAAATACCCAATATGAGCATCCCGAGTCCGAAAATTCAAAATCCAAAATGGTCCAATGAGAATTTCCTTTAAGTGTCATGATGGCACTCAAAAAGGTTTCATACTTTAAGCATTTCAGGTCCTAGATTTTCAGATTTGGGATGCACAAGCTGTTTTTTAAATGGACTAATTGGGGAGAGCAGCTCTGTGTTTAATCCTAGTAATTACCCTCCAAAGGTGCTAATATTGTGCTTCATAAATATTTTGAGATCTCCCTGGTTAATTTCACCTCTATATTTTTGTTTTCTTTTTTTTTCTTTTTTTTCCGAGAAAGTCGCTCTGTTGTCCAGGCTGGAGTGCAGTGGCACAATCTTGGCTCACTGCCTCCGCCTCCCAGGCTCAAGTGATCTCCTGCCAGTAGCTGGGATTGCAGGTGTACGCCACCACATCCAGTTAATTTCTTGTATTTTTAGTAGACAGGGTTCCGCCATATTGGCCAGGCTGGTCTTAAACTCCTGATCTCAGGTGATCCGCCAGCCTTGTGCTCACAAAGGGCTGGCATTACAGGCACGAGCCACTGCACCCAGCCCTAATTTCACCTTTTTAAAGGACACAGGCCTGGCGCAGTGGCTCACGCCTGTAATCCCAGTACTTTGAGAAGCCGAGGAGAGCAGATCACCTGAGGTCAGGAGTTCGAGACCAGCCTGGCCAACATGATGAAATCCCGTATCTACTAAAAAATAACACAAATTAGCTGGGTGTGGTGGCGGGGCGGGGGGGCGCCTGCCTGTAATCCCAGCTACTTGGGGCCTGAGGCAGGAGAATCACTTGAACCCCAGAGGCGGAGGTTGCAGTGAGCTGAGATTGCGCCATTGTACTCCAGCCTGGGCAACAAGAGCGAAACTCCATCTCAAAATAAAATAAAAGGACACAAAAAATAACATTAGTAGCATATAACATATATGTATTACATATTTTTAAATACATTTTAAGAAATCTTAAACTTTTCCCCTACAGTTGGAACACATTTTGTTTTTATTATATGTATTTGTTTTTTACCAAAAGTAAATGACATGCTTCTGTTGAGGTGTTTTTTTTTTAATGTGGTTATTTTAATTTTCATCCAACAACTTTTACCTTTGCCTCTTTTTTAAAGGCATATAATTTTTCTTCCTACAGAAAGACATCAGGACAATAAATAGGGAGATCTTTTCTCAGGCACACAATTGTAACATTAAGTAAGAGACTTTTATAGTCAAAGCAATAACATATTCATGCTATAACTTTTATAACGTCATTGCTGTTAAATGTTTAAGGAAATGATAGGAAAGTCTTCAGGGCCAAGCTACCCCGTGCCTTTATTTTGGCATGGATTCCTAAAAGTGGGAGCACCATTAATTTCATGTGTCTTATTCTCTGGATCCCCATTTTTTAGAACAATGAGTGGGCACACGATGGCCCATGGGCCAGTCTCCCTGTTTTACTGGAACACAGCCACCCTCATTCCTTTATGTGTTATCTGACTGCTTCTGTGCCGTGCTACAACGGCAAAGTTGAATAGTTTCAACAGACACCACAGGACCCACAAAGCTAAAATCTGGCCCTTTGCAGAAATAGTTTACCACCCCAGTCTAGAAAGAACCTGGCGTGTAGCAGGATGCAACATATACTTGTAGAATGAATAAAAAGGTAATAAAATAACACGAGCTCACATAGCGGCCAGCATTTGCTGTGCACCATAATCCGTGCTAAGCACTTTGCATGCGTTATTTAATTTGAATTTCATAACAGTATTACATAAGAAAACAATAGGGCCAGGCATGGTGGCTCACGCCTGTAATCCCAGCACTTTGGGAGGCCGAGGCAGGCGGATCACGAAGTCGGGAGCTCCAGACCAGCCTGACCAACATGGTGAAACCCCATTTCTACTAAAACTAGAAAAAGTAGCCAGGCGTGGTGGCGTGCGCCTGTAATCCCAGCTACTTGGGAGGCTGAGGCAGGAGAATTGCTTGAACCCGGGAGGTGGAGGTTGCAATGAGCTAAGATTGCACCACTGCACTCCAGCCTGGGCGACAGAGTGAGACTCCGTCTCCAAAAAAAAAGAAGAAAAAGAAAAGACAGTATTTTGCTCCCTCACCGCCTTCAGGCTTTTAACCAACTGCCACTTACCACCCTAGTGAAGGTTTGCCCGAGTGCCCTATTTAATATTGCAGGCTTCTGTTTCCTACCAGCCCCTTTGCTTACTCTTTCACACTTAGTCACCTTCTAACGTGGCATACATTGCTTATTTTCTATGCTCATGAGTATGTCTACTCCATGGAGGCATAGATGTTTGTATGCCTGTTTACTGATGGATCACAAACTGTGTAGCCTAAAATAGAGCTAGCACATAGTCCCACCCAACACGTGTCAGGTGAGCAATTAGATATAGAGGGTTCCAATAACTTGTGGGGACACCCAGATAAGATCTGTTTATGACTCATGTCTTACACAGAGCTCATTCTTGGTCTCTTGGTTAGTTTATCAGAGAAGACAAATGTATTATTGGAAAATGTGTCTTAGGTCATTTTTTGACAGTGGCTCTAATACTGGAATCTATTTTAACTAAAGGTTATTATCATAAAGCAGGTGTTTGCTGAAGACAGCTTACTCAGATCACTACTGCCTGGAGGTGGTTGATATATCCTGGTGTAAACCTTCAAGAAGGGCACAGGCAGGAAAACATGAGCCAGCAACTGAAGAAACGGGCAAAGACAAGACACCAGAAAGGCCTGGGTGGAAGAGCCCCCAGTGGGGCTAAGCCCAGGCAAGGCAAGTCAAGCCAAGACCTGCAGGCGGAAATAGAACCTGTCAGCGCGGTGTGGGCCTTATGTGATGGCTATGTGTGCTATGAGCCTGGCCCTCAGGCTCTCGGAGGGGATGATTTCTCAGACTGTTACATAGAATGCGTCATAAGGGGTGAGTTTTCTCAACCCATCCTGGAAGAGGACTCACTTTTTGAGTCC
The DNA here is from genome assembly GCF_000001405.40 of Homo sapiens. Classification (NCBI taxonomy): domain Eukaryota; kingdom Metazoa; phylum Chordata; class Mammalia; order Primates; family Hominidae; genus Homo; species Homo sapiens. Next base: position 188,003,090 of record NC_000004.12, read on the forward strand.
TTGGAATACCTAAAGAAAGGATCAGAACAACAGCTTTCTCAAAAGGTTTTCGAAGCAAGCTCCCTTGAATGTTCTTTGGAATACATGAAAAAAGGGGTAAAGAAAGAGCTTCCACAAAAGATAGTTGGAGAGAATTCGCTTGAGTATTCTGAGTACATGACAGGCAAGAAGCTTCCGCCTGGAGGAATACCTGGCATTGACCTATCAGATCCTAAACAGCTCGCAGAATTTGCTAGAAAGAAGCCCCCCATAAATAAAGAATATGACAGTCTGAGCGCAATCGCTTGTCCTCAGAGTGGATGCACTAGGAAGTTGAGGAATAGAGCTGCCCTGAGAAAGCATCTCCTCATTCATGGTCCCCGAGACCACGTCTGTGCGGAATGTGGGAAAGCGTTCGTTGAGAGCTCAAAACTAAAGAGACATTTCCTGGTTCATACTGGAGAGAAGCCGTTTCGGTGCACTTTTGAAGGGTGCGGAAAGCGCTTCTCTCTGGACTTTAATTTGCGTACGCACGTGCGCATCCACACGGGGGAGAAACGTTTCGTGTGTCCCTTTCAAGGCTGCAACAGGAGGTTTATTCAGTCAAATAACCTGAAAGCCCACATCCTAACGCATGCAAATACGAACAAGAATGAACAAGAGGGAAAGTAGTCCTCCAACAGGATGAAGCAGATTAACAGAAGAGTGATCAGTGACAAACATGCCTCATTGATTATTGTTTCTAGGAAGGAATTTCTAAATCAATATTGCAACCCCAAAAGCGGTTATAATTTGGTGTTACTAAGATGCTCCTACACTTTGTGATACCGTTTTAAGGACATGGTGCATTTTTTTTTCTTTTATTTGTTTTATTTAGAACTTTTTTTATTTGTTTTATTTAGAACTTTGTGTGTTCTTAAAGTGTGCTTCCAACAGGAAGGTCAGTGATAAATTTTCAAAAGCATAACCTTCAATATATTATCTGTTGGATTATTGGATATAAGACTTATTTTCATGTACTATAAATATGAAAATAACTTTGATTTTTAATTGTGTAGTTTCCATTTCTTAGCTTTTGCCTTTTAAATTTATACTTCAGCCAGGCATAGTGACTGATGCCTGTAATCCCAACACTTTGTTGGGAGGCCAAAGCAGGAGGATAGCTTGAGGCCAGGAGTTCCAGACCAGCCTGGGCAACATAGTGAGATCCTGTCTCTACAAAAAAATTTGTTTTTATTTGTATTTATATATTTTTATTTTTGTTTTTGTTGGTAGGCGTCTCGCTCTGTCACCCAGGCTGGAGTCTAGTGTCGTGATCTTGGCTCACTGCAACCTCCACCTCCCGGGTTCAAGTGATTCTCTGGCCTCAGCCTCCCAAGTAGCTGGGACTACAGGTGTGTGTCACCACGCCCGGCTAATTTTTGTATTTTTAGTAGAGATGGGGTTTCACCATGTTGGCCAGGCTAGTCTCAAACTCCTGACCTCCAGTGATCTGCCCACCTCGGCCTCCCAAAGTGCTGGGATTACAGGTGTGAGCCACTGTGCCTGGCCCCCCACAACATGTTTAAACTTAGCTAGGCCTGGTTGCATACGCCTGTGTTCCCAGCTACTCAGGAGGCTGAAGCAGGAGGATAGCTTGAGCCCAGGAGTTTGAGGCTACAGTGAGCTGTGATTGCACCACTGTACTCCAGACTGGATAACAGCAAGAGCCCATCTTTTAAAAAAAGTAAAAATTAAAAATATACTTCATGGTTCATGTCATAGCCCTAGAGAATGAAAAATTTGCAGTAGATAGTCAATAAATGAATCAGTAGTTAAATATTCCTTAAAGTCAACTGTATTTCATTGTGATTTTTGTTTTCTTTTTATCATTGTATCAAACTATATGGAAATCATATGGTTAGATGTGATTATTTGATAATGTTAGTCCATTTGAATCCATTTTAGATATTTCACAATTAAAGAATATGAAACTTCAGAAATATGCCAAGTCTGTATTTTAAAAAATCAAAGTCTACATTGAAAAGAGATACCATTTATTTGTTCTTAAAACTTAGCAAAATTCAACAGACTGATGTTCGGTATAGGTGAGATATGGCGGGAAGTTGGGCTTACGTGTGGTTGGATAAGGGATAAACTGTCACAGCCAGTTTGGAAATAAATTTTGTAATTGTGCTATATTCGTTTTTGAGCTGCCGTAGCAGTACTCCCAAGCTAGGTAACTTAGCAGAAATGTATTGTCTCGGTTCCAGAGGCTAGAGGTCCAAAACCCAGGTGTTGGCAGGGTTGGTTCCTTCTGAGGCTGGGAGGGAAGGACTGGCCCAGGCCTCCCTTTTTGGCTTTAAGTGACTGTCTCGTGTTCACATGGCATTCACCCTGTATCCCCACATCCCTTCACTCTGCCTGTGTCCGAACAGGGACACCAGTCATGTGGGATTATCACCCGTGCTGATGACCTCATGTTAACTTGACAAACTCTGAAGACCCTACCTTCAAATAAAGTCACATTCTGAGGTACTGAGGTTATTTGTACTAATGTACAAAGGGATCTGTTCAAGAATGTTAACTGAATAGTATTTTTAATAGTGATAAACCCATAACGTAAATGTTCATTAAGGGGATATGGGCTGCATAATTCATGCCACTTTTGTTCAACAGCAAATGTGCAAGTCTCCTTCAGGGAGAGGGTCACAGCTGGAGGCAAGCCACAAAGAGGAAGTTTCTTGTTACTAACAGATGAGACGGGATCTGGTGTATTTTCTTGCTGTGGAAGGAAATTCAGAGAAAGTAGTTACATACGGATAAAGGGAGAAATTGTCTGAAGGTAGCTGATCTAATGTAGGGGTTAACTCATTTTTATCATTATTAAGTGAATCCCTGATTGGAATCATCTCATAATGGCCAAAAATATGCTGCCATCAAACTTGAAATGCTTATTTGATTTTAAGATTTAAGACATCTCTGGAGGTAGTGCTAAGTGTACCATTAATTTAATGGCTTTTCAGGAAATAACAATACCACACTAAGTAAATATATCAAACTTAAGATTAATCTTGATTTCTAAAATGCCAAAGTCTAAAATATGTCTTTAAAACAAGTAAAAAAAATCAAAGGCTTACATTTTGACGTCAGTATGAGCTAATTGCTACTATGGACTATGGAAATTACTTCTTAATTTGGTCTAGAATTTCTAGTATCATTTTTACAGGAATGTGGGTACTGAGTGAGGAACACTGGGTACATAATCCATTTGTAAGTGGAATTTCCTCCAAATCAAACACCTGAGTATAGAACTTGAGATGGGAATTTGGTATTTGATCAAGATGACAAAGCATATTCTCAGCTAGTTTTGCTTTCGTAGCACTGTGTTTGATTTGCTCTTCTGTGGGTTTCTACTTCAGAGATGAATTAGCACAGAGCACCTCTGAAGACCAGGCAAAAGGCAGGACTGAATAGCAGCCCTCAAGGCCAGAGGAAGTCAGGGGCAGGGTTTAGGCTGCAAGCTGGAGAGCCGAGATGCAGGGCACCGAGAGGGATGGATGGAGATGCTTCTTCCTGAACCATGAGCATTTCTAAAAGGTAGATCAGCCTTTACATAGCGGGAGCCAGTCTCCATCCCTCTTGCTGTTCTCAGATGGCTGTTCCTGTTCAGCTCTTTTCTAGAGCTGAAGGGTCCGAAACTCCCTGTTAACAACTCTAAAGCTTAAATGTGTAAGAAACAGCAATCTGAGAAAATGCTTGTGTATCTGGATCCCAAGGCTTAGTTAAATCCTGACTGAGGAATAGGGTGCTACTTAGCTAGCTTCCTAGCTGTTCTTGTTTTTGCTTTTCTTCCAAAAAGGAACCCTAAAACTGCTAAGAATGTAAGAGGATGCATGTGGATGCAATGTGGATGTAAGATGCATGTGGATGCAATGGAAACAAAAAAAAAAAAAAAGGAAAAGGAGGTTAGCTAATGAGGATATATGAGGATATGTCACCTGAAATCCTTTGTTTATGGTTCAGGAAGAAATGTACATAGACTCTCCACATTTGTGTTTTAAGTAAGAACGAACACAAGATAACCTGAACACATACCCAGAGAAAACTGAAAAAAAGTCTCAGTTCATCTAGCTTTTCACCTTTCCAGGCACTGGCATTTGACAGACCCCAAATCCTGATAAATGAATAAAATGTTTTTCGGTTTTCAAGCTGGCATTTGGCTTCATGGCCCATAAACAACAAACAGAATCTTACATGTGTAGGGTTTTTTACATTTTTTATCATGTTTGTTTAAGATGTATGTGCTGGGCCAGGCGCAGTGGCTCATGCCTGTAATGCCAGCACTTTGGGAGGCCAAGGTGGGCGGATCACCTGAGGTCAGGAGTGCAAGACCAGCATGGCCAGCATGGCAAAACTCTATCTCTACTAAAAATACAAAGATTAGCCTGGTGTGGTGGTGCGCACCTGTAATCCCAGCTACATGGGAGGCTGAGGCAGGAGAATCTCTTGAACCTGGGAGGGTGAGGTTGCAGTGAGCAGAGATGGTGCCACTGCACTCCAGCCTGGGGGACAGTGTGAGACTCTTGTCTCAAAAAAAAAAAAGGTGTGCTGTTTTGATATGCATATAGTGAAATGATTACTGTCAGGAAAATTAACCCATGGCCTGGCGCGGTGGCTCACGCCTGTAATCCCAGCACTTTGGGAGGCCGAGGTGGGCAGATCACGAGGTCAGGAGATAGAGACCATCCTGGCTAACACAGTGAAACCCCGTCTCTACTAAAAATACAAAAAATTAGCCGGGCGTGGTGGCTGGTGCCTGTAGTCCCAACTACTGGGGAGGCTGAGGCAGGAGAATGGCGTGAACCCGGGAGACGGAGCTTGCAGCGAGCTGAGATGGCGCCACTGTACTCCAGCCTGGGCAACAGAGCGAGACTCCGTCTCAAAAAAAAAAAAAAAAGAAAGAAAGAAAAGAAAATTAACCCATTGTCCCCTTTTTCAGTTATCTTTTGTGTGTGTAGTAAGCACCTAAAATCTACTTTCAGCAAATTTTTGGTAATGAATACTACATTATTAACTGCTTCTTCATGCTGTGCGTTAGGTTTCTAGACCCATGCTATCTAACTGCAAGCATAGACCCTTGTCTGTTGCTCCCTATTTCTCCCTCCTCTACCTCTGCATTCCTGGTCACTACCATTTCTGCGCTGTTTCTATGTATTTGCCTTTTTTGTTTGTTTGTTTAGTTTCCACATATCAGTGAGATTATGTAGTGTTTTTCTTTCCATGTTTGGTTTATTTTTCCAGTTTATGTTGTAGCAAAGGCAGTTATCTCCTTTTTTAAGTCTGAATAATATTCCGTTGTACGTATGTGCACCACGATTTCCTTATTCATCTGTTGATGGACATGTGGATTGTTTCATTTCTTGGCCGTGGTGAATGATGCTGCAATGAAGATGGACGTGCAGATAGCTTCGTGCGGTGGTGATTTCATTTCCTTTGGCTATATGCCCAGAAAGGGAATTGCTGGCCCATATGGTAGTCGTACTTTTAGTGTTTTGAGGAATTCCCATCCTGCTTTCCACAATGGCTGTACTAACTTACTTTCCCACCAACAGTCTGCAAGAATTCACTTTTCTCCACATCTTTGTCAACACTTGCTGTTTCTTGTCTCTTTGATAGTGGCCATTCTGACAGGTGTGAGGGAGTGTTTCACTGTGGTTTGGTTTGCATTTCTCTGACAATGAGTGCCGTTGAACACCTGTTCATATATTTGTGTGTCTTTTGCGCTATGTCTGTTCAAGTCCTTTGCCTTTTTTTTTCTTTCTTTTTTTTTTTTTTTTTTTTTTTGAGAGACGAGGTCTTGCTATGTTGTTCAGGCTAGTCTTGAACTCCTGACCTCAAGCGATCCTCCTGTCTCCGCCTCCCAGAGTACTGGGATTACAGGTGTAAGCCACCATGCCTGACCCTTTCACCATTTTTTTAATCAAGTTGTTTTTTTGGGGGGTGAGTTGTGTGGGCACCTTGTATTTTTTTAATATTAACTCCTATCAGGTAAATGATTTGCAAATATTTTCTCCCAACCCATAGGCTGCCTTTTCATTTTGTGGATGTTTTCTTTGCCATTCAGAAGCTTTCTAGTTTGATGTAGCCCCACTTGCTAATTTTTGCTTGGAGTTGGTTTTTGTGTGTATGGTGTAAGATAATGGTCCAGTTTCATTTTGCTTGTGAATATCTAGTTTTCCCAATACCATTTATTGAAGAGAGTGCCTTTTCCCCATTGTGTCTTTTTGTTTTTCTTGATGAAAATTCTTATATATGCTTTTGGGTTAATTTCTGGGTTCTCTGTTCTGTTCCTTTCATCTGTGTGTCTGTTTTTATGCTAGTATTGTAATATTTTGATTACTGTAGCTTTGTAATATAATTTGAAATAAGGGAATGTAATGCTTCTAACTTTATTTTTCTTTCTCAAAATGTTTTTTGGCTATTCAGGGTCTTCCGTGGTTCTAAGCAAATTATAGAATTGCATCTTCTGTCCAGGCATGGTGGCTAACACCTGTAATCTCAATACTTTGAGAGGCTGAGCCAGGAGGATTGCTTGAGCCCAGGACTTCAAGGTTACAATGAGCTGTGATCCTGCCGATGCTCTCCAGCCTGGGCAATAGGGTGAGACCCCTTCTCTTAAGGAAAAAAAAAAAGAAAAATTAAATAAAAAGATTCTTTTTTCATTAGCCGGGCATGGTGGCAGGTGCCTGTAATCCCAGCTACTTGGGAGGCTGAGGCAGGAGAATTGCTTGAACTCGGGAGGCGGAGGTTGCAGTGAGCTGAGATCGCGCCACTGCACCATTTCTGTGGAAAATGACATTGGTATTTTGATAGGAATTGCATGGAATCTGTAGATTGCTTTAGGCGATACAGACATTTTAACAATATTCTTCCAACCCGTGAACATAGGATATCTTTCCATTTATTTGTGTCTTCAGTTTTTTCAGCAATGTTTACACTTTCTGGCATTTGTATCTTTCACTTCCTCTGTTCCATTTATTCTTAAGTATTTTATTCTTTTGGATTCATTCTAAACGGGACTGTTTTCTTGGTTTCTTTTTCTGATAGACAGTAACTGCTGTAAAGAACGACAGCTGATTAAAAAACTGAAAATCTTAAGGCAGAGTCCACTGCTTTCTTGGTATCACTAATACAGGCAATAGGAGGCACTTAGTAAATTATGGAATGAATAAATGTAAAAATGGAGCTTAATATGCTTTAAAAGTACCTTAATAAAATTATCAAAATTAAATTAAAAATATAACCCAAAATGGCCAATAAGGAAACTGTTACTGTTTTGTTTTGTTTTTTTTTTTTTTTTGAGACGGAGTCTCGCTCTGTCACCAGGCTGGAGTGCAGTGGTGCAATCTTGGCTCACTGCAACCTCCGCCTCCCAGGTTCAAGCGATTCTCCCGCCTCAGCTTCCTGAGTAGCTGGAACTATAGGCGCATGCCACCACGCCTGGCTAACTTTTTGTATTTTCAGTAGAGACGGGGTTTTACTGTGTTAGCCAGGATGGTCTCGATCTCCTGATCTCGTGATCTGCCCGCCTCGGCCTCCCAAAGTGCTGGGATTACAGGCGTGAGCCACCATGCCCAGCCGTGTTACTTATTTTTATATAAAATATGAATACTCTGAAATAAAGGTAAGCAACTTTAATAGACTAACATATTCTCACTAAAAGAAAAAAATGTGTCTGTGTGTGCATATACATATAACACATGCACACATCTATTCCTGTTTTCCAAAAGTAATCTCCACTAAGAGTTCTTCAATTATTTTGTTTGATCATCTTCATTAATAGTGAAAATAATCTTAAATCTCATTATCATTCCTTTCTGCCTTCCTTCTCTGTAAGAGGCAGGGGACTGAGGGTTTGTTCATCTTCCAGCATCTTGAATAATGAAGAACTAACCAGTATGAAGAATTATTACCAAGACTGTATTCGATGGTGATATCACTTACATTCCTACTTGTTCAAATCAGTTGTTTTATACCGTGCGATATGTGCACAGCTCTCCCAGTGATATCTGACTCCTGTATTTCACCACAGCTACAATATACATTTGTGGACATAGGATTTACAGAATTCTATCTGAAAGCAAATTTGTCAGGTTGTTATATTGTTGACAAATACTCTTGTTTCTCAGATCATTTTTTGCTGGCTATATGCACGTGCAGGAATCTGTATGTGCTTGTGTTTTAATTACCTAATGCACTGGCTCTGACTGAATAAATTGCATGATTACCTCCTACACTGGACACAGAACAGTGCAAGTCATATTAAAAAGCCATTATATTTGCAACTCTGAGCAAGAGACTATAATTAAAAGGCAGTTGGATGAAATTAGCTTTGAGAGTACAAGAGTTTAAGCAAGATTTGGTAAATGAACATTAATGGTTAACATGTGGTTTTTATTAGGTCTTTTGCTTCTTCTCTCCATAACCCCGGAGTTGAATTTCTTAGATGTCAGTGGACCAGACATGTGAGAACACCTGTACAAAGCTATACTTTACCATGTGGCTAAAATTATATTCATAAAACAAGCCAACATAACTTTTGTGACTTTAGTAAATCAAAGGTATTAGACTAGAATGATCCCCTGGGCATTAATAAACTATTCTTAATGCTCCTAAGATTTTAGTTATATGTCATTAAAAGCATACTGTGTGCTCCATGCAACTTAAAATGTTTGTCATAAAATACACATATACACGTCAAAGAAGTAATAAAACTTGAGGGCATTTTAATTATTCTCACCGTTAAATATAAAAAAGTTAAAGTTGTATGCAGTATGTGTAATAGCATCCCATTCTTATCTGTTTGCAGACTGTTGAGGACTCCGCATGGTAGTGATATTTTTGTAGAGGGGAAAGCTTTATGGAGTATGTGTATGTACTCAATAGGTCTTACACTTAGGCAGATTAAAGATGCCTGCAAATTCTGGCCGGGGGCGGTGGCTCACGCCTGTAATCCCAGCACTTTGGGAGGCTGAGGCAGGGGGATCACAAGGTCAGGAGATCGAGACCATCCTGGTTAACACAGTGAAACCCCGTCTCTACTAAAAATACAAAAAATTAGCCGGGCGTGGTGGTGGGCGCCTGTAGTCCCAGCTACTCGGGAGACTGAGGCAGGAGAATGGCGGGAACCCGGGAGGCGGAGCTTGCAGGGAGCCGAGATCGCGCCACCGCACTCCAGCC